>NT_167248.2:675614-1008898 GCF_000001405.40 Homo sapiens | reverse complement strand
ATTCTTGTCCCTTTGCCCGTGTGCATTTCCTGCCTCCTCAGGAAGGTCGGGACAGCAGACCTGTGTGTTAAACATTGATGTGAAGTTACTTCCAGGAAGAAGTTTCATCTGTGATTTCCTCTTCCCCAGAGCCCCACAGTCTTTGTTACAACCTCACGGTGCTGTCCCGGGATGGATCTGTGCAGTCAGGGTTTCTCGCTGAGGGACATCTGGATGGTCAGCTCTTCCTGCTCTGTGACAGGCAGAAAGGCAGGGCAGGGCCCCGGGGACAGTGGGCAGAAGCAGTCCTGGGAGCTGAGACCTGGGACACAGAGACTGAAGACTTGACAGAGAATGGGCAGGAGCTCAGGAGGACCCTGGATCATATCAAGGGCCAGAAAGGAGGTGAGAGTGGGCAGTGGGCAAGAGTAATGGGAGAGGCCTTTTCCAGGAGAGTTGGGGGCAGAGAGCAGGACCTGTCTCTTCCCACTGGATTTGGCTGTGAGTAGGGGTGAGGAATGGTGCTCAGCGGGGCTCAGCCCACACAGGGAGGGATGGAAGAGGGCCAGGGAGGGGTCCTTCCTGGTCCGAGTTCCTCACTTGGACTGGAATGGAGAAGTCACTGCTGGGTAGGGGCAGGCAGCCTTGCATTCCCTCCAGGAGATTAGGGTTTGTGAGATCAGGAAGCCAGCAGCACCAGGGGCTTTAGGCATTTCTACACATATGGGAAGCTCTTCCTCTCTCCCAACCTGGAGACTCAGTAATGGACAGTGCCCCGGTCCTCCAGAGCTCAGACTTTGGCTATGAATGTCACAAATTTCTGGGAGGAAAATGCCATGCAGACCAAGACACACTATTGCCCTGTGCAGGCAGACTACATGCAAAAGCTATGGTGTTATCTGAAATTCTGGAGGTATCAGAAAAACAGGTACTGTGAAAGTAGTGGGTCCTCCTATAGAAGCCTGAACCTGGGGTGGGCATTAGGCAGGAAAGGAAGGCCTCAAGGCCAGGGCTGCCTCATCTGCCTCCCAGCCTGCCCATCCTGGAGAGCTACCTCCTAGCCCCACGACCCAGGAGCCCACCCCTGACAACCCTCTCCTCAGCATCAAAGCCGGAGTCCCAGAGTGTGAGGCCACAGTCCTGAGGCCCATCTTCCAGCAAGCCTAGGGGAATTGGACCCCAGGTAAGGACCGATTTGCAGAAGGTCTGGGGTCAGTGTGGGTTTCAGCGAGAGTCAGAACAATAGAGAGGACCAGTCCTGTTCCCTGCATCTCCCTTAGAGGGGAGAAAGGCTTGGCCACATGCCTCACTGGCTCTGCCCTTTTGTCTCCAATGACCCCCACAGTGAATGAGATGCACAGTGGGGCCTTAGAAGGCAATGTCACCATGATGTGCTGGCCTCCATCTTCTATCCCTGGAATATCTCTCTGACCTGGCATCAGGATGAGGCATCTTTGAGCCAGGATGCCCAGCAGTCTAGGGGTGTCCTGCCCAATGGGAATGGGACCTACCAGACCTGCATGGCCACCAGGATTCCCCGAGGAGAGGAGCAGAGGTTCACCTGCTACATGGGACACAGAGGGAATCACAGCACTCACCCTGTGCCCTCTGGTGAGCCAGGGGCAACTCTCAAGGGTTTCGACCTAGGGAGGTCAGGCCAGGGTGGGGATAGCAGGGACGGCTGTGGCTTTGCGTGCTCAGTGTGTCACAAGGCCCTTTTTTTAGAGAAGGCCCTGGTGCTTCAGAGTCAATGGCAGCCATTCTGTATGCTGCTATTGCTACTGTCATTATTATTATTAGCAGTAGTAGTAGTAGTATTCTCTGTGTCCTTTGGTGCAAGAAGAAGACAACATCAGCTGCAGAGTCCAGGTGAGAAAACGGGGCAGTGGCTGGAGATGGAAGGACTCTTCTCTGGGCAGCAGGGTCCCCTCATAGCTCCTGCACAGATAGACATGTAGGTAACAAGGTCCTGGAACAGGGGATGGACATTGGGGTATTTGGGAGGGGAATGGGAGCCACATCTCCATCTACACCCCTAAGTCCTGCCCAAGCCAGGGCTGGGCCACGGCCCTCAAATGTCCAGCGGTGGCCTCCTCCTGCTGCAGGTGAGGAGTGGGCAGCAGGGAGGGCTGTGGCACCTGCTCTGTCCCCATCCTGGTCTCTCTTGTTTCTTGGGCTCACCACGGTGCGTCCAGGTGGGGTGAGTTGAGAATCACGTGCTGATTGCTGAGGGCCTGGATGATCATGGCTTCAGTGGGAGTAAATAGTAAAGGCGGCTGTGATCTGGGGAGGAGCTAGAAACTGGAGAGGAATCCGAGGAGAGGCGGTGCCCCTAGTCTCTTCCTCTCTGCATCCCTCTCTCCTGTTTCTCCAGCCATCAGGAGGACACCAAGAAAAAGACCCACGAAGCCCAGACTGGGAGGCCTGCCTGTGCAGCCCCTTTGAGGTCCCCTTGTAACAGGGGGGGTCCTGAGTGCACACAGCCATCTCTGTCCACTTTGCAGCTCCCCATGGGCCTCCTCCAGGAGCTATCTTGGGGGTATCATGTCCTCTGCATCACTGGAGGTTCCCACCACATGGCCCTGCCTCCCTGAGTTTCTGTGCAGATGTTATGGAGGAGTATATAAGCAGACATCCCTGGGCCATTTGGGAAGCAGGAACCAGCTCCTTGTCAGGGCAGCTGTGGTCCCTGTTTTCATCATATGTCCAAGTGTTACCTTGTCTAGCCCCCAGGAACACAGTCCCCAGGACCATGTTTTTTGGGGCACCCACAGCAGGGGCAGTGCAGGTCTGGTTGCTCCTGCTCTCACCTGCAGCATCTGCCGTAGAGGAATTGTCAGTTCTGGTTCCCTGTGGGCAGTAAAGGTTTCCTTGTAGGTCACTGGGGCATTGGCCAGAAAAAGGTTGTGAAAATCACATGCTAATTTCTCAAAATTCCTGCTTTCAATGTTGATGTCCAATAAAGATGTTCATAATTTCAGCTGGATATTCTTAATAGGATTTCCTCCAATACCGATGCTGTAAAGTATATTGAATGGAACAGGAATTCAAATTTGAAACTCTCTCTCTAGAAGGGTCCATGTGGGAGATGGTGGCTGTGGCTGTGGCAATCCCCAGGTGCAGAGTGGGCGGAGGCAGCCTCAGGCTGAGGGGTCTCAAGAAATCCCTTATTCCATAGGGAGAAGAAGAAGATCCTCTGTGGGTGTGAGGGCAGTGGCCTGGGTGGAATCCCTGCTAGGAACCAGACAGGAAGGCCTTGCAGCCTCACCAAGCAGCAGCCCTGGGGTGGAGCTGGATTTCCAGGGATGAGTGGACCAGGCAGGAGCAGGGCATCCCAAGTGCAGGTCATGGACCTGGGTGTCAAGGGAAGCAGAGCCTTCTTGAGCAAGGGGGTCTCCAGGGTCAGGTCAGGTGCAGACCCCATGGCAGCCACGTGTTTCCATCCTGGGCCTGACAGGCCTGCTGGGCTTCCTGGTGGGCTCTCCAGGTAGGAGCTGCCTGCTCAGGACTGGAAGGGGAGGAACACTGAGCTGTAGGTGGAGGGCGGAACCCACAGTGGGCAGGGCCTGCCCTGGTGTGCAGGTGCTTCTGCAGGAAAGGAGGGCCTGGGGAAAGAGGGAGAGAAAGGCCTTGTGTGTGACCCAGCCCAGGCCTGGAAGTACGTGGAGCCAGGGCCTCTCTCTGGGGAGGCCTCCCACTGTGTCCGAGCTGGCCAGGCTTGAGAGGAGGGGAGGGCACTGAGTTTCTTCTGGAGTCTTGTCATTTAGTCCTGCGGCCCTTTCAGTCCCTACAGAGTGCATAGTGGGCACAGGGCGAGTGCTGATCTTCATGAAGTCATGGGAGGGGACTGGCAGGGGCTGGGAAAAGTGCCATAGGAGGGAGAAAAATGTGGGAGCATCATCTTCCCTCAGAGAAAGGGTAAATCTGATTTTGGAGTGACTGAGGAGGGAGAAATCCTCAGGGAGTAAAAAGCAGCACTCTGCACCCAGGGGAGCATTTATTGGTTTCTCTATTTTCTCCAGAGCACGTGAGCCTGCAAGGCCCGGATCAACGCCCGGTTGGGACAGGAGACCACCAGGGCAGTGCACAGCTGGGATTTCAGTCTCTGGTGTCAACTCCTGGGTCTACTGGCTCCACTGAGGGCAGCTACACTCTGCAGCCAGATGGCCAGAATTCAACTCCCTGCCCAGGTCTCACCAGCACTTTCCCACTTGGTGCCTCAGTTTCCTCATCTATGAAATGGGGAAACTAACAGCATTTATTTCTTGTGGTTGGGTGGATGAAAAGCGTTAGTATATATGAGGGGTTTGCAGCTGTGCCACATTATTTTTGTTATCATTTGATTATATTTTAATATATTACATATGCAGTCATTGTATTATTATTATAAATGAGATTTATGAGTGAGTGTCCTGGTTACAGCTCCTTCTGGGGAGCCCAGGACCAGCTTTCCTGGCACCTTGAGGTCCCCTCACCCTGTCACACTCTCATGCATTACCTCATATCTACTATGTCTTCATAATTTTATACTATAGAAATTTACCCTTTAAGTAGACATTTCTGGTCTGTGTTTTATTTCAAGTGTCTGGGAAGGGATAGAGTATGAGGTTCAAGAGAGAAGGAGAGGTCTGTCTTGATGCCTTGACACAGCACAAAGAAATCTCCCCACCTCCCCCGCATCTCCCCACCAGTTCTCGGTGATGGACGATTCACAGCAACACAGAAAGGGCTGGGAAGGGATGGAGGGGGACATCTGCAGCCAGTGTTTAGGGGCTGACCCTGTGGGAAGACACCTGCCTTGCAGAGGACCTCTGCATCTTGCAGATGCAGAGCTGAAGTCTGATATGAGGGAGAGGACAGGGAGTGCTTTGGACTTTCCTGATTAAGAAGAATAGAGATCAGTCTGCTTCTGGGGTTAAGTGACCACTGGGGAGATTGGACTGAATTAATGAAGAATAAATGAACTGGGAATGAGGATGAGTAAAGCAAGTATCAGCATCTCCCATTATCAGTTCAGACTGATTGGTAAGTGGGGAGGTGGGATAGTTCCTGACCCTGTTGTGAGGTTCCTTTTAACTTTCTGGCCTTGGGGCACAGATGGGTGGTGCTCTTCTTGGTCAGGGTAGCCTCAGCTCCACTCAGGTAAGGCAGTGGTGGCAGGGAGAGTTAGGGGATCACCTGTGAAACGGACCAAGGCAGGGATGGGAGCCCTCTGTGCAGCAAAAGTGGATGCAAGCCCTGCCTAGAAGCAAGAGGATGAAGGAACCTAGTTGGGTCCTGGTCCACTGCCTGCCTGTGTTCACAGGTCAACCAGTAAAGGAGGTGGGGTAGAGAATTCAATCGTGGGCTATCTATCCAGAGATGTGTTTACAGGTGTATTATTTCACATTTGTGTTCACGTTTGGTGTCAAAAACACATTTATACATGCCTGTTTCATGTTTAAGTATTTTCACATTTTAGTTAACCCTTAAATATCATTGTTGAATGCGGTTGTCATTAGACATAAACTTGCATATTCACTGAAGCTTTTGTTTTTATTTTAATCAAATTTATAATTGTGCATAATTGAAAGAGTCAAATATTTGTGCAGAATCTCTTGAGAAAAATGAGAGTCCTCTCTGCCTCTTCTCAATTTCTGCCTTTCTAGGGGCCAACCACTTTCAAGTTTTTTAGCTGATTCTTTTGACTTTACTTCTGTATCTCTAACTACCATTTCTTTATTATTATTGCTTGATTTTTTTCAGATGCACCCATTGTTGCACAGCGCAATGGTGGATGCAACAGTTAAGAGTACTTGTTCTCTTTCACTCTTCCCAGTATATTTATATAGTGATTATGTTTAGTTCAGCCATCTCTTGTTTCTTTTACCATGACTAATCCTCTCATATGTCAACTGGACTACTTTTCACTGCCTGTACAACATTGGTTCTTCTTGGAGTTAATACTTGTATTTGTTTTTGTTTATTTTATTAACTCTCATTAATTTAAGTTTGATATCTCTTTTGTTTGTATGATTCTTTCAAGACGTTGGACACTTTGGACATTCTGTTAATTTTATCTTCTTGGAAATGTCCCTCCTGGGCCCTTCTGGCTGCTCCCATCTGGATTGGAGGCTTCTCCCCGTGGAGCAGAGTCACTGTCCTAGGATCTCCCTCCATCACTATCTGGGAAGGTGCTTTACATGCAGTGGAGCCACCTGGGTTCCAGCCAAAATGCAGACTGATTCAACATGTCAAGGCTGGGCCTGTGAGCCTTTCTGTCTAGTTTCAGGAGGTGCTGATTTTCCTGGTTCATGGGTGATAGCTGGGGTAGCAGGGATCTCTCTTTTTGTCTCATAGTTTTCTGTATCTAAGGTAAGCGCATACTAATATATTTTTAATGAATTCATGTACTTTTTCCCTAAATTAGTAACAGGGCTAATTAGTCTTTTCCTTGGGCCAAAAACTACATTATGTAAAATTTGGTATCTTAACTATTTTAAAGTATACAGTAGTACAGTATTAACTGTAAATACATAGTTGTGCAACAGATCTCTAGAACTTTTCATCTTGCAACACTGAAACTCTATGCCCATTGAACAAACATTCATCCATCCCCCTCACCGAGCCCCTAGCAGCCATTAGTCTACTTTCAGTTTAGACACCTCATATAAATGGAAATGTGCAGTATTGGGTTTTCTTTGTGATTGGCTTATTTTACTTAGCAGTGTCCTTCAGGTTCATCCCTGTTGCAGCCTGTGACCAGGTTTCCTTCTTAAGGCTGAATGATATTCCGTTGTCGATATATACCACATTTTCTTCATTCATGTGTTGGTGTGTGTTGTCTTGGCTATCGTGAATAATGCTGCTTTGAATATGGGTATACAATGTTTTTCTTTTCAAACCTTCCCTCACTTTGGTGGAATTAATCCTTTAGTAGCTACTTCTGACAGCACATATTTAAAGTATGTTTGTATGGTTCAATTTTTCCATTGTTTTTATTCTCTCCAGGAAGAGGAGATAAATATATGAAGGTGCTGTTTGGCACAGAATTTAATAGGGAAGAAAGAGACAGTATAACTCACCAGTGCTGGGTCTCATCATCCTGCAATTTCAGAACAACTATGAATACAAAAAGAATTTTAAAATCCCAGTCCTGCCTAGAAAGGGGAAGTCATCTCTAAATATGGTGGCCCTGGGGCAGCTGGCCTCCCTGCCAGGCCTCTTCCATGGGGGCCCTTTCTGCAGTGACTGTGGTTTCTTCCCATTTTACTCTGTCCTGTGTCCTGACTGAAGCGACAAGGTGTGTCTGCAGCTGTGCTCACACCTGGAGGAAACCTCAATGGTGTGAGTAAATTGTAAATGTTTACTTATTATGGGTTATTTTATTATTTATGGAGTATGTATTTTGATTTCATTCTACTGACAACACAATAAACCAGGACATGATGACCCTAGCAGCACATCCTCTTTCCTGTGTCAAGAAGCATCGTCCGGGGAGGTGAGAAGAAGACAGTCCTCCCTAGAATTGAAGAACCAGGGAGAAGCAGATGGGCTGGGCAGGTGGGTTTTCACCTGGAACCTGGAGGATGAGCAATGACATCTCTCCACCCTGAGCTCAGCCTGGGCATCCACCTCCTGGGCTCATGAGCAGTGCAGTGGTGCCTCCTAGTGGTCTCTGCTCTTCCTTTTCCAGATCAAGCACAAACCTGAGATCCAACTGTCCCTCTTATGCGCCTGGGTTTCTTCACTGGACACCAGTATGAGTCAACTTTCCTGTAAAGCAGAACAAGCACGAGATTGGACCATGTTAGAGGAGGAATGGTGTCATCTCCACTTCTGGAGAGATCCCTGTCCCCGTGTTCGGGGGAAGGACCAAGCCTCACTCCCATGCAGAGAAGAGGCTCTGACTGTAACTGCACCTGTGGAGAGGTGAGGACCTGTCCCCTCTACACCGATGGCCAGAGCCTCCAGAGTGGGGCCAGGTTTTTCCCTCAGCTGTGTCCTGTCAGGTTCATCTAGGCCTCAAAGAATAGACCCTGGACATTGCCTCTGGCAATGTGAGCTGGACACACACCCAGATGTAAGGTAGCCCTGCCAAGTATCCTGGGGTTGCCAGTAGTTCTGGGTGCTCAGTGTCTGGAGCGGAGGGTGGGAAGGAGGCTTGGTGCAGAACAAGAACCATATGTCACATACTATTTTATTCTTTATTAGTGTTTTTGTCATAAAAAACCCCACGGGTACCATAAAAGATAAAAGATCTAAAAATAGTGCCCTTTAATCAAAAGTAAACACCCTTTAACCATCAGAGAGAGGGAGAAGTTTGGCAGCTGACCTAGAAGCCCCATCAACTGCCCCAGCTCAATGATAAACTCTTCTCTTCTTCAAATAAAAGCACATCCTGGCTTACATGGCCATCACTTCTTTGTACAATTTTATATTTTTATCATCTAAAATTATAGTTTAGTTTTACCTTTAAGAGTATATTTTTATCCTCATTTATTCCATAGATTCCTGCTTGAAATTTATATTGTCTGGTAGTTTCCTGTCCTTTGCATTTTGCAGATTGCACCCCAAGGTGTGGTTTAATGTATCTCTATGACCTGTATTTTCTGTAAATTGGTAGTTTGTTATAGAGGTTTGCGTCTATTCAGGGTTTTTTTTTTTTTTTTTTTTGCCATGAGGATTGATGGTACTATATCATGTTTTTCATCAAGAGGAAGAATTCAATACTAGTTATTTCTTTTTTGCGATGTTAATTGCCATTGCTGTTCAGTGGCTAAATCTGTTAATTCATTACAAATTGCAAAAGTCTCAGTCTTTCATTTCTTTTCATATGCTAGCTGCATAATTTCTAAAATAAAAGATTTACCCTCTTCCACCAGTTATCTATTCAGTAGAAACTTGTTTTTTGAGAGACTAAACCAAGTTTCTAATCACCTATGACCCAGCAATTCCACTTTTTGTTATATACCAATAGAAATGCATGCATTTGTGTGCCAAAATATATGAAAATATTATTTATAGCAGCACGATTTGTAGACTCTGAATACAACACAAATGTCTATCAACAGTGGAGAGACAAGAAGTGTGAGCTATTTATAAAGCTGAGCACCTGACTGCCGCGGGAGTGAATAGTGACCACACACAGCAAGACCTGGGACATGGCAGTGACTGTGTCCAGAACTGACAGAACTAATCTATCATATTAGAAATCAAGAAAGTGTCTGCTCTAGGGTTGGGGAGGGTGATTTATGACCAAGTAGAACCCAGTGGTGTTTCCTGGAGGCTGGCAATGCTATTCCTTGATGTGGCTGCTATTTACCTGAGTGTTCACTTTGTGAAAATCCACGGCCCACTTATGGTTTGTCCACCTTTCTCCATGCATGTTGTCCTTCATTCAAGTATACATTACTGATGTTTTGAAACAATTCTCTCTAAGCTAATATAGAATCTCCATTACTGAAAGTCCTTAGAAATGCTGCATTGGAAAAAATTAGTCCAATTATTAAAAATCTATGAAATAAATGCTGTGACTCAGACATTAAGAGGAGAATCTACAACAAGAGCAGTAGGCTTGGGAGCTAACACAAGAACAGCTTTGGAAATGGCTGTTGAGCCAGGAACTAGGAATCAAAACCCAAAAAGGCCCATGCAAGGTGGAGGGTGTGAAATGATGCCCCAGTAGTGCATGAATGAATGAGTCATGGGCAGTGGCTCATGGGTTGCTTGGTCAGTCAGGAACTTGAGCAAAATAAAGTTGGAAAACTGGGGGATGGAAGAGAGAGGTATGCACAGACCTCTTGACATGGGCAGAGCTTCAGAAGATGGTGGTTGCAGGTTTCCCCAAATAGAGAACATCAATAAAAAGGTAGAAATTTTACAAAGAGACCAGATAAAAAGTTTGGAGCTGAAAAGTGCAATAACTGAAATGAAAAATTCACTAGAGGGGCTCCAGAGCAAATTTCACCATGCAGAATGGAGAATCAGCAAGCTTGAAGATAAGACAATTGAAATTCTCTAGTTCAGTAGCAGAAAGAAAAAAAATTATGAAGAAAAATAAACAGAACTTTAAAGATCTGTGAGACAACATCAAGCACATGCACTTTGGGAGTCCTCAAAGAAAGGAGAGAGAGAAAGGAGAAGAATGACTATTTAAAGAATAACTCCAAACCTTCCAAATTTGATGAAAAACATTATTCATCCAACAAACTTGACAAATTTTAAGCAGCAAAAAAATTTAAATTTAAAGAGGTCCACACCAAGAGAACATTATAATCAACCTGTCAAAAGCCAATGACAAACAGAGCATATTGAAATGAATAACAGAGAAGGAACTTTTCAGGTTCAATGGATCCTCAATAAGATTGCAGCCCAGTTTTCTTCAGAAACCATAGAGTTCAGAAGGCACTGGAATGTTGACAAATTTAGAGGTCAGAAAAAAAAAGACTGTCATGCAGGAATTGTGTGTCTGGAAAAACTCTCCTTCAGAAATAATGGATTTTATATATATATAAATATATATATATATATATATATACACACATATATATACATATATATGACTATACATAGTACCACATATATATAACTATATATAGTACTACTATGAAATTATATATATAGTACTATATATAGTAGTCATACTATAAAAGCTAGTAGTAATATGTATATTTTTGGTGTTTATATGTGTGTGTGTGTGTGTGTGCATATATATATAGTACTATATATAGTAGTCCTATAAAAGCTAGTAGTAACATGTATATTTTTGGTGTTTAATTCTTCCTTTGTTTTTCCTATTTGGTTTAAAAGAAAATGCCCATTGACTAATGAATGAATAAACAACATGTAGTGTATTTCTACAATGGAATATGATTTAGCCATAAAAGGAATGAAATACTGATACATGCTACAACATTGCTGAATCTCAAAAACATGATAAGTGAAGGAAATCAGCCACAAAAGGATACATATTTCATGAACCCATCTTTGTGAAATCTTCAGAAGAGACCAATCTATAGAGAAAGAAAGCAGACTTGTGGTGACAGGGTCTGGTGGCAGGAGGAAATGGAGGGTGACTGCTTAATGGTGCAGAGTTTCCCCTGAGGTGATGAAATACTCTGGAACTAGAGAGTGATGATGGCTACATAACATTGTGAACCTACTAATTGTCACTGCATTGTACACCTATTGTACAATGGGTACAGTGGTAAATTTTGTGTTCATGTATATTGTATCACAGTAAAAAAGAGGCTGAAGAATAGATTCCAAAATCTTTTATATGGTAAACTCCTGAGTTTGCTTGAGCATCTGCCCATCTGTCTTTCCCCCTCAGGATGTCATCTCCTACTCAGAGCTCACCCTTGTTCTTCTGTAAGTAGAAAGCCTTTCTTCACAACACTCCCAGATCAGCCAGACCCAACCCCCAAAATGACTTTCTGTCTTGGATCCAAATGCTCACGTGCAACTCTGGGGCAATTTCAGTGGGAGTGAAGAGATTATCCAACTAGGATGATTCATTTGGAGGGAAATGTTTGACCTTATGTTAGGAAAGTCATTTGCTTTCCTAAAAAGGATCCTGCTTACCAGTGAGTATATAATTTTTGTATGCCCGGGGTGGAGTTCACAGCAGAGGAACTAACAATAGCTCTAGGAACACCATACACCTCATGCGTAGCTGACTCACCCATCTGCCTCCCCCAGCTGAAGGAAGGAGCTGGATTATTACCTTGGCCCATCCATCAACTGCATTTCACTGGATGTGCACCCTCTACAAGTGTGAACCTTCCAGGGTTCTCAGTTGCTCTTCCTGCTGTTGTGTGGCCTCCACTGGTGTGGCTCATGCCCAGGGGGCCTGCAGGAGACTGAGTGTCTCCTAATTCTCAAGGCCAACATTTTCAGTGAGCTCAAATGAAGATTTTATGTTCTCAGGGACTCATATTTTCATCTGTGGAAGGGAAAAATCCATCTCGCTGTCTTAGGTGTGATGGTAATTTTACATAAATATATATATATAATTATAGTATTTTTATGTCTATAAATGAGATAATCAGTATTTTATAAATTGATGGTATTCTTAGCATTGACTTCATTGCTCAGCTAAATGCTGTAACCAAAGGATGAGTCATGGAGTGGAGGAAGAATATTTTTCTACTCTCTGGAGGTGCCATAATCGGCATTTCTGCCCTATGGATTTCAAATGAGAAATTTGCTTTAGGCTGAGGTTGGAAGGAGATCTGAACTTCTTTGTATTACTATTATTTTAGATGGGGTCTTGCTATGTTGTCCAAGCTGGAGAGAAGTGACTATTCACAGGTGTGATAATAGCACACGACAGCCTCAAAATCCTGGGCTCAAGTGGTTCTCCCATCTCAGCCTCCTGAGTAGCTGGGACTACAGGTGTGCACTCAGCCACTTTTCATTGTTATTTTACTTCAAATGCTTTATTTTGAATATTAGAAATGTGAAAATCTATTTGATCACAGAAGACTTTAAAATACACAGATCAATGCCTACTTGAATTAAAAAAAAAATAAAATACACAGAAGAAATACCACCTAGGTCTCCCCTCAAAAATATCACTGCTATTGTATTGTTGAACCTTCCTGGACTCAGTGTGACTGTTGGTCCCTGGAGCTGTCCTTTGCGTGGTGCTGATTTCCATTTTGTTGGTGGTGGTTTGTTTTTGTTTTTGTTTTTGTTTTTGTTTCTGAAACACAATTTCACTTTGTCACTGAGGCTGGAGTGCAGTGGTGCGACCTCAGCTCACTGCAACCTCCGCCTCTCGGGTTCAAGTGATTTCCATGCCTCAGCCTCCTGAGTAGCTGAGATTACACACATGCGCCACCAGGCCCAGCAAATTTTTTGTATTTTTAGTAGAGACAGGGTTTTGCCATATTGGCCAGTCTGGTCTCGAACTCCCGACCTCAAGTGATCCACCTGCCTCAGCTTCTCAAAGTGCTGGGATTACAGGAATGAGCCAAGGCGCCTGGCCCATTTTGTTGTTCTCTATGTATATATTTTTATAGGTATCTTTATTGTACAAGGTTGCATTCATATGTTATGGGTTATCTTGAATGTTGCTTTTTGAATGTATTATTATACAAGTAGTTTTCCATGTTGTAAACTCTGTATAAAGTTTACATGCTTTTTTGGCCGGCATGGTGGCTCACGCCTGTAATCCCAGCACTTTGGGAGGCCGAGGTGGGTGGATCACTTGAGGTCAGGAATTCGAGACCAGACTGGCCAACATGGTGAAACCCCATCTGTACTAAAAAATACAAAAAATTAGCCAGGAGTCTAGGCATGTGCCTGTAGTCCCAGCTACTCAGGATGCTGAGCCAGGAGAATTGCTTGAACCCAGGAGGCAGATGTTGCAGTGAGCCGAGATCACTGCCACTGTACTCCAGCCTGGGTGACAGAATGAGACTCCATCTAAAAAAATTTTTAAATTTAAAAAGTTGACACACTTTTACAAGCTGCATCCCATCTCAGATAAGGAGGTGATGTAACTGAGTTCTTTTAGATCCATCTGCTTTCATCTTATCTTTTTGTAGGTAATATTTTGACAAGCATGTTTGTACATAAAGATTCTCCTATGGTTGGGATTTTAAAAATTCATAGACTACTCAGGCCAGGTGCGGTGCCTCAAGCCTGTAATCTCAACACATTGGAAGGCCAAGGAGGGTGGATTGTCTGAGCCCAGAAGTTCAAGACCAGCCTGGGCAACATGGCAAAATCCTGTCTCTACAAAAAATACAAAAAAAAAATTAGCTGGGCATGGTGGCATGAGCCTGTAGTCCTAGGTACCCCAGTGTTTGAGGTGGGAAGATTGTTCGAGCCTGGAAGGTTGAGGCTGAAGTGAGCTGTGATCATGCCACTGCCCTCCAGACCAGGCTACAGAGTGAGAATTTGTCTCCAAAAATAAATAAATTCATAGACTACTCAAGTGATAAATATTAAACAAGAGACTGCTTTAAACATTTTAAAGCCTTATTATACTGTCATACTGTGATTGTACTGACATATTTATTCATTTAACAAATACTTACTGAGAGCTATTTACTGATTATGATGGTGAGAAACAATGGTAAGGAAACAGACCAGATCCCTTTATCAAAGAACATACATTTCAGTGATACTGACTGTAATGGTTAATTTTAGGTGTCATATTGACTGGATTAAGGGATGCCTAGATAGCTGGTATAACATTATTTCTGGGTGTGCCTGTGAGGGTGTTTCTGGAAGGGATTGGCATGTGAGTGACTGAGCGGGGAAAATCCTCTCTCGCTGTGGGCAGCCACAATCCAATCACCTAGGGGCCCAGATAGAACAAAAAAGCAGAAAGGAGTCAAATTTTCTCTCTCTCTCTCTCTCTCAATCTGGGACACTTTTCCTGCCCTTGGACATCAGAACTCCAGGTTGTATGGTCTTTGGACTCTTGAGTGTTGCACCAGTCAACCCTTTATCCTCCCACCTCCTCCTCTGGCCCCTCAGGCCTTTGGCCTTGGACTGAGCCAGGCTGCTGTCTTCCTTGGTTCTCCAGCTTGCAGGTGGCCTCTCATGGATCTTATCAGCCTCCATAACTATGTGAGCCATTTCCACTAATAAATCCCCTCTTGTCTCTCTATCTATCTATCTATCTATCTATCTATCTATCTATCTATCTATCCATCTACTCTATTGGGTCTTTCTGTCTTGGTAACCCTGATACACCAACAGACAATAAACAAATAGAATCTGTCACAGTATCAGTGATAATTGCCACTGATAAAAAATACACCTAGGCTAGAAGATTGGTGGGAGTGGCGGGAATGGCAGGGAATAGATTTCAGAAAAGGTAACTGGGCATGACATTTCTGAGAACTTGACCATGGGACATTTGAACAGAGACTCGAATGGTGTGAGGAGTGAGCCATGTGGACCCCCGGGGAGCAGGTGCATGTGGGAGTCACAGCAGGGGCAGGTAGCAGAGACAGGATGGAGCAGTGACAAAAGGCTGGTGTGAGTGGAGATGAGTGAGCTGGGCTGAGAATGGCGGGATGAGGCCACAGGGGTCCTATGATGAGGGGCTTGTAGGAAACGGTGAGAGACTGAGGTTTCATTGTGCCTAGGAAAGAAAAGGGCTGAGGTGTTCATAGGATATGTCCTAATTTTCGTTTGAGAGGCTCACTCTGCCTTTGTGTGAGTAATGGACAGTGGGCATGAGAGGCAGCAGGCAGCCCAGCTGGAAAGCCCTTCTGGTTTACAATTCTTGAGAGGGTGGCTCTCGGGTGGTGGCAGGAGAGGAGTGAAAAGTGATTGGATTTAGTGTTGATATACTTGTTAATATTGTGGTAAAACATACATACCATGTAATTTACCTTCTAACCACTTTTTCAGTGTACAATTCGGTGGCCTAAAGCACATTTACAATGTTGTGTAACCACCACCAATATGCATTTCCAGAACATTTTCATCATCCCAACAGAAACTGGACCCATTAAACCAAAGCTGCCCATTCTCCCTACCCTCAATTTCTGGTAAATTCTATTTTACTCTCTGTTTCTATGAATTTGCCTATTTTAGCTGCATCACATAAGTGAAATATTATATTTGTCTTTTTGTTTCTGGCTCATTTCACTTACAGTGTTCTCAAGGTTCATGCAACCTGAATTTCATTCACTTTTAAGGCTGAATAATATTCCATGCTATGTGCACCATGGGTCGTTTATCTAATCATCCTCCGATGGACACTCGGTTGCTTCCACCTTTTGGCCATTGGGAATAGTGCTGCTACGAGCATGAGTGTACAATTATCTGTGTGAGTTCCTGCTTTCAATTCTTTTGGGTATATGCCCAAAAGTGGAATTGTTGGCTCCTATGGAAATTGTGTTTTTACTTTCTTGAGGAAGCATCATACTGTTTTTCATGGTCGCTGTACCACTGTACACTCTCACCAGCAGTGTACAAGTGTTGTGACTTCTCCACATCTTCGCCAACATTTGGACTAGTGAAGTTCAGCATATTTTCATGTGCCTATTGCCCATTTGTATATCTTCTTTGGAGAATTGTCTATTCATGTTGTTCACTCATTTTTGAATGAGATTGTTTGTTTTTCTGTTGTTAAGTCATAGTTCTTTATGTATTCTGGATATTAATTCTTTATCAGGTATATAACTGGCAAATATTTCCTCCCATTCTGTGCATTTTCTTTTAACTCTCTTAATAGTGTCCCTTGATATATAAAAAAGGTTTTTAAATTTTGATAGTCTAATTTATTGTTTTTCTTTTATTGGTTGTGCTTTTGCTCACCAGCCAAGAAGCCATTGCCACATCCAATGTTCCTAAGATTTTCTTCAATGTTTTCTTCTAAAAGATTTATAGGTTGAACTCCTAAGTTGAGTTCCTTGAACCATTCTGAGTTAATTGAGTTAATTTTTGAATATGGTGTAAGGTGATGCTATGAATTTTGTCCAACATCATTATTTTGTATGTGGGTATTAAGGTTTCCTGGTACTATCAGCTGAAGTGGGGCTGATACACTTGTAAGATGCAGTGAGCACTGATAAATGGGAACACCATGCATTTATTTACTTGTCTTTACTCCACAGGTGATTGGAGGAGGCTTTTGGTGACAAACCCAAAAGAAATGAATACATATGAATTCTTATTAAATCAAAATCAAATAAAATTATAAATTTTAAAATGTTAAGAGTGAGGCAAGACTAGAACATCACTAGACAGGCTGAAACATGCTGAAATGGAGGGTTTACTGCTTTCCTTGCTTTAAATTTTGCTGGCTCACAATGGCTTATGTTTATTGCATAAGGGGGCCACAGGGAGGGTTGCTTGCTCACATAAGGAGCCCCTGGTTTTCTTCAGAAACAAGTTCAAATTCTCCACTTAGAGCCAAAAAAAATTAATTGCAAGATGTTCAAACTGAAGTTGGCTTCTATAAAGTCAAAGAATAAGCAGTAAGTGTAAAATAAACCTCAGGAATCCAAGGAAATTCTACCTTTTTACCTAGAAATGGCCTCACAATGCGTCGCTGAAGGGAGAGGGTCCCTTCCAGGAACCCCATGATGTAGGGGTTTCTGCTGCAGTCCCAAATTGAGTTGTCCCTTCTCTCTAACTGCAGGTCCCACAAGACCTTACTGCAGCTTCAATAATTTCACCTGGTCTAAGATTTGAGGGGTTTAATGCTTTTTATTTTGAGCTGCTGTCTGGGACTTAGAAAGGTGACTTGCATTTTTTGTCAAAATATTATTTCTTTGATGGAATTTGACATTGGTGGACACTCTGCCTTCCTGTGTGGTTCCTACAAGGGCAGATGACCTTGCACTTCTTTTTGGCACTTCACTAGCAGTGATAGAAGGTTTGAAGTTAGGGCCTCCCTCAATCTTTACCCTCTCTCTAATGCAGAGGATTGCGGCCTGTTGGCAGAAGAGTAGTGTCTTGGGCCCCAGCTGACCTGATGAATATCAATATCCAATGCCCTGTAATGAAGTCATGTGTGCACATATCATCACTTCTGCATGCAGTCTCATGGGAAGGTGGGTTCCTGGACCCCAGGTTACAGGCCTAAGCACTACAGGCATACAGATGGAGCTCCAGGGAAGGGAGAGATGACTGGGGTGGGACCACACTTTTCCTTCAGGGTGTCCCTCAGTTCAAGGAAGCTTGTACTCAAGGGAGAGAAAGTCCTGGCAGGCCTCCTTACCCTTGGCAATCTTGGTATTGGGGCTGGATAATTATCTGTTATGTGGGTGATTGGGCTGACTTGTGCACTGCAGGATGTTCAGCATCCCTGGTCATTCCCCACAAGATGCTGGTAGCACCTTCTCCTCACTCCAGTCATGGCAACAAAACATTTTTCCAGACATAGCTAATGTCCTCTGGTGGGAAAATTGCTCCTGGATGAGAATACTTGTTTGAGAGGTAGAGACACTCAGGAGCTGGGCCTGTAGAGGGAAAGTGATCCAGAAGTAGATACAAAGCAGAGTGGGGCTGGAGAAGACAGGAAGGGAGTCTAGGTCTGGAGGGGCCTGGCCTGATGGTTGAAGGTCTGGAGCTCAGAACCTCAGGGTATGGGGAACTAAAGCTCGTGAGGAATGGGGAGAGTGGCAGAACCTCCTATTGCCAGAATATCACACTCATACCCACTAAACACCCAGCCCATGGTTCTGCATCTCTGGGAAGTCAGGATAAATTTGGCTGTATGGGGTCAGTAAGAGTCCTGGTAACCCTAGGCTTTGTGTGCCTCCTGATGTGATGAATGTGCGGTCACAGCTCCTCCTGTAAACATTGCTGCCAAATGTTTAACCCAGAGCTACATAGGTCCTTAGGAGGCATAGCAGTTAGAGGAAAAAAGTTAAAGGCATCAGGGGAACTAATATGATAAATTCAGTGTGGAGAAGATTCCACAGGTATTTGGCCTCATCTCTGAAACAGGTAATGCCATTCTAAAAGAAAAAAGATGGGTTGATTGTTATAGATTGTAGGTAATTAAAGAAACATAACCAAAGGCAACGAGTGGACATTTTAAGAAAACAAGCTATAAAAAATAGGTACAAAAATGTACTGAAAGAAGTGGAGATATTTGAACATAAAAGGACTTTAAATAATATTATGGAATTATTTATTTTCTTTGGTGTGATAATGTTGGTTCTTATTCTTAGGAGGTGTGTGATGAAGTATTTAGTGGTCTAGTATCATGGGTCTTGCAACTTACTTTAGAATGACTCAGTCAAAAATCTTAATCTGGACCCTTTTCATAAGATGGTGCCAAGAACGAAGAAGGAAGCTCCTGCCCCTCCTAAAGCCGAAGCCAAAGCGAAGGCTTTGCAAGGCCAAGAAGGCAGTGTTGAAAGATGTCCACAGCCACAAAAAAAACAAGATCCACATGTCACCCACCTTCCGGCGGCCCAAGACACTGTGACTCCGGAGGCAGCCCAAATATCCTTGGAAGAGCACCCCCAGGAGAAATAAGCTTGACCACCATGTTATCATCAAGTTTCCGCTGACCACTGAGTAGGCTGTGAAGAAGATAGAAAACAACAGCCTACTTGTGTTCACTGTGGATGTTAAAGCCAACAAGCACCAGATCAAACAGGCTGTGAAGAAGTTTGTGACATTGATGTGGCCAAAGTCAACACTCTGATTCAGTCTGATGGAGAGAGGAAGGCATATGTTCGACTGGCTCCTGACTACGATGCTTTGGTTGTTGCCACCAAAATTGGGATCACCTAAACTGAGTCAAGCTGGCTAATTCCAAATATATGTATATCTTTTCACCATTAAAAGAATCTTAATCTCTCTATTCACTCTTTCTCTTCACACACACACACACACACACACACATTTACGTGCATGCTATAAAAACATATCTACCTGTATCTATAAAAAGATATATTTTTATTCTTTATTTTTAAAATTTATGTATGTTCGTGAGGCACAAGTGCAATTCTGCTACATTGATATCTTGCTTCTCAGTCCCACACAAGGAAGCTGTCTCACACTATAGAGAAAATATTCATGAACAAATTCGTATCAGTCACAGTGAGAGGTAACACTCTAAATAGCCCATTTCATGCTCAAGACATCCAAGTCAAAGAAACCCAATAGCACAGCTGAGTCCCCTCTGTTCCCCCCCAACACCCCACTCACATCAGGGCCCCTGCCCTGGAGTGTCACCTTTATTAGCTGTGAGAGACACCCCAGAGCCCTGGGCACTGTCAGTGATTGGGGTAGAACAAAAATAGGACCTGGTCAGAGCCCACAGATGTGGCTAGAGGAACTGTGGGGTGGGTGAGCTCCCTCATAGGCTCCTGACCACAATATCCCAACAATCTCAGGGATCAGCCTCCTTCATCTTACCTGCAGCCTGAGAGTAGCTCCCTCTGTTTCTATCTATGGGAAGAAAATGTCCTGTGAGAGGCCAGAAAGGAGGCAGGGCCATAAGGTCCTAGAGCAAACCCCTAGTCTTTGATCCCAGAGAAGTTTCCAGAAAAGTGTAACTGTAGATCCAGGGCAGGATCAAGAAATATGAAGAAAGCAGATGTGGGTCCTGGACCAACTGCCCTCCTGAGGTCTGTCATCAGCAGGGACCTTCCCCTGTGATTTGTGACTGCTGGGATCAGGTCCCATCACCACCATAATCATCGAAGTGAAGAATCTGTCCTTCATTTTCACAGGAGCTTTACAAATGAGTAGGTGCTGGCACACAGGGCCCAGGCTGGGTAGACCCATGAGTGTGGATGGTGCTTCCCAGTAATGAGGCAGGGCACACTTCTACTTGGGGCTTGCAACCCCCAGTGGGACAAGAAAACTCAGACTCCACTCCTCACCCCTTCCTACCTGAGCTCTTCTTCCTCCACATCACAGCAGCGACCACAGCTCCAGTGACCACAGCTCCAAGGACAACAAGGCCAGCAACGATGCCCACGATGGGGATGGTGGGCTGGGGAGACTGCTCTGGGAAAGGAAGGGAAGGTGAGGGGCCCTGATCTCCAGGCCTCAGCCCTGACCCTGCTGAAGAGCTCCAGAAGGGCTCCTGCTTTCCCTGAGAAAAGACATGACCCCTCGTTCCCCTCTTTACCCATCTCCCTCCTTACCCCATCTCAGGATGAGGGGCTGGGGCAGCCCCTCGTGCTGCACATGGCATGTGTATCTCTGTTCCTCTCCAGAAGGCACCACCACAGCGGCCCACTTCTGGAAGGTTCCATCCCCTGCAGGCCTGGTCTCCACAAGCTCTGTGTCCTGGGTCTGTTCCTCCCCATCCCGCTGCCAGGTCAGCGTGATCTCCGCAGGGTAGAAGCCCAGGGCCCAGCACCTCAGGGTGGCCTCATGGTCAGAGATGGGGTGGTGGGCAACGTGTGCCTTTGGAGGATCTGAGAAGAGTCAGAAAATTCAGGCACTTTGCACTCCTCATGGGAAACCCCAGCAGCACCCATGTGACCAACCTGAGAATGGACAGGACACCTGGGGTGGGGAAGGGAGCACAGAACCCAGACACCAGCCTGGACACAGACACCTGGGAAAATCTCCTATTCCTTGGAAAGTTCGAGTCTCTGAGTGGGGAGCAGGGACTTCTGGCCCTGACCTAAGTGGAGGCCGAGGGACTGGAATCAGAGCCCCAAACACATTGAGTGTGAGGCAGAGAACAAAACTTGAGAGAAAAGTCACGGGGCCCAAGGCTGTTGGAGGGCTCAAAGGGGACCGCGGATCGGTATTCCAGGGACTGTCTTCCCTCCATTCCCTCAGAGATTTCATCCCTTAATTGTCCCAGAGAGCAGGGCGGACTCTCACAGTCACTCTCTGGTACCGGATCTCGAAAGCCAGGAAGATTCTTCCTACTCAGGACTAGAGGGAGGGCGATATCCTAGCATTGGGCCCACTTTCCTCCCAACCTTGTGCGAGGCCATCCCAAGAGATCTACAGGAGATAGGGAAGGCGCCCATGGCCCCTGGTACCTGCGCGCTGTAGCGTCTCCTTCCCATTCTCCAAGTATCTGCGGAGCAACTCCAGGCACTCGCCCTCCAGGTAGGTCCTGAACTCCTCTGCATATTCCTCTGCCTCATAGAAGCGCTGGGTGATCTGAGCCACGGTGTCCGCCGCGGTCCAGGAGCGCAGGTCCTCGTTCAGGGAGATGTAATCCTTGCCGTCGTACGCGTGCTGGTGATACCCGCGGAGGAGGCGTCCGTCGGGCCCCATGTCGCAGCCATTCATTCCCTGGAGGGTGTGAGACCCTAGCCGGTCCCCGCAGTCAGCCCCGCCCAGCTAGCCCCGCCCCCTCCCCGCCCAACCCGCGGGGATTTTGGCCTAAACTGAAAATGAACCTCGGTAAAGGCGCCTGGGACTCTCCCGGGTGGAGGGTCTGGGCGGGTCCCGCTGCCTCGGGGTAGATTTCGGATCCGGAGACTCTGGGGGACCCGGGCGGTCCGTGGCGGATGGGGGGTGGTCGTGACCTGCGCCCCCGGCCGGGTTCACTCACCAGCCTCGCTCTGGTTGTAGCGGCGGAGCAGGTTCCTCAGGGCCACTCGGTCAGTCTGTGCGTTGGCCTTGGCGTACCCTGTGGTCCACTCCCAATACTGCGGCCCCTCTTGCTCCACCCACGGCTCCCGCGGCTCCATCCTCGGAATCGCGGCGTCGCTGTCGAACCGCAGGAATTGCGTGTCGTCTACGTACTCCACGGCGATGTAGCGGGGCTCCCCGCGGCCGGGCCGCGACACAGCGGTGCTGAAATACCTCAAGGAGTGGGAGCCTGGGGGCGAGGAGGGGCTGAGACCCGCCAGACCCTCCTCCGGGCGCGGCTCCCTGAGTCCTGCGCCCCCACCGGGCGGGCCCCTCACTCCTCCCCACAGAGGCCGTTTCTCTCTGGACCCCGCACTCACCCGCCCAAGTATCGGTCAGGGCCAGGGCCCCTGAGAGCAGCAGGAGGAGGCTTCGGGGCGCCATGACCCCAACCTCCGCGTCTGGGAAAAATATGAGTCCCGCGGGGTGCGTGGGACTTTAGAACCTGGGAACTGCGGCGACACTGATTGGCTTCTCTAGAAACGCGACGCCCAATGGGAGTGAGAAATGGGGCCGCGTTATGAGTATCCAGGATGAAGGACCTGACACGGGTTGGGAGAGAAAGAGAAACTCTGGGGAGATGGGGAATTCTCAATACTGAGCCTTCCAACCCCAGACACCGCCTCGGGGCCTGAGCCCTTGAGAGCCACTCCTGGGGCCCTGGGACTTTGCCCTCCCCCTCCCCCTCCCCCTCCTGTGCAGGGTGTGTCTCAATGTCTCCCTGAGTCTTCGCCCGGGGGCTGAGAAACCAGGGAGAAACCTTCGGCATGGACCCAGTCCATCTCCCTTCATTATTCATTCCGAAATCCCAGTCCCTTGATTGAACTTTCTGCCTCCCATTCCATACCTGGACTCCCCGGACTCTTTTGGAAGAAAATTCACCCCAAGGAGCTTGGTGCCAGACAATGAACTTGTCCTGAGAATGAAGGTCTAGAGACAGTTTCTTCTTCTTCCTCTTCTTCTTCTTCTTCTTCTTCTTCTTCTTCTTCTTCTTCTTCTTCTTCTTCTTCTTCTTCTTCTTCTTCTTCTTCTTCTTCTTCTTCTTCTTCCTCTTCCTCTTCCTCTTCCTCTTCTTCTTCTTCTTCTTCTTCTTCTTCTTCTTCTTCTTCTTCCTCTTCCTCTTCTTCTCCTTCTCCTTCTCCTTCTCCTTCTCCTCCTTCTTTCCTCCTCCTCCTGCTCCTCCCCGCCCCCCTCCTCTTCTTCTCTGGAAAAGTTGTACCTGAGCATATGAAATAGGACAGAGACCAGTTTCTTTCTTTCTTTTTTTTTTTTTATTAGCTGCAGTGAGTAGTAGAATCTTGGTAACCCCTGAATTATCAGGAACCTTTTTTTTTTTTTTTTTTTTTTTGAGACGGAGTCTCTCTCTGCCGCCCAGGCTGGAGTGCAGTGGCGCGATCTCGGCTCACTGCAAGCTCTGCGTCCCGGGTTCACGCCATTCTTCTGCTTCAGCCTCCCGAGTAGCTGAGACTACAGATGCCCGCCACCACGCCCGGCTAATTTTTTTGTAGAGACGGGTTTCACCGTGTTAGCCAGGATGGTCTCGATCTCCTGACCTCGTGATCCTCCCGCCTCGGCCTCCCAAAGTGCTGCGATTACAGGCATGAGCCACCGCGCCCGACCAATCAGGAATCTTATGTGTAAAAACTGTTACTTTGGCCCCTTGATATATAAATGTGTCTAAATGCATTACAGTTGTACAACTCTCAGAGCTCCTAAGTTTTGCTTTCCCAGACTATGTATCTGTGACTCTTGTTGTATTCTAAAATTACCTTCATTCCATAGCCCTGAGTTTCTGTGGGAGTCCAGGACATCTCCTGACAATACAAAGTAGCACAACGTGTGATTGTATATTGCAACCAGGAGCCAATACATTCATTCACCTCAAAGTTGCAAGTGTTCAACGCAGTCACAATGCCCCTCACCAGTGCTCATGCACTTCCTGTTTTTAGGAAGTATCCGCATCTAAGTGGTGTGCATGTTTTATTGGAACACTTAGTATTTTTTTAAACCTGAAAAAAAGCAGAAAAAGCAATTAATTTTTAGGCAGTCCCACATAAGGTGTTAAAGGCCAAATGCAAGGAACACCCTGCTAGGCTCTGTAGATGGATGTATTAAAAATTTATAAAACAATGTGTTTAAAGCTAAGAATTCTGCTGCTTTCAAATTCTGTCCCTCTGCTCCTTCTCCTCACCTCCTGCTTCTCCAGCCCTTCCCTCCGTCCCTCTCATCCCTCAGGCCCTCCTCTTCCCTTAGTCCCCACCACTCTGTCACTCCTGAATAGTGGCTCTAGCACTGTTCCATTACCTGCCACCTGAGTGTTCTCTCCACAGTGGTCCTGCTACTGTGAGTCAAAGTGTGTCGTTTCTTCACCTAAAACACTCCAGTGGCTCCACTTCGGTCTTGTGAAGCTTCTAGAATGTCAGGCACTTGAGCATATGAGGGCATACCTGGTTCAGCATAGGCACTAAATTAATTTTTGTTGACTAGTTGAATGAAATATGATTGTATAAAAATTTAATCGCATCATGGAATATTATAAAATGAAAAATACTGGAAAAAGGAAATATTTTATTTTACTCATGTAGTGTGCTTATCAATTTATAAATTCATTCCATGTGTCTGTTGAGTCTGTGTATGACTTTTGTATGACTGCATAACAAATTACCACAAACACTGGCTTTAAACAACACCCATTTATTGTATTTATTTATTTATTTTTAGAGACATGGTCTCCCTCTGTTATCCACGGTGAAGTGCAGTTGCATGATCATGGTTCCCTGCAACCTCAAACTCCTGGCCTCTAGAGGTCCCCCTGCCTCAGTGTCTGGAGTACCTGGGACTACAGGCAAGTACCACCGTGCTCAGGTAAATTAAAAAAAAAAAAATTCCTTTTTGTAGAGAGGAAGGTCTCCTCAAATTGCCCAGGCTAGTCTCACTCCTGGCTGCAAGTAATCCTCCTGTGTCATTCCCACAAACCTTAGGATTACAGGCATGAGCTACCACGCTTGACCAAACAACACTTATTTATTTATTTACAGTTCCTTAGTCAGAAATCTGAGCATGATTGGAGGGTTCTCTGTTTAGGGTTTCCCAAAACTGTGTTTTCATTTTGAGGGCCTCCTTCAGGCTTATACAGAGGCGACAGAATTCAGTTTCTGCCAGTTGTAGGACTAAGGTTCCTGTTCCTTGCCTACTGTCAAGGTAGAGAGAGGCTGCTCTCAATTCCTGGTGCCCACCAGCATTCTTTGCCACACAGCCCCTTCATTTTTAGAATCCACATTGGAGGAACCCCCTCACACTGAATCCCTCTCACACTGTGAATCTCTCTGATCAGGAAGAACCCAGTCCTTTCAGGGGCTCGCCAGATGAGGACAGCCCGACCAGGGATAATCCCTGTCTTAAAGTCAATTGATTTAGGACCTTAATTATATATGCAAAAATCCCTTCAAGGCAGGACTTACATTATTGTTGGTTGAATAACTGGGGTCAGGTGAATGACCAAGGTTACACGTCTATCATGGGGGGGATGATAGAATCAGCCTAGCAAGGCTTGGGTCTTTCTTTTGAGTTTAATTGGGACACAGGTGGAAATTGAAGTTCAAATAAAGCAATAATTGTGAATGATAATAAAATACATCCTATTTAGCCATGGAAATTCCTCTTACCTCTTAAAACCAAATGACATGTTTAATATTTTATAATTAATTTAGGTTGGGTGTGGTGGTGGCTCATGCCTGTAATCCCAGCACTTTTGGAGGTGGAGTCAGGCAGAGAGCTTGATTTCATGAGTTCGAGATCAGCCTAGGCAGCATGGCAAAACCCTTGTCTCTACCAAAAATACAAAAATTTTAGCCAGGCATGGTGGTGCATGTCTGTACTCCCAGCTACTCAGACAGCTGAGGTGGGAAGATCACATGAGCCTAGGAGGTCGAGGCTGCAGTGAGCTGTCCTCCTGCCACAGCACTGCAGCCTGAGTGACAGAGCAAGACCCTGTCTCAATAATAATGATGATAACAATAACACTAATAAATTTAGAGCAAATGAAAATTAAAGTGCAACTATTCATCCTCTCTTGTGAAGCTGTATTTTTTTTTACTGTTACATTACAAATTACTGAAAATGTAACAGCTCAAAGCAACAAATATTTATCATCTCCCACAGTTTCCAATGCTCAGGAATCCAGGAGAGGTTTCCCTGAGTGTTTCTGGCTCAGGGCCTCTCACAAGGTTGCAGTCCAGTTGTCAGCCAGGGCTGCATCATCTGAGGGCTCAACTGGGCTGGGGATTTGCATGAAAAATGGCTCACTCACATGGCTATTGGAAAAGGCCTCAGTTCCTTGTTGTCTGGTCCCGGGAGGCCTCGGTCCTAGCCACATGGACCTTTCCACAGGTCTGCTTATGACACAGCAGCTGGCTTCCCCCAGAGTTCATGATCCCAGAGACAGAGAGAGCAAAGGTAGAAGCTACGGTAAGTTTTTTGTTCTACACCAACAGTCACTCCATCAGATAGAAGTGAATCATTAAGTCCAGGCCACACTCACAGGGAGGGAATGAACCTGCACCTCTGCAAAGTGGAGAGTATCAAAGAATTTGCATATATGTTAAAAGCAAAATTAAAATTATTGTTTCAGAATTTTATAAATCCAAAGCTGCTTTCATCTGATTATAATTCTTTAATGCTTTAAACTTCTCTTTTTAAAGTAATGATTAAAATTTGAGACATCACAGAGCCTTGGGTATTGAGGGGAAAAAAGTTTGAGACAGAGAAAGGAGATACTATAGTATCTCTAAGTTTTTCTTGCAAATACCTTTAATAACAATATTCTCTTTAATGAGTTGCAACACAGCTGAGAACTTACAGTAACTAGATCAAATAGTTCCAAGACTTCAGTGCCATAACAATAGTGCCTTAAAAATAAGTATTTGTTTTGCCTAAGATGTCTCAAATTTAGTTTAAGAATGTCCCAAATGCCAATTTTCTCATTCAAATATCATCTTTAAAAATATTTGCCAAATCAGATTGCTTTTAAGGTAGAAAAAATGTGAATCTCATACCTCAGCCAACACATCTAGCTTAGCATAATGTCAGTAACTTTGGTTGGATACAGTAGCCCAAAATGCTTAGCTCCAACTTAGGAACAAGATTTTCCAAAAACTGGCTACTGGGTGGGCATTCCATAATAAACTTGACATCTTTCGCTCTGGTTTTTAATGAGACGTGGTAGACATGATTTGGACATCACTATGATTCTAAATAGCACTGCTATTCTGTACTTCTACAGTATTTTTTAAGCAATCCTATTGTGTTTTCCATTCCTATTTGCTATTCTATCACTGGTTATTCCTATATAATTTTTTCCTGTTTAATTTATTTTGATCAGTAATGTGCATTTCCAATTCTGTAAAAGTTTAATTCAGGTGTGTGTGTGGTAGAATGTAACATCGAATCCTTTGCAAGATGGAATTACCTTGCACATCAGACCAAACATTGTACACCAAAAATCTATGGAGATGTCAATGAGCCAAGGATCAAATGACCTATTTCTGGTCAAGGCCACTTTCATAGCATTCTGGCTCTCTCCATCACATGGATCATTACAATTGGCTTTGGTCCAATGTGAATAGTTCTTGGTAAGAATTATTGTAATGGCAAAAACTGCAATTATTTTTGCATCAGCCTGTAAGAGTTCAAAGTCACTGTCTTGGCCGCAGAATTACACCAGGCACTTTTTACTCAGACTCTGTTAATAACTTCCTGTTCTTTACTTGTATCCCATACACTGTGGCATTAAACTTTTAACATACAGATTCAGAAAATGCTTCCTTATATCATAACCACATAGGGTTATTTTATATGTTAGGAATATTTCATGAGAAGTAGGAAAAAATGGTGGGAAGGAAAAGAAAAATCAAGAAGAGAATAGGTGGAGAGAAACGGGAAACATTATGTATGGATAATATTATAAAAATAGAAGGAAATAAATCAGATGTAGATAACCACTATGGAATAATCGAAACATAAGAGAGGTTTATTAGCTATCTGTTGCTGTGTAACAAACTACCCCAAGACTTAGTGACTTAAAACAGTGAACATCAATTTACTCAAAGAAAACAACACAAATACTAGCAAAACTGGGGCAGGTGGAAGAAGTTGGATAAAAAAAAGGATTTTACAAACTGGAAAAGTAAGAGGTCACTGGTGTGTAAATGGAAATGATTTTGTTGGTCCATGTTCTCCAAGAAGCAGATGACATGAGATTAAAGTTGCAGTATTTTATTAGAGGACTCACCTGCCAGAAAATATGGGAAAAGATCCAGGAAACCTTGGGAGAGACAGCAGACTGAGATGCAAGCGTGATCCCCAAGTGAGGGACAGGAGAGGAGGTTTGTTGGACACATCCTAGACCATAGGCAATCTAAGGAGAGTTGAGCAAGGCCATAGAGGAGTCCTCTCGTCACAGTTGGCCCTTGTCTTCCAGACATGGGCCTCCCTTAGTGTCCCTCTTGTCACCCATCACTGGTTGGGAACAGCCCATGGAAAGCAGGGTGCCTGCACCAATGCTGCTGAGGATGTCAGAGCACAGGAGCAGGGCCTTGGGAGATTATCTGGGAGCATGGTTCAAATTTTCCTTCCTGAGGTTTCTGGGCCCTTGGAAATCAAATTCCCTCAGGATTGGTTGCTGGACAATTCCACTAACACTTACAATGGGACAAGGGGAACCAGGAGACCCCTCAAGTGGATCACTGGGTTCCACACACATTCCTCCTGCCCTCATTGTGACAGCAGCCCAACCTCCTCCTGGAGATTAGGATCTATTACCTGTGCCTGGAGAGGAGGGGACTCCTCACTTGCTGGTCTCTGGGCACATACTGTCCAAATCTCTCTGGGGGCAATAGTAATGTGTTCTTCAGTAGGCTCTCATTTGTCCTGATTTAAGAGTACCTTCCTTTAGAATCCAGGACCTTCTACCCTGCAGAGCACAGGTTTGGGAGATGAGAAGTGCAAAATCCCACAGCAGGTGAATCTAAGGAATGAGACATGGAGCCATACCCACTTTCACTCCTTAGTTTCTGGACCCACATGTTCTTCCTACTGAGAACACGGCACTGTAGAGATGTCTCTGATTTAATAAATGCACCATGTCCTGAAAGACAGCACCCACTCCTCAGAGTGCTTCCTCCAGGCTGGCACTGAGTTGTGCCTGTAGAAGACCTGTCCAGCATTCTTAGTGGCTGGCAGACCCTGGGTGGTGCAGATGGTGATAGAACCAGTGGATCCCATGGCCATGAAAATGCTGCACCTGCTTCCCTGTCAAGTGGGTTCCGCCAGGAAGACAGTGTGCTAAGAGCAATGCCATGCCTGTGAATCAGGAATGTCAACAGTCCCTGGAGAGTGGTGCTGACTGAGGGTCTGAGAGCAGGACAGGAAAACCCACTCATGGAATGGTGCCTAACCCTGTAAAGATGAACCTCTGGCCCTTCCAGAATGGAAGTGGCTCAACTAATCACTTAGCAGCGAGTGTTGCTTTAGTCACCTAAAGAAATATAGCCCCACTGAGGCATATCATTGGCCTCAAATGCTAATGAGTTGGACATTCAGAGGTGGCAGCAGCTGGATCTGTCTTGGTAGGTGGTAGTCAGTGCTTCTGGACCCATATTTAGCCTCATCCCTGCCACTGTGCTTGCTCCATTCATGAACCCATCCTGCTAGGCCTGGGCTGCCCGATGGTGAGGGCTGGCTAACTTCAATTTGTCTGCTTGGTTGTTTAGTGCCACTTCAGGTTTGGATGTTTTCTGGAGGTGTCAACATAGGATTCATGCTCAATCCAGATGGACCATTTCTATCTCATGATGGATGCTTTGGGGTCTGTCCGATCTATGACTTTCTGAGTTACAGAAGCCAATTCATATGGGCATTTGAAATCACATGGTTGTTTGCTGTCCCATGGCAAGGATTCTATCTTATCAAGGCCAGTAACATACCAAAAGTTGCTTCTAACAGGGGCATATGTCTCTGCTGTGGATGACATGGCCTTACTCCAGAATCCCAGGCCGTCCATGTGACTCCCCCACTGGTGCTTGTTTCAGCTCCATCCTGCATCTTTCCCCAGGACTGACACCTCTAGGTGGGTCTGAGGGATGGCGCTGCCTCATGGCCTGAATCTGCCAGTGTCCTTTCCTCAGCAGGCCTAATTGAAGCAAGTCCCCTCCTATTTCTCCTAGAGTGTAGGTCAAAACAATAGATGTGGGATGTGGTATTGTCAGAACTCAAAGAGGCTCACCAGGCAGTGTGCTTCCTTCCTTGTAGTGAGGATGCAAGATGCAACACTTTGTCTTTTACTGTGGAGGAGAAACTCCTGGATGTCCTCAACCACTGGATGAATAAAACTTCACCACAGTGGCCACTCCTGAATCTCTGTATGGTTTATCTTCCATCTTCTGGAGAGCACGTGTTTTGCCAAGGCCTTCAGCATACTTTCCACCTCCTACTCATCCATCCTAGTCAACATGATGTTGTTGATGAAATAAGCTGGTTTACCATTCTATAGGATGCCAGGTTCTTCAGATCTCTTTTTTTTTTTTTTTTTTTTTTTTTTTTTTTTGAGACGGAGTCTCGCTCTGTCGTCCAGGCTGGAGTGCAGTGGCGGGATCTCGGCTCACTGCAAGCTCCGCCTCCCGGGTTCACGCCATTCTCCTGCCTCAGCCTCCCAAGTTCTTCAGATCTCTTAAGACTATACTATAGAGGGCAGGTCAGTTACAATAACCCTGAGGCCAATTATCAATAAATGTGTTGTGGATCCCACATGAATCACTTCATGTATAGTTTTTCTCATTGGAATGGAAAGGAATGCACTCACCAAATCCACAGCTGCACACTCTGTGCCTGAGGCCTTATCAATCTGCTCTACCCGTGATATCCAGCCAGCATGGCAGCTGCAATTATGACTCCTACTTTTTCAAGTCTGAAGTAATCTTATTCATTCTTTAGGCCCCATCAGGCTTCCTTGGGGACAGATTGCTGGATTACATGAAGATAATAGGCAACTCCAACAGCACCCCTCATCCTTCAGCTCCCTAATGGCGGTGCTACACCTACAATACCTACAGCACCTTTCATAAGACTCACCCTGGGACTCAATATCATTTTTTATTTGGCCAAGATGAAGTCAGTTGCAGAGGTTTCCCTTTGGCTTTCAGAAAATGACAGCCCTTATTCCAGAGACTTGGGACCCAATGTGGGGGTTACTCCAGCTGCCAGGGCATCAATGCCAATTACACACTTGGAGAATGGGGAGATAAACAGGGCTGGGTCTGTGGACCCAGTAGTCTCTTTGTGATGTGTCCAGATTTATTCCCAGCTTCTGTAAGCCCCACTGTGCTGGGGACATAATGGTGCTGTAGGCCTGTAGGCATCAATATTAGCTCACACCCAATGTCAACACTCCCCCAAATTCTGCCTGTTTCCCTTTCCTAGTGTACAGTCCCCTGAGTAAATGACTGTAGGCTCCTTTGCAGAAAGACAGAGGGAATTGTTCCAGCATATACTTGCCATGAGGTTCCAGGGTCCTTCCTCCTGGGATAGGGACTCCTTCTCTGTAACTGGGATCTGAATCTGAAACTTGGTTGACATTTAGGAATTGAGAATGGGATCATGACTTTGTATTGAGTTAAACACCCTCAGCCCCCTGCTCATCAATTCTTGCTTTCTTATCATAGATGTCAAGCAGTGCCCTTGTTGGCTGCTGTCTTTTCTGACACCACCCTCTATTAACCTTCCCCACAACTCCCTGCAGATCAAGCTGCCTCAGCTGCTCCTCTGAGATTGTCAAGTTAACCGTGCCCTCTGGCTTTTGCAGGCCACTGTCACCATTTAGTTCTCTGCCTTTTCAAGGCCACACTTTCCTCAGGAATATCAATGAGCCCAACTATAGGACCTCCTTCCTGCCATCACACCCAGCCTGCAGAGGACACCACCCCGACGCTTCTTAGCAATGCAAGTCCCTCTCACCAGCACATTCCTGAGGCTCTGGTGGAAGGTGTGCCCTATGGGTCCTCTGTGGAGCATGGCCCTAGTGGGCATTCTGGTTCACATGATGTCTCCATCCCACACACCCACTTCCCTCAGCCTCATTATCCATCCTCTACATGTTCCAGGACAACTAACTCATGTCTAACTTACTGAGAGTTGGACATCATTTTTTCCAGTCTACATGGGTCCACCCCAGCAGTGGGTTTGCCCCATGCCCTGAGGTCCTTGATAAACCCATACCCTGAGAAAGTGCTCCCAAGCCAAAGGTGTTTTTTTTAATTTATCCAGCTTGATTCTGGCCCTTTGATCAAACACCCTTAAATTCCAATCCCAGAACTGCTCCTCAGGCTCCTACGGGGACATAACGGCTGTTACTGCAAAGCTCCTGAGTGGAATTCCCACTGCATCATAGGGGTGAGGTTTCTGCAGCAACTTCCAGTGTAGGAAGTGGGAACCATTACTAGAGAAGGGCGAGCCTCCTCTGCATGCCCAGAGAGTTCTAAAGGGCACCCATAGGATAACCCTGTTCCAGTTTGCAGAATCTTAGGTTTCCGCACCAAGGCCTTGACTTTCCCACAGCAGGTCTGCCTCTGATGAGTGTCCAAACATCTCTGTAGTACTGTGACTTTCAAAATGATGTCATCAGCTATCATTCCACTCTGCAAGGGGAGAGGGGCAGGTGCCCCTCCTCGGTCTGTCTCCACCAGGCCCTGTGAGGGTGGGTGGAGGCTCTCTCCAAGCCCTCGTTTGGCCCCACCCTAGCATGTCTCCAGGTTCCTCTCAGCCCTGGTTCCTTTTGGCCCTGCAGTCACAATGGGCAACACTGTGACGCACCCTGTCCTGTGTCACAGTGTCATACACTCAGGCTCACATTGCCCCTAGGCCACTTGCCAGCCAAGGGACATGGCCACATTTTGTGTCTTCTGCACCTCAGCCTTGCTTTCAAGTGCAGGTGATGATGGCACCCACGCAGAACAAATGTTATTTGCTATCTTCGTCGAGTTTAGTCATCCAATTTTCCAACCCTCACTGGGCAAGGAAGAGTGTGGTTTCCACCAGAAGGCAGGATGTCAGCAGTCACAGGGGCAACCAACAGGGAAAGCCACCGGAAAATAGACCCCACAGGAAGCACAGGTGTCCAGTGGAGATGGGAACCCTGCAGATTTGACCGTCTTTAAGCAGATTAGAGAGATTACCATTACTAACAACTTAGCCATAAAAGTTTATTAGCTATTTTCAAAAAGCATAAAATTATGTAATATAATTTTTTTTAAATTTCCATCAATACAAAACTAATCTGGGCACTGCAACTTCCGGTGGGCAACTGGGATAGGCGGCATCATCAGGAAGGCGAGCCCTGCCATGCCCCATGTGCCAGTGCCCCAGATGGCGGCAGCCTCCCCAGAAGCACCTTGTATCTCCCCTGCACAGGGCCAGGGTCCCAGCTTCCCATACACCTTCTCCTGCTTTTTCTTTTCTGTCCTTTCCTTTTTCAATAAACCACCTGCAAAAAGGGAAAACCATTCTGAGGACAAGAAACATGTCAATGGGAAATACACAGTTGCCAGAGGGTAAAAGGCCCTGTTCATTCTCATTGAAAAGCTCAGGTATTTCTGTTAAAGTCTCTCCTTTTACTTTAGGATGCTGACTCCTGCGTCCATCTCAACCTGGGCATCGTGCCACCACCTTCAAGAAGAGAAAAACTAAGTAGTGCTTTGCAAAGGGGCAGCAGCATTTCTCATTTCTGACCATGTCAGGCACACGGCCATGCAGATGAGCAGGTGGGGGGACACAGGTGAGTCTCCAGACCTGCTCTCCTCCCACAGTACATTCTTGAGTCTTTTTAAACAGTTGTGAAAATGCCACAGATGCAAGCACCTGTGGGCCACTCCCATGGGGACTGTTGCACAAGGCAGTGCCACTCATTCTCAGAACCTCCTACCATGGGCTATGCTTAGTGACCCGAGGCCAAGCCAAGGAAGACGCCAGCCACAGGGTGCCATCCTCAGGGGCATGCTGCCAGCAGGGGCAAAGTTATCCCTAGCAACAAGATACAGAAAGAAAGAAAAAAGGAAGGAAATGTAGCCAATGGGCCGGTTCAGGTTCTTGACTTTGCCACACAAAAGAATTTGAGAGCAAGTCCAAAGTAAAAGTCAGCAAGAGAATTTATTGCAAAGTGAAAGTACACTCTGACAGCTGATCAGAGCAGCTGCTCAAAAGAGAGACAGTACCCTCCCCTCACGGGAGTCTTACATGATTATTCATGAATAGGTGGGAAGGGGTATTGTTTTAAGCATGTTCTGTGGTCTCTTGAACGTGCATGCACTATGGTTGTACATATCAGCACACACATCTTACGTCTCATTAGCATCTTAACTTCCCTCTCGGAGTTGTGTTTGCTACTATTGTAATGAGCATAGGTCAGCCCAAGGACGCTATTCATGGGTTTCTGGGCTTCCTCAGATGTGGGGATGCCTCCCTTGGCTCTTCTACCTCTTTGCTGCAGGATGTTCTAACCACAAGCCCAGGATATGGTTTGCGCACTGTCGAACAGCTTGTTCTCTCCATCAACCTGACAAGTCTCTTGTTTCCTTTCAAGGGAGGCTGTGAACATCCTATCTCACTGACCTCAGAAGGACAGTACAGCAGTAGCCACCATGACCAAAAAGATGATTCCAGAAGTGCAGGACAACTCCCTACCCAGAGGCTGTGGCTGTGCAGTAACACACCAAGAGGGGAGTCCAGCTGGCTCTCAGGGTGCTCACTACCCTCATCTGGGGGCCTGGAGGACGTCAATTCCTGAGAACGCCACGTTCTAGTGAGTAGAATGAACTGAGAGATACACAGCAAAGCTCCACATACTTTTCCTTTTCTTTGTGCCCGCAGTGTTCTTCATCAGTGTGCTCTCGCTTTTCAGCTACTACTGTTGGCTGGCTGGAAAAAATAGAACAATAGTAAAAATTAGAGACCAGTCTTTGGTGATGAAGAGAAATATTGGCTACTTCCAGTATTTTCTAGCTTTGGTTATGGTTGCAGTTTTCCAGCTCACCTTGTGGGGATGAATTCAGAAAAAAGTTACAAATTGAAATGAACATGCCAGAAGTATTGGCTCAAATCAACGTTGTCCTATTAAGCCACTTAGTGAATCAAAAGACCGCTTGTTGGACTGTTAATCTCGGTGGCCAGAGAAAGGAGCTGAAGAAGGTGTTGCCAGATCAGGAACAAATAATTACAGCGGCAATAGAAAATGGAAGACCACTTGTTCATAACCATTTGAATAAGGGCAAGGTGTATGGAAACACATTATGAACTGATATTTTCAGTTTTGTTTGCAAGAAAATGATTAATAAGGTGAAATAGTTGAAGTATCACGGAAGATACATTAAAAAAAAAAAAGCCTTTGTACAGTTTGCTGGAGCCACAGATGTCCTACTCCAGAGCAGAACAATGCCTGAATCTTCAGGGTCCATTTCTGCCGCATTCACTAGCAACCACAAATGTGACTTAATTTTACTTTGGAAATAATGCTTACCCATTGTGAGATGCTGTAATATGAACCATCATTACATGTTAACATGGCACATGGAATTTTGAGTGTCTAAGTTACATTTTTAGAGTTGTTTCTTAGTAGCCATGTGAGTTTCCACTCCAAAAACACAAGCTAAAAACTTGTTTTGAGTGAAGGACATCTAGGGCAAATGGTGGCTGAAAGTGAATGAGATCCCAATTACTCTTTCTTGTACTGTATAAGGAAAAGAAAATAAGTGCTTTTCTTGTTGGGTGTTTGCTAATTTATAATTACCGTTTTATGCTTTTCAACATTTTTAATAAAGTTTTTTATTGTTGGCTATAAACGTTTTAAAAGGATTCTCTTCCTCTAGAATCACTCTAAGTACCAAAATCTGTATTATTCTGGATTCATCAGAGAAACAGAACCAATAAGGTGTGTGTGTGTGTGTGTGTGTGTGTGTGTGTGTGTGTGTTATTCGTGTTATGAAACTGACTCATGCAATTATTACGGTGGCAAGTGTGAAATCTGTAGGATACGCCAGCAGGCTGAAAATGCAGACAGAAGTTGATATGGTAGTCTTAAGACAGAATTTCTTCTTTTCTGGGAAACTGTAGTTTCTGCTCTTAAAGCCTTCTACTGATTGGATGAGGTCCATCTACATTATTGAGGGTAATTTCCTTTTCATAAAGTCAACTGATTGTAAATGTTAACCACATGTACTAAATATCTTCACAGCAACATCTAGATTAGGTTTTGATTAAATGACTGGGTACTATGTCCTAGCCAAGTTTATTGGCATTGACTCTGGGTCAAGGCACCGTGTCTCCCTCCCATCGAGTTTTCCATCATCTACACGAGACCTAGATGACTACTTTGATATCTACTGAAGGCCACAGCCTTGTCAAAGCCAGCCCCAGCTGAAATGCACTCACCTGCATTCCCACACAATTTTACATACAATTCGGGGGAGGTTATGGGACCTATGAAGACCAAGGGTCTGTGGTCCTGTGACACTTTCTCTCAGAGGGTGAAGAAGGAGTTCCTTGGGGCAGCAACTCCCCAGGGGTCTCCTGCCTGCCTCTCCTCCCCTCTCAGCCCCAATCCTCTTTCCTGCTGTTGATCATCATGCAGTTTTTAAATCCCTACTCCCTGCCCCACCAAGGTTGGGCTCTAGGACCTGCCTATTGGGAACCTGCGGTTGGGAGAAAGTATGAAGTGACCCACCTGAATTTAGAGGAGGGAAGTGAGGAATTTGGAGACATCTAAAAACATTTTGTCCCTGTGGTTTGACTTCAAATTATCTATTTTTATTGGAGATTTGTTTGAAATTATAACCGGTATCTCATGATTATTCAGCATATGCCATGCCCCCTGGTAACCCTGGTTCTTATTTTTTTAAACTTGTACAAATATTTTAAGCAAACACAAAAGTAGACAGAAGAGTAAAGTAACCTTCACTGTACCCTTCACTCAGTAACACCCACTCTTGATTTATCTACATCCTCAACCATAGCCCAACACCAGGTTATTTTCAACTAAATCCTAGACAATATATTATTTCACATGTTAGCAATTTTCTTTTGAAGGTGCCAATGTTCAGCTTCTTTAAAAAGAGAAACAGAGACGGGCAGGAGAAGGATTGAACTGACAAAATATATTTTCAAATGCAATTAAGGCAGAGGACAATGCAGGAACTCTTGAGTCCCGTTTTAACTGAATGCTCAGCACCTCTTAGATTCTCAATAAAAGAAAGCAGCAGCCCAGAGCCAAGGAGCCCAGGGAGGCACATCATGGTTTGATTTTGTGGCTGTTTTCAGGGCAGTATCTGTCATCTCTGAATGGTTACACTGGACATTTCTATTCCCACCCTTGCAATGGGACTCCCCAGCTCAGAGAAAGGGAAATTATCACCCATTCTCATTTATACCTTTAATGCCTTCATCCATTCCCTTGGTCCTGACTTTCCGGTTGGAGGAGGGGGAGGAAAAGCAGAGGCACGAAATTGAAATGTCTTCTCTGCCATCTGCTGGGGATATGCTTGAATAACAGGAAAGGCCTACATAAAAGATATGCAGCCAGGAATAGAGGTTCCTTTTCCTGTTTCCTTCAGGAAATTTCCCCTAGGGCAGACAGAGCAAGAGTGATGGACAGAGGAATGGGAGCAGGACCCAGGGGGAGGTCTGGTCATATGTGTGCCTTTCTGCCTCCCCGTCTGTCATTGTCCTTCCTCACCAGGCCTGCAGACCACCTGCGATGACCTGGCCTCTTGCCATCCCTAGCTGGGCCAAAATTCCATCACAGGGACACACAGGATGGCAGAAGCGCAAGGCCTCATACCCGCTGGGGCAGCCTCCTGGAGATGGCCTCAGAAGGGCTTCTAGGAACTTCTTTAAAACCTGCACTGCAGGCACCAATTTCCCCAGTTATCCCATCCTTAAATGAAAAATCAACCACAGAGATGATTTATTGTAATAGCCTTATTTCAGTACAAGCAGACGAAAAGTGTTTCTCTTCACTGGCCCGTTAGTTACAATGGGGAGGGGTCACTGAGTGAGCAGCGGGTGGTGGCAGTGACGACCACACCCTCTCACTGCGGCCCAACACTTTTGAGACAAGTTCCCACCTCTCCATTAGACGTGTCTTCTCCACATGCAGAAAATGTGGTCTCGTAGCTTCCCTTCTCGGTGCTGGATTGCTGACATTTCTTTTCTTTATCAGAGACATGAATATCTTTTTTCTTTATGGATTTCTAAGACTTCAGGGTTTCTTCAGGGAGAAGTTGCTTAAGGAGGCTCCTGCGTGGATCGAGTCCTTCCTGAGGGTTTGCTGGATGCCCCCGGACACTGTGCGGCTGTGTCCTCCGGGGTCCCTAAAGCTGGCACATTCTGCTGTGTACCCAGAGGTGGGGACAGATGCTGCCAGCTCCACCTTACAGCTGCCACATGAAATTTGAGGTCAGAGAATTCTCTTGTCTTTAAGGGCCCCCACATTTGCCTTCTTCGATGTTTCAGGAAATCATAACTGAATTTAGAAAGGTTCCCTTTTCAGTTTACTCTCTGGAAGGAAATATACTGAAAATTCAGTTTATTTTCAGGTGTTGAATAGAATTGAAAAGTCAAACTGTCAGTTTGCTTGCAGTGCACACAGAGAAATTGAGTGTTCCAAGCCATTGGGACATTTCTAGCAGCTCCATCCTTTTCCAGTAGGACATGAGTAAAGTCAGTGAGGAGCGAACCTGCAGTCCACGGGCACCTCCAGGATTGTGGCAGGAGACGCACATGTCTTTCTGATGTGTGGAGTCCTGAGGACAGAGGCTGAGACCCTGCATTTCCCAAAGTACTTGTTTTCTAAGCAAGTGTTTCTGCTACTTGAAATAAACTTGGGGGTGTGGAAGCCACCTTGCAACCAACCAAACACAGGTGAGAAAATGAATATGAAGTGTTCTGGGAGAAAGCAGAAAACCCCATTGCCATCATGTTTCCTTATTTTTACAATTCTCTTAAACAACGTGCCTAAGGTTATAACCCCTCCCGTTTGTAACAACTTCTAAATGAGAAAATCGTTGAAAGGGCATTAGTAAGTGTGGATACAGAATAAATGCTGAAAATCAGTGCTTTATTCAAAGTAGCGATAGAGTCTCCCAGGTATCAATAGAGAGGTGGGCCAGGGACTTTTCCCAGTGACCAGAAACAAGAGCCTCAGGGAGATGAGGATGTCTCACAGCCAGGGACGGGACAGTGAAGGGCCCCACGGGAGTGCATCCCAGGGGTCTGTTCCTGTTTAGACTCCAATGCTCAGCACCCAGTGCGGCACGTGGCAAGACCTCAGCAAATATGTCAGTTGGCTGGATGAAGGAGGGCAGGTGTGAGCCAAAAAAAGATTTTTGCTGGGGCATAAATGTAAAAGTGTTGATGAACCTACCTTGCAAGGAGATAGAAAGGTGGATGGGTGGATGGGTGGATGGGTAGATGGATGGATGGATGGATAGATGGATGGATGGATGGATGGATGGATATTCATTTTCTCTATGTGTGTGTGTACGTGTGTATCTATCTCTGTCTGTCTCTCTGCTCTTTCTCTCCATTTGCCATTGTTCCTTCACAATCATGATTTCACTAACTTTTTTTTTTTTTCTTTGAGACAGAGTCTCACTCTGTCGCCCAGGCTGGAGTGCAATGTCACAATCTCTGCTCACTGTAGCCTCCACCTCCCGGGTTCAAGCGATTATCCTGCCTCAGCCTCCTGAGTAGCTGGGATTATAGGCACATGCCACCACGCCCGGCTAAATTTTGTATTTTTATTTTGATTTTTTTTGTAGAGATGGGGTTTCACAATGTTGGCCAGGCTGGTCTCAAACTCCTGACCTTGTGATTCGCCCACCTCAGCCTTCCAAAGTGCATCAGTAACATCTTTTACCTGGTCTTACAGGACCTTGCCTGTCTATTCTATTCGTGGTCACAAGACAGAAAAAGAAAAGGAGTGTGTGGAAAACAAGATAAGGAAACATGCTTCTGATGTGGGGCAGTGGGGAGACAGGAGCTGCGCCTCACTGCAGAGTCCATCCTGCTGAACACAGAGGGGCAAAAGCGCCCAGACAGCCATGCCCGTGCTGATCAGAAGGGAGGGCTGCGCCTCGCGATCCTTCTACCTGTGTCTTTCAGGCTTTGCTGTCTAGGTCCAAGTTACTGCTATGAAAAGAGATTTGAGAATTCCCAGAGGGGCCTTTCAGCCTCTTTCCATGGCTCTTCCTGCCCTTTCGAAAGCACAGCCAGAGACATCAGAAATGAAATTGTACATAATTCTTTTGGACTTTGATGCAATCTTTGGAAAGAATTTTTGTAAATGCCAAGCTACATTTTGGCAACCCCATCAAGAGTCAGGTGTGCCCAGGGCAGTCAACCCAGGCCCTGGACTCTCATTCTAGTTGGATTCTATGACAGCTATTTTGCCATAAGAATTCTAGAGCCAGATCTTGCTACACCACAATTGCCTCACGTTGCAAGACAAACAAATCTAACCTGAGTCCTGTGGATTCCAGAGGTGCTCAGGAGGAACCTCCGTCTCAGCGTGGATGACCTCAGGTTCAGCCCCGTCTGTCCATTCAGCCCGCAGCCCCGTCCAGGAGAGCACTCAGAATCCGAGAGCAGCGCAGCGGCGCCCCCGTGTGGCCACAGGGCCGAGGACAGAGACCCCGCTCCCCTTTCTCCCTAGCCAGGACCTCCCAGGCTCTCCTGCTCCCAGCACCTGGACAGGGCTCTGCATACAAGGGGGTTCCCGATCTCAAGTCAGGCTCTGAGTCCATCCAGCTTCCCAAAATCCATGTTGACACTGACGTTTCCTCCCACCACTGAGTGACTCTGGATTTTGGCTTTAGGGAAGAGATACCTCCAGGCCAAAACAGTGGGATCATATCTGGGGCTCATCCACCCCCAGACCATTGCTACCACATGACCTAGTCCCTCAGCCTCCAAAATGGGGCCTTGCCCTCCTGTCCCCTCCCTTGTTCCTGCTGCTGCTCCTGCAGGTGGAGGCTGCTCATCCCAGGAATCAGCCTGTGAGCTCCAACCCTGGAGTCCGGGCCTGGGGCCTTGGTCCAGAGAGCAGAAGGGAGATGAAATGGATCATAAGAGAAGGGGGAGAGTGGAAGGAACCAGGGGGGAGAGAAAAACGAGAAGGGCCCTGTTAGAAGTTGTGTGTGCATGTGTGTGTGTGTGTGTGTAGATCAGGAGGGGGTTTCTAGGGACCTGGGGAAAGGAGAGCTAAGGGCAGGTGCTAAGGGGCCCAGCCCTGTTAATTCCAAGGTCCGGAATTAATTCCAGGATACTGCACTTCCTACAGTACCACTTTATGGCCATATCCAAGTCCAGCCCTGAGCAGCCTATGGTCACAGAAAATCGTGAGAATAATCAGAGAAAAATGACACGTTACATACATGAGAACAATTATGAGAATGACCAGTCCATGTGTTCATAATTTGTCATCAGAAACTATGGTTGTCAGAAGACAATGAAATGGCATTTTTTTGAGTGCTGTAAGAAAACAACCTAACTCAGAATTGCACATCCAGTAAAAATATTTTCAGGGAAGAAAAATGAAAAGGTGTCTCCAGATAAAATAAAACTAGGATAATTTGTTGCAAACATAACTCTACTACAAGAAAAATACTGAAGGAGTTTCCCAGGTTGAAAGAAATCATACCAGATGGTAACTTGAGTCTTCAGATAGGAGTGACCAACACTGGAAATGCCAAATATATGGTGGGAAGTTAAAGATGCTCTATTTTTTCTTAGTTTTTTTTTTATTAATTTTTTTTTGAGGTGGAGTTTCACTCTTGTTGCCCAGGCTGGAGTGCAATGGCACAATCTCCGCTCACTGCAACCTCTGCCTCCTGGGTTCAAGCGATTATCCTGCCTCAGCCTCTCGAGTAGCTGGGATTACAGGCATGCGCCACCACGCCCAGCTAATTTTGTATTTTTAGTAGAGACGTGGTTTCTCCACGTTGGTTAGGCTGGTCTCGAACTCCCGACCTGAGGTGATCCACACGTCTTGGCCTCCCAAAGTGCTGGGATTACAGGCGTGAGCCACCGCGCCCAGCTTTTTCTTAGTTTTTTAAAAATACAAATGAACAACACTATCAACCGTCTTGATCTGACATTTACAGTCACTGTGTTCAACAGCTCCAGAATATATATTTTGTAAAGTGAATATGGTACATTCACTAGCACAGGTCATATGTTGAGACATAAAACAAGTAACAACATATTTCAAAGGACTGAAATCATACAGAATATGTACTCTGACCAAAATAGATTTTATTGGAAATCAATAATAAGTTGTCTAGGGGCAAAAAAGTATTGAAAATTTTAAATCTTCCTTCTAAATAACCTACGGATCAAAGAAGAAAACATAAGGGAAGTTAGATAATATTTTCAACTGAATGATGATGAAAACATACCTTTCAAAATTATTAGATACTATTTCCAGTCTTTCTGCAAAGGACAGTGATCAAGAGAGTGTGGTATTGGCAAAAGGACAGACACATAGATCAACAGAACAGAATGGAGAGGCCAGAAATGGAAGGACAAAAATAGAGTCACTTGATTTTGAATACAAGTACAAAGGTCATCCAATGAAGAAGGGAATCTCCTTTCAATAATGATGCTGAAACAATTGGCATCCATCTACTTTGGGAGGCTGGGGCAGGTGGATCACTTGAGGTCAGGAGTTTGAGACTGGCTTGGCCAACATGGTGAAACCCTGCCTCTACTAAAGTTACAAAAATTAGCTGGTGTGGTGGCTCATGCCTGTAATCCCAGCTACTCGGGAGGCTGAGGTAGAAGAATCACTTGAACCTGGGAGGCAGAGGTTGCAGTGAGCAGAGATCACGCCATTGCACTCCAGCCTGGGCCACAGAGTAAGACTCAATCTCAAAGAAAAAAAAAACAAAAAAAAAACTTGACAATACTTCACACCTATAAAAAAGTAACTCAAAATGTATCATAGACTTAAAAATAATATGCACAGCCATAAAACTTCTGGAAGAATATAAAGGAGAAAATCTTAACCTTGAGTTTGAGTTTTTAGATAAAACACCAAAAATACAATCCATGAAAGAGAAAACAAATCAATTACACTTTATCATAATTAATAGTTTTTGCCTTACAAAAACACTGGTAAGTGAATGAAAAGAAGACAAGGCACAGACTGGAAGAAAATACTTGTCAAAAAACTGGAAGTTATAGATGTGACAAAGGACTTGTAAAGATAATATGTGAACAAAATTAAAACACAATAATTGGGAAAAAAAATCTTGATTTTAGAAGTGGGTGAAAGATCTCAACAGACACCACCAAAGAAGATATATGGGTGGTAAATAATACTTGAAAATATGCTTAAGATCATCTGTCATTAGGGAAATGCCAATAGGGTGCAGTGGCTCATGCCTTCAATGCCAACACTTTGGTAGGCTAAGGCAGAAGGATCACTTGAGCCCAGGAGCTCAAGACCAGCCTGGGTAACATGGCGAGACAATGTCTCTACAAACAAACAAACAAACAAACAAACATTAACCAGGTGTGGTGGCATGCACCAGTGATTCCAGATACTTGGGAGAGTGAGACGGGAGGATTGCTTGAACCTGGGAGGTGGAGGCTGAAGTGAGCTGTGATCGCACCACTTTACTCCAGCCTGGGCAACAGAGTGAGACTCTGTCTCAAAAAACAAAACAAAACAGAACACCAAAACAAAGTACTGCTACACTATTAGAGTAGCTAAAATTTTTTAAACTTACAATAAAAAATGCTGAAAATATACAGAGCAACAAGAATTCCCACTCACTGCTAATGGGAATGGAAAATGGTAAAGCCACTTTGAAAGACAGTTTAGAAGTTTCTTATAAAGTTAAGGAGAGACTTACCATCAATCATGCTCTTAGGTATTTACCCAAGTTAATTCAAGGTTGATATCCACACAAAAACCTGTACATGAATATTTATAGCAGCTTTACATATGTTCACTAAAAACTGTAAACAACCAAGATATCTTTCAGCCATGCAAGACTAAGCAAACTGTGGTATAACCATATGGATCATAAGAAATGAGCTATTGTCAGGCCAGAAGAGGTGGCTTACACCTGTAATCCCAGCACTTTGGGAGGCTGAGGCAGGTGGATCACCTGAGGTCAGGAGTTTGAGACCAGCCTGGGCAACATGGCAAAACTCCGTCTCTAGTAAAAATACAAAAAGAAAAAATTAGCCAGGCGTGGTGGCGAGCAACTGTAGTCCCAGCTCCTCGGGAGGCTGAGGCAGGAGAATCACTTGAACCTGGGAGGCAGAGGTTGGAGTGAGCCAAGACTGCATCATTGCACTCTAGTCTGGGCAACAGAGCAAGGATCTGTCTAAAAAAAAAAAAAAAAAAAAAAAGCTGTTGCCCTGGTGCAGTGGCTCATTTTGGGAGGCCAAGGTGGAAGGATCGCTTGTGGCCAGGGTTCAAGACCAGTCTGGGCAACATACCGATATGCTGTCTATGTTTATTTAAAAATAAAAAAAAAATTGGCCAGGCGCAGTGGCTCACACCTGTAATCCCAGCACTCTGGGAGGCCGAGGCATGTGGATCACCTGAGGTCAGGAGTTCGAGACCAGCCTGGCCAACATGAAGAAACCCCGTCTCTACTAAAAATACAAAATTAGCCGGGAGTGGTGGCGCATGCCTGTAATCCCAGCTACTCAGGAAGCTGAGGCAGAAGAATCATTTGAACCTGGGAGGCGGAGGTTGCAGCGAGCTAATATCGCGCCATTGCACTCCAGCCTGGGCAACAAGGGCAAAACTCTGTCTCAAAAAAAAAAAAAAAAAAAAAATATATATATATATATATATATATGTAAATAAGCTATTAATCCATACATCAATTAATCTTAAATGCGTTTTACTAGGTGAAAAAAATGTCAGACACAAAAGGCTTCATTTTATCTGACTCAATTCATATACCATTCTGGAAAAAGCAGATCTATGGGGACAGAAAACAGGTTAATGGTTATCAAAGGTTGGAGGGAGAAGGGATAAAGAACATTCAAAGGGAAATTTTTAGGATGAAGGAACTGTTGTAGATGGTACTAGGGTAGTGGATATATGATTCTATACATTTGTCAAAATCCAGGCTGGGTGTGGTTGCTCATGCCTGTAATCCCAGCACTTTGGGAGGCCGAGGCGGGTGGATCACCTGAGGTCAGGGGTTCAAGACCAGCCTGGCCAACATGGTGAAACCCCGCCTCTACCAAAAATACAAAAATTAGCCAGGCGTGTTGATGGGCGCCTGTAATCCCAGCTACTCGGGAGGTTGAGGCAGGAGATGGAGGTTGCAGTGAGCCCAGATAGCACCATTGCACTCCAGCCTGGGCCACAAGAGTGAGACTTCATCTCAAAAAAAAAAAAAAAAAAAGTCATTGTTGTAAAAAGGGCACAGGCTTTGCTACAGATTTTTCTACCAGTGAAAAGATGTATACACTTGCCTGGCCTCATCATTCAGACCAATTCATAAAATAACAAATGCATGGAAAAAAAAACTTAAAAACACAATCATCATGTGACTGACTTCCAAATTAGATTCTCCTTCAAATCAGAGAGTATTGCTTGTTAATAGTGTTTATAAATTTTAATTCCTGATTGCTGAGACAATATGTACATAAAATATGTAGCCAAAGAGTTCAAAATAAAATTACCCAAATTACCTATTTGTTATTTTATACATAGTAATTATTTTTAAAAAATCGTTTGGCTGGGTGCGGTGGTTCATGCCTGTAATCCCAGCATTTTGGGAGGCCAAGGCGGGCGGATCGTGAGGTCGGGAGTTCGAGACCAGCCTGACCAACATGGTGAAACCCTGTTTCTACTAAAACAACAAAAATTAGCCGAGCATGGTGTCGTGCGCCTGTAATCCCACCTACTTGGGAGGCTGAGGCAGGAGAATCGCTTGAACCCAGGAGGCAGAGGTTGCGGTGAGCCGAGATCACACCATTGCACTCCAGCCTGGGCAACAAGAGCAAAACTCCATCTCAAAAAAATTTTTTTAAAAAGCATAAATTAAAAAAAAAAATAAAACTTTTAAGATGTTAAGCCCCTGAAGCTCCAACTACAAAGTAGGGTAAAAGGCTGCCTAAAGCAGTGAAGATCAAGGAGTGACCTTGGAGGCAGCAGAGGGAGACTGTATTAGTCCATTTGCGTTGTTGTAAAGGAATACCTGGGTTTAAGTAATTTATAAAGAAAAGAGATTTATTTGGCTCACAGTTCTGCAGGCTGTACAATCATGGGGCCAGCTCCACTAGGATTCTGGTGAAGTCTCAGGAAGCTTTTACTTGTGGCAGAAGGCAAAGGAAGAGAAGGTGTGTCACATGGAGAGAGAAGGAGCAAGAGAGCTGCTAGGCTCTTTTAAATAATCAGCTCTCGTGTGAACGAATAGAGTGAAAGCTCACTCATTACCATGGGCAGGGTACTAAGCCACTCATGAGAGAAACGCTTCCATGACCCAAACGCCTCCCACTAGGCCCCAGCTCCAACACTGGGGATCTTTCAACATGAGATTTGGAGGGGACAAACACCCAAACCTTATCAGAGATGATCCCAGCCACAGGTCTCAGAGAACCAGCAGAGGGCACTCCTCCAGGGCCCAGCCTGAGTGTGGAAATAGCTGTCAGAATCACGTCAGAATGTTTCAGAACTCATGGGGAAAAGCTGAGACAGAAAAAAAGAAGAAAGTAAGAAGCTGGCAGAAATCAGCTAGGAACCTTGAGAGACTTGGTATTTCATTGACAGGTAAGATAGGAGTGTTTTGACTCCCGTCATCCCTAAGGAAGACCACCAGTATCTGAACTGTCGGAGAGCCCTTCTGCCCTCACAAAGCCAAACACTGATGTGCATGGCGATTTGGGAACTTCTGGAGGGCATCACACCAGACAACCAACTTGCGCTGGGTCACCTGTCCCTCCTCCAGACTCGGGCAGTGTTGGCAGGGTGCCATATTAAGAGTGTAGCCATCAGGGGACTGTGTCCTTCCCAGGGAACCCCAACCTTTGTATATTCACATCACAGAAGCTCCTGCAGCCATGCCCCCAGTGCCCACTTGGATTGTGGCAGCCACACAGGGCTGGCTGGACCCAGTGGAGCTGCAGGGTTCCCAGTGGTCTAGCCATCAGGGATTGCTGCTCCTAAGGAAAGGGAGACTGCAGTACACAAAAAAAGTACCAGTTGGGACAAAGGAGGCCAGGCCATGTACTCATCTGTGTCCAAGAGCTCCTTGTTTGTGGGCTGAGTGACTGCACCACTTCCAGCAGAGTCGTGGACACTGTGTTCAGCTCTGCGCTGAAGGAGTGTAGTTCCATCCCAGCAGCCAAGCAGCCCCAGTGCTTAGAATCAGGCATGGAAAGGGGAAATTCTCCTGCCCTTCCCCCATCCACCACTGCTTCAAACACAGCATGGCCACTCCCATGGGAAATTGGCACGTGTGCCAGAGAAGAGCCTTTCTAGGGCTATCAGGGGTGACTGTGTTTCCACTGGCAGTGTGGCCATTTGGGCCAGGCTTGTGTGAAAGACAGGGCCCTTTCCCCTCTCTACAGGGAGTGCTAGCATTCCTGCAGTGGAGAGCAGGAAAGCTGAAAAGCTATGTGCAGGCCAGGCGCGGTGGCTCACGCCTGTAATCCCAGCACTTTGGGAGGCCGAGGTGGGCGGATCATCTGAGGTCAGGAGTTCAAGACCAGCCTGACCAACATGGAGAAACCCTGTCTCTACTAAAACTACAAAAACAATTAGCCAGGCGTGGTGGCGCATGCCTGTAATCCCAGGTACTCGAGAGGCTGAGGCAGGAGAATTGCTTGAACCTGGGAGGTGGAGGTTGCGGTGAGCTGAGATCACGCCATTGCACTCCAGCCTGGGCAACAAGAGCAAAACTCCATCTCAAAAAAAAAAAAGAAAAAGAAAAGCTATGTGTTTGGGGTTGAGGGAGGATGCTCTGCACCAAAGACATTTAAATGGTGAGCTGAGGAGAAGACATCTTTAATGAGTCTCAACTACATTGCAGTTGGAGATAGAGAGTAGTGTCTGGTCAATTTGAGTTTCCCCGATGCCAGGACTAGGGAATGACAGGGAAATGGATGGCATTCCTGCCTGGCCAGGTCATGAAGCTGGGGCAGCCCTCTCCTCATCTGTGGAGACCTAGGCACGTTTCACCAGAAGTTTCCCATGCCACCACTCCTGCCTGAAAGCTGCTGCCTGTGCTCACCATTGTGGGGCAGGCTTGGGGATCCAGCTCTACTCAGCTATGTCCCCCTCTCTGGTGCTGAGCAGGGAGCCCAGGCTGCTGTACATTCCACTTACCAGCACATTTCCTGAGGCAACAGAGAACTTTTCTAGGTATACAATGATGAAGCATATACTCACGTGCTTCTGCCACATAGGCTTTTAGGCATAAGCCCACCTACTGTTCTGGAGGCTGAACCACGCACCTCAATACAAATCAGTTGACAAAAGGGCACATGAGTGGAAATAAACTTCTCATCTCTTCCAAAAGAGGAAATGAGATAAACTTCTTAAACCTCTGCCATCCTGGCCCTGCAGGAGGCTGTGAGCCTGTTCACACTCCCAGTACATCACCACCACAACTGGCATTTGAGAAAGCCACCATACAAAGGCTATCTATAACCAGGGGACAACTACAGAGTCTTTGCCACTGAAAGCATTCACAACCAAATGCAAAGGACCTTAAACAACATACATTATAGTCACATTGTAAAGGGAAAAAAAATCCTGCCCAAATGAAATAAATTCAAAAATAAGAAGAGAAAGTTTCTACAGATGAGAAGGAACCAAAGAAATGATTCTGGAACTCTCTATGTTTTCTATTTTTTAAGTAAGTCCTTTGTTTCTCTGTTGAAAACAGTAGAATGTTTTGAAAACATACTCTGAAAAAATAGAGTGTTATGACATCCCCAAAACATTACACTAACTTTCTAGCAATAGATCCTAACAAAAATAAAATCTTTGAAATACCAAATAAATAATTCAAAATAATGATTATAAAGAAGCTCAATGAAATCCAAGAGAAAGTTGAAAACAACACAAAGAAATGTAAAAAATCAATTCAGCATATGAATAAAAAATTTACCAAGAGATAAATATTTTTAAAAAAGTAAACCACCTGGGCTGGGCGCGGTGGCTCACGCCTGTAATCCCAGCATTTTGGGAGGCTGAGGCGGGCAGATCACGAGGCCAGGAGATCTAGACCATCCTGGCTAACACAGTGAAACCTCGTCTCTACTCAAAATACAAAAAATTAGCCGGGCCTGGTTGCAGGCGCCTGTAGTCCCAGCTACTCAGGAGGCTGAGGCAGGAGAATGGTCTGAACCCGGGAGGCGGAGCTTGCAGTGAGCCGAGATTGCGCCACTGCACTCCAGCCTGGGCGACAGAGTGAGACTCCTTCTCAAAAGAAAAAAAAAAAAAAAAATTAAACCACCTGGAAATAAAAAATTCATCAAAGTAGTTCCAAATGCAGCTGAAAGCTTTAACAATAGACTAGACCAAGCAGAAGAAAGAATTTCAGAGCTTGAAGACAGGTCTTTCAAATTAACCCAGTCAGACAAAAAGAAAGAAAAGAGAATTAAAATATGAACAAAGCCTTCAGGAAGTATGGGGTTATGTAAAACATCTGAACCCATGAATCATAGGTATTCCTAAGGGAGAATGAAGTGTAAAAAGTGTGGAAAATCTACTTGAGGAAATAATTGAGGAAAACTTCCCTAACCCTGGCTAGAGATTTAAAATCCAGATAGAAGATACTTAGAGAACTCCTGGAAAATACATTGCAAGATGGACTTCACCAAGACAAATAGTCATCAGACAATCTAAACTCAATGTAAAGGAAAAAAAATCTTAAAATGAGCAAGAGAAGAGAAAAAGTGTCCTAAAAACCTATATAGGAAATTCCATCAGCCTAACAGTGGATTTTTCAGGCCGGGCACGGTGGGTCACGCCTGTAATCCCAGTACTTTGGGAGGCTAAGGTGGGTGGATCACGAGGTCAGGAGATCGATACTGTCCTGGGTAACACAGTGAAACCCCGTCTCTACTAAAAATACAAAAAATTAGCCGGGCGTGGTTGCAGGCGCCTGTAGTCCCAGCTACTCCGGAAGCTGAGGCAGGAAGGAGAATGGCGAGAACCCGGGAGGTGGAGCTTGCAGTGAGCCGAGATCGCGCCACTGCACGCCAGCCTGGACAACGGAGCGAGACTCCGTCTCAAAAAAAAAAAAAAAAAAAAAAAAAAAAAGCACTGTGAAAATCCCTATCCTGTTTGTTCCGATCTAATTACTGGGACATGCAGCCCCTAGTCACATAACCCCTGCTTGCTCAATCGATCACGGCCCTCTCAAGCGCACCCCCTTAGAGTTGTGATCCCTTAAAAGGGACAGAAATTGCTCACTGGGGGAGCTCGGCTCCTGAGACAGGAGTCTTGCCGATGCCCCCGGCCGAATAAACCCATTCCTTCTTTAACTCGGTGTCTGAGGAGTTTTGTCTGCGGCTCGTCCTGCTACAATATGGCGCCATTGCACTCTAGCCTGGGCAACAAGAGCCAGACTCCTTCTCAAAAAAAAAAAAAAAAAAAAAATTGCGGCCGGACGCGGTGACTCACACCTGTAATCCTAGCTCTTTGGGAGGCTGAGGTGGGCGGATCACGAGATCAGGAGTTAGAGACCAGCCTGGCCAGTATGGAGAAACTCCACCTCTATTAAAAATACAAAAATTAGCTGGGCATGGTGGCACGCACCTGTAGTCCCAGCTGCTCAGGAGGCTGAGGCAGGAGAATCGCTTCAACCTGGGAGGCGGAGCTTGCAGTGAGCCGAGATCGTGCCACTGCACTCCAGCCTGGCTGACAGAGCGAGATTCTGTCTCAAAAAAAAAAAAAAGAAAAGAAAAGAAAAAAAGAAAAACAAGCAAAGAGTGGTGATGAAATTTGAAAGAAGGGACTAGGCCGGGCGAGGTGGCTCACGACTAATCCCAGCGCTTTGGGAGGCTGAGGCAGGCAGATCACCTGAGATCAGGAATTCAAGACCAGCCTGGCCAACGTGGTGAAAACCTGCCTCTATTAAAAATACAAAATTAGCCGGGTATGGTGGTGCGTGCCTATAAATCCCAGCTACTTGGGAGGCTGAGGCAGGAGAATCGCTTGAACCCAGGAGGCAGAGGTTGCAGTGAGCCCAGATCGCGCCATTGCACTCCAGCCTGGGCGACAAGAGTGAAATTCCCTCTCAAAAAAAACAAAAAAGTAAAGGAAAAGAAAAGAAAAGAAATAGCATATAGTAGCATATAAATTCCCAAACATTAAACAATTGCCTTTGTTCATATAAACAATAAAAAGTTAAAATTTTTGTGAGGCGATAACCTCATATATAATAGAAACAAAAAGGTTTTTAATGAAAAAAATTACTAAGAAGTGTGCAAACTTTAAATGAAAACATTAAAACACATCTGAAATTTAAAAATTAGATATGAACAAATCGGGCCGGGTGCGGTGTCTCACGCCTGTAATCTCAGCACTTTGGCAGGCTGAGGTTGGAGGATCACCTGAGATCAGGAGTTTGAGACCAGCCTGGCCAAGTGGTGAAACCCTGCTTCTACTAAAAATACAAAAATTAGCCGGGTGTGGTGGTGTGAGCCTATAATCCCAACTACCTGGGAGGCTGAGGCAGGAGAATGGCTTGAACCTGGGAAGTGGAGGTTGTGGTGAGCCAAGGTCACACCTCTGCACTCCAGCCTGGGTGACAGAATGAGAGTCCATTTCAAAAAAAAAAAAAAAAAAAATGAAGAACTTTTTTTTCTTTTCCATAAGTTCTTGGGGTACAGGTGGTATTCGGTTACACGAGTAAGTTCTTTAGTGGTGATTTGTGAGATTTCGATGCACTTATCACCCGAGCAGTATACACTGCACCTTGTAGTCTTCTGTCCCTTGCCCCCTCCTACTCTTCCTCTCAAGTCCCCAAAGTCCATTGCATCATTCATATGCCTTTGTGTCTTCATAACTCAGCTTCTACATATCAGTGAGAACATACAATGTTTGGTTTCCCATTCCTGAGTTATTTCACTTAGAATAACAGTCTCCAATCTCATCCAGGTCACTGAAAATGCTGTTAATTCATTCCTTTTTATGGCTGTGTAGTACAGAAGAACATTCTCAAATAGGAAGACTATACAGCACATTTGCAGAGTAAATTTTCAAATGTAATACCTCCTAATCAAAATGCCAACAACTACTTTTTTTCTCAAGCTAGACAAGTAGATTATAAAGTTCACATGAGAAAATAAATAAGAATAATTAGAAAATCCCTTGGGGGAAAAAAACAAATTGAGAATTGGGTGTCTAGTTATGCCTAATAGTTAAATATTTTACAAATTCCCTGTCACTAGAACAGTGTGGCACTGGTGAATGAATAGACCAACCAATGGAACAGCACAGGAAGTCCAGAAACAGCCAAGTGCATAGCAACCTAGTCCTCATTTAATGACTTTAATTCATTCCTGGGCATTGTGCCACTAAATAAAAAGTATTAAACCAGGCTGGGTGCGGTGGCTCACGCCTGTAATCCCAGGAAATTGGGAGGCCAAGGCCGGCGGATCACCTGAGGTTGGGAGTTTGAGACCAGCCTGACCAACATGGAGAAACCCCCTCTCTACTGAAAATACAAATTAGGCAGGCGTGGTGGTGCATGCCTGTAATCCCAGCTACTCGGAAGGCTGAGGCAGGAGAATCGCTTGACTTGAACCCAGGAGGCAGAGGTTGTGGTGGGCCAAGATCGGGCCATTGCACTCCAGCCTGGGCAACAAGAGCGAAACTCTGTCTTAAAAAGGCCGGGCGCGGTGGCTCACGCCTATCATCCCAGCACTTTGGGAGGCCGAGGCGGGCGGATCACTAGGTCAGGAGATCGAGACCATCCTGGCTAACGAGGTGAAACCTCGTCTCTACTAAAAATACAAAAAAATTAGCCGGGCGTGGTGGCGGGCACCTGTAGTCCCAGCTACTCTGGAGGCTGAGGCAGACGAATGGCGTGAACCCGGGAGGTGGAGCTTGCAGTGAGCCGAGATCCCGCCACTGCACTCCAGCCTGGGCGACAGAGAGAGACTCTGCCTCAAAGTGGAGAAAATGGTACAGAGGCCAGGCGCGGTGGCTCACGCCTGTAATCCTAGCACTTTGGGAAGCCGAGGAGGGCGGATCACGAGGTCAGGAGATCGAGACCATCCTGGCTAACAGGTGAAACTCAGTCTCTACTAAAAATACAAAGAATTAGCCCGGCACGGTGGCGGGCGCCTGTAGTCCCAGCTACTCGGGAGGCTGAGGCAGGAGAATGGCGTGAACCCGGGAGGCGGAGCTTGCAGTGAGCAGAGACAGCGCAACTGCACTTAAAGGGCGAGACTCCGTCTCAAAAAAAGAAAGAAAGAAAGAAAGAAAGAAAGTGATACAGAAGTGAAAGAGATGTTTACCTATTGAGCAAAAGGTGTGAGGGTGTGTGTGTGTGATAAATGATACTAGAAAAAAAGAGAGCAAATGAATGATATTGTATTCTCTTCATAGTTAAGGTGTTCTGCTGTTTATTTTTTGTGGGGGGAGGGGGGCGCGGGGCGGACAGAGTCTCACTCTGTCGCCCAGGCTGGAGTGTAATGGCGCGATCTCGGCTCACTGCAAACTTCTGCCTCCCTGGTTCACGGGATTCTCCTGCCTCAGCCTCCTGAGTAGCTGGGATTACAGGCACGTGCCACCACGCCCGGCCAATTTTTGTATTTTTAGTACAGATGGGGTTTCACCATTTTTGTCAGGCTGGTGTTTATATGATATTAATAAACAATGAAAGATAAAGAAAAGATCTGAATCATTTGCATTTTCAGGAAAATTGTTACACATCAGAAAATCTGTCAGGAAATATTTGAGACTCCATCACAATCATTGCCCCTTAAACACACCCATCAAGACGACTGTTCTTCCTCCTTTAGAGAGTAAAATGAACCTTCAGTACATTGAGTTTTGTGGAATTCTTACCTATTTACTCTGAAGTTTCTATTTACTACTTACATACCTTTGTTTTCATTGCTCTATTGATATATCTACCTGCAAAGTTTTCTGTGAGTCCTCTATTGTTATAGAATGCACCATAATTTTTTCCATTAGGAAAATTAAATTTTGTTTACTCTTTTTTTTTTTTCTTTGAGACAGAGTTTCACTCTTGTTGCCCAGGCTGGAGTGCAATGGCATGATCTTGGCTCACTGCAACTTCCACCTCCCGGGTTCAAGCAATTCTCCTGCCTCAGCCTCCTGAATAACTGGGATTACAGGCATGTGCCATCACACCTGGCTAATTTTCTATTTTTAGTAGAGACAGGGTTTATCCATGTTGGTGAGGCTGGTCTCAAACTCCCAACCTCAGGCAAAAAAAAAAAAGTTCTCAATGTGGTGGTGGTGTTGGAGGTGGGGCTTAGTGGGAGGCGTTTGGGTCATCAGGAGCAGATCCTTCATGAATAGATTAATGTCCTCCCACATGAGCGAGTAATTTATTACTCTGTTGGGGCTAGGTTAGTTACCAAAAAGCAGGTTGTTATAAAAGCAAGTTTGGTTTCCTAGACTCTCTCTTGCTTCCCTGTCTCCCCATGTGATGTTTTTGCACATGCCACTCACTTTTCCCCTTCTCCAAAATGTTTTGACCTAACATTTGGCCTTCACCAGAAGTTTGCCAGATCCAGCACTATCCTGTTGAACTTCCCAGCCTGCAAAATCATGAGCTAAATAAACATCTTCTCTTTATAAACTACCCAGTTTCAAGTTATTCTGTTATAGTAATACTCAACATACTAAGACAGTCATTGAAAACAAAGTCAACCTGGAGGAGCCTTAAGGAGACATGATTAGGACTAAATACAATGTGATATCCTCGATGAAATCCTGTGACAGAAAAAGGAAGTTAAAAGAACTAATGAAACCTGGCTGGGCATGGTGGCTCACACCTGTAATCCTAGCACTTTGGGAGGCCAAGGCGGGTGGATCACTTTAGGTCAGGAGTAAGAGACCAGCCTGACCAACATGGTGAAATCCTGTCTCTACTAAAAATACAGAAATCAGCCAGGCACGGTGGCATGTGTCTGTAGTCACAGCTATTCAGGAGGCTGAGGCATGAAAATCATTTGAACTCGGGAGGTGGAGGTTGCAGTGAGTGGACATCATGCCATTGCACTCCGGCCTGGGTGACAGAGCAAGACTTTGTTTCAAAACAGAAAGAGCTAATGAAATCGAAATAAAGTTTAGTGATACTATATTAATATTGTCTCACTGGTTGTGAAAAATGTATAATAGTGATATAAGATGTTAACAATGGGGCTGGGGGCAGTGGCACACACCTGTAATGCCAGCACTTTGGGAAGCTGAGCGGGTAGATCACCTGAGGTCAGGAGTTCGAGACCAGCCTGGCCAATGTGGTGGAACCCTGTCTTTACTAAAACTACAAAAACTAGCTGGGCATGGTGGCGCGCACCTGTAATCCTAGCTACTCAGGAGGCTGAGGCAGGAGAATGGCTTGAAACCCGGAGGCAGAGGTTGCAGTGAGCCGAAATTGTGCCACTGCACTTCAGCCTGGGCGACAGAGTGAGACTCCCTCAAAAAAAAAAAAAATATGTTAACAATGGGGAGCTGAGTGTGACATATGTGAGAACTATGTATTATCTTTTCAACTTTTGTGTAATCTAAAAGTATTCTAAAATTAATAAGTTTATTAAAAAAAAACAACAACAACAACCCTCAGAAGAGGAAAGGAATAGGGAGTTAAAGAAAAAACAGTATACTTTTTAGTTTTCCCAGGGTTTCCTATCAAGGGGCTGGGAAGAGGGAGAAAAGATTGGAACCTCAGAGACAGTGTGGGGCTCCAGAGTTCTCTTGTCCTCTGACTACTGGGGCTGCTCAGAAATTGTCTTCATCCCCCTATTGATGTCAGGTTCCAGGGTCAGTCACCTCTGCCCAACTCAGACCACAGACATCCCAGCCTTTTCTGATTGCTCAATTTGTGTCTGAGACACCAGAGAGGTGCCACCCCCAAGTGGCCATAGACCTGAGGACAGACGACCTGAGCCCCCTTTTCTTCTCGCTGTGGACCTCCCCTGCGTCTCCTTGGGCTCCCGGAAGTCAGACAGGGTTCTTCATGCAAGGGCAAGTGTTTTAGTCTTTTTGGGCTGCTATTAAAAATCATATATTATAGACTGGGAAACACTGCCCTAGCCAAGTGATGGAGGTTAACATAATCATTTGATAAATCAACTGGGTAATATACACTCTTGGTATGTTGTATTGAGAGTATTGCATTTCATCTCTGTGCTCTTCTTCCCCCAAACCTATAGCCCTGTCAACCACACTCAAATTAAGGGACATTTTACAATATGCCTCACTAGTACTCCTCAAGAAATACCAAATTATCAAAAACGAGGTCTGAGAAATTGTCACAGACCAGAGGAGGCTAAGGAGATATAAAGGGGACTAAATGTAATGTATCCTGGATGGGATCCTGGAACATAAAAGTGATGTTAGGGAAAAGAATAAAATCCAAATAAAATAGGAGTTAGTAACAATGTATCAATATTGTTTCATAACCTGTCACAAATGTATAATAAAATAAGACATTAATAATAGGGGAAACTGAATGTGGAACATACGAGAACTATGTACTATCTTTGCAACTTTTCTGTAAATCCAAAAATATTGTAGATTTGATTTGATTTGATTTGATTTTTGAGACGGAGTTTTGCTCTTGTTGCCCAGGCTGGAGTGCAATGGCGCGATCTTGGCTCACCGCAACCTCCACCTCCCAGGCTCAAGAGATTCTCCTGCCTCAGCCTCCTGAGTAGCTGGGATTACAGGAATGCACCACCATGCCCGGCTAATTTTGTATTTTTAGTAGAGAGAGGATTTCTCCATATTGGTCAGGCTGGTCTCAAACCCCCCACCTCAGGTAATCCATCTGCCTCGGCCTCCCAAAGTGCTGGGATTACAAGTGTGAGCCACCGTGCCTGGCCAATATTTTAGATTTTAAAAGGATATTTTTATAACTAGTGCTCAGGAAAGAAAAAGAAAGTGGAAGTAAAAATTATCTACTTTTCGAGCGGCTTACCTTCACTCCCTCATTGACAGCCAGCCTCCACACCAGCCATATCTGTCCAGTTTAGACTGCAGCCCAGTCCTCTCCCAGGCTGCTCAATCAGAATCCAAGAGAGCAGAACATCGGCACTTGTGTGTGGTCACCGGGCTGAGAACAGAAGACCAGACTCTTTTGGCCTCCTCCTCAGGTTGAGACCTCCCCATTGTCACCTTTGGCTTTCAGCAACTGGACAGGACAACGTACCCAAGGGGGCGCCCCAGTCCCGTGTTAGGCTCGGAATCTGAAGTGTTTCCCAAATCCACGCTGACATAGATGTTTCCTCTCCACCTAGTGACCGTGGATTCTGACCTCGGGACAGAGCGAGGTTTCCAGGCCAAAACAAGTGGTTCCCAGGTTACAAGTGGACCCCACAAACATACTGTCACTTCTGCTGCTGCTTCCAGGGATAAATGTGGCTTATCCTGGGGACCAACCCCTACTCTCCATCCCTAGGATGGGGGAGAGGAAGGGAAATTCTCAGGGCATTGGCCTAGGGAGTTGGAGAAGCTGCTGGTGAAGTGAAAACAGGAACAGAATAGGGACATTAGAGATAAAGGGGCATAGAAAGGAATCAGCTCTGATGACACCTGTGTAGGATCAATGGGTTCTGCTTGGGGAGAGGCTCACAGGTTTCTAACTGGGATGGTGTTTTTCACATGGATGATAATTACAGCTGTGTCAGTTTTACAAGCGATCAGAAAACTACACTTAAATTTTAGGCAATTTTTGTGCTTACAGAGACAGTATAATGCGCTTACACACGAAGAAAGGGAAGAAGACAAGGGGAGAAGAAGTGATTGTAGGAATTAGGTTCCTGTTTCCTTGCTAGCTGTCAACCAAGGGTTGCTCTCAGCTTCTGGAAGTTACCTGCATTCTTTTGCTCATGGCCACCTCCATCTTGAAACACAGCCATGGTACACTGAATACTTCTTTTGCTTTGAATCTTCCCAACTTCTCTTTGATCTTTGTTTTTTCTGCCCCTTAAGGAGTTCATGTGGTTAGATCAGGCCCAACCAGATAACCTGTTTTATGGTCAATTGTCTTGGGACTTCAATTACAACAGCATAATCCCTACATAGTGGTGCAGATGGTCCCTGATTTACGATGGCTCAACTTACAGTTTTTCAACTTTATGATGATGTGAAAGCAACACACATTCAGTATAAACTGTACTTTGAATTTTGATATTTTCCTGGGTTAGAGAGTATGATACTCTGTGACGGTGCTGGACAGCAGTAGTGAGCTGCAGCTCCCATCAGCCACACAATTATGATGGTAACAACTGATACTGTACTCTATACTGTACTGTATGCAACCAGTTACATGAGATAGTCAACACTTTATCATACAATGGGATTTGTGTTAAGTGATTTTGCCCAACTGTAGGCAAATGTGTTCTGAGCACATTTAAGGTAGGCTAGGCTGAGCTAATATATTCAGTAGGTTAGGTGCATTAAATGCATTTTCCACTTGAAAATATTTTTCAGTTACAATGGTTTTATTGAAACATAACCCCATTTTAAATTGAAGAGCATCTGTACTTTGATTAGTATTTGACTGAATAACCAGGGGAAGCAATCTTGAGGGGGAAAGCATCTTTAGAATTCTGCCTATCACAGTACCTTGGGGGACTACTGCAAATGAATGTATCCCATTAGAACTTCTCTACACCTCTAATCACCTTTTGTCTTAAAGTGGCTGAGGTGAGATAAAGGGATCTAAAGGGATCGGGAGCATGGAGGGAGAAACAAGTTCTGTTCCATTAAAGTCACGCATTTACTTTCAGTTTCTTTCTGCATGGCAAGCTTTCAGTGTTCTCAGCCCACCCAATACTTTATATTGGGCAGAAACATCCTGATGGCTGATGCCATCAATTTTGGCCTTGGATCTAGCACCCACAGCCATAGGCTCTGGCTGAGTCCATGGGGTTTGCACCTTCAGGCTGACTTGAGCTTGACTTGCACAGGGGTAACCTTGAATGAGGAGGATTCCGTCCATTACCAAGTTAACATTTTTAAAGTTCTCATCAGGTTTCAACATAAGGGCTAGGGGAATTTTTCAGAGGAACAGGGCTGACTGCAAGCATTTATTTACATTTCTTTAGGTCAGTTTGTTTTTCATCAATGGATCGCCTTCGTCAGTACGGTAACACCAACCCAGAGTACTAAGAGGCTGAATATGCACTTGATTTCCCATAGTACTTTGTCTCAGGGAAATCTTACCTAGAGGACCAAATCTTCCTAATGGCAGTCAGGGCTCACTGCGATGAAAATATGAGACCTTTTACTGTTGCCTACAAATGGATCTAAGGTTGGGCTCGCAGACTGCAGAAGGTGCTGATCTGTAAGGCAGCACAGTTGTTGCCATTCTTTCTTAACAAGCATTGACATGCTACCTCCTTATACCCTCAACGTCTCAACTCCCAGATGATCCAGCTAAAGTGTAATGATTTGTTTGGCTCTGCCAATAGCTATTGTTAATTTCCCTCCTTTCACATTCACTGTGCGTCTCTGTAATTTTCTGCGGAAAAATTGCAGATACTAGGATGAAATAACTTTTGTCAGACCCAGATAAAATAGGGCCAGGCCAGGCACGGTGGCTTATGCTTGTAGTCCCAGCACTTTGGGAGGCCGAGGCGAGCGGATCACCTGAGGTCAGGAGTTCGAGACCAGCCTGGCCTACATAGTGAAACCCCCATCTCTACTAAAAGTACAAAAATTAGTCGGACGTGCTGGCATGTGGCTGTAATCCCAGCTACTGGGGAGGCTGAGGCACGAGAATTGCTTGAACCTGGGAGGTGGAGGTTGCAGTGAGCCAAGATCACACCATTGCACGCTAGCCTAGGTGAAGAAGCAAGACTCTGTCTCAAAAAAAAAAAAAAAAAAAAAAAAATGGCCAGGAAGGCATGAAGGAGAGGAACGTCATGCTTACATGTTTGAAGTAAGAATTGTTAAGTTGGGCGTGGTAGCTCATGCCTGTAATCCCAGCACTTTGGGAGGCCGAGGTGGGTGGATCACCTGAGGTCGGGAGTTCGAGAACAGCCTGACCAACATGGAGAAACCCCATCTCTACTAAAAATACAAAATTTGCCAGGCATGGTGGTGCATGCCTGTAATCCCAGCTACTTGGGAGGCTGAGGCAGGAGAATCGCTTGAACCCGGGAGGTGGAGGTTGCAGTGAGCCGAGATCATGCCATTGCACTCTAGCCTGGGCAACAAGAGCGAAACTCTGTATCGAAAAAAAAAAAAAAAAAGAAAAGAAAAGAATTGTTTCAAAGGACTTTTTAAAAATTCCACAAGAAATCTTTTCTAGGGAGTGGGGAGGGATAGCATTAGGAGATATATCTAATGTTAAATGATGAGTTATGGGTGCAGCACACCAACATGGCACATGTATACATATGTAACTAACCGGCATGTTGTGCATATGTACCCTAAAACTTACAGTATAATTTAAAAAAAAAAAGAAAAAAGAAAGAAATCTTTTCTAGCCGGGCGCGGTGGCTCACGCCTGTAATCCCAGCACTTTGGGAGGCTGAGGCAGGCAGATCATGAGGTCAGGAGTTTGAGACCAGCCTGACCAACATGGTGAAACCCTGTGTCTACTAAAAAAAAAAAAAAAAAAAAAAATTAACCGGGTATGGTGGCACGCACCTGTAATCCCAGCTACTCAGGAGTTGGAGGTTGCAGTGAGCTGAGATGGCGCCACTGCACTCCAGCCAGGGCAACAGAGCGAGACTCTGTCTCAAAAAAATAAAAATAAAAAAATAAAAGAAATCTTTTCTTCATCCTTCATGAATGTCCTGTCACAAGGTTTATCAGCAGGCATTCTTTTTTTTTGTTCTGTTTAGAAATAGGGCCTCACTCCATTGCCAAGGCTGGAATGCAGTGGTGCAATCATAGCTCACTGTAACCTCAAACTCCTGGGCTCAAGCAATCCTCCCACCTCAACCTCCTAAGCACCTAGGACTAAAGGCATGTACCACCACACCTGGCCAAGTTGTTTTCATTTTTTCTAGAGAAAGGGTCTTGCTATGTTGCCCAGGTTGGTCTTGAACTCCTGGCCTCCAGCAATCCTCCCTCCTCAGCTTCCCAAAGTGTTAGCATTCCAGGAGTGAGCCACGGGGGCCTAGCCTAGACATTCTTTAGTACTATAGTAATTCAGATAAGATGCTCTTGAAAGAACACTTGCCCAGTAACGGCAATGTCTCCCAAGTAGCTGGGATTACAGGTGTGCGTCACCACCACCGGCTAACTTTTGTATTTTTAATAGGGACAAGGTTTCGCCATATTGGCCAAGCTGAGGTCGAACTTCTGACCTTAGGTGATCCGCCCCCTCAGCCTCCCAAAGTGCTGGGATTACAGGTGTGAGCCACCGCTCTCGGCCGCGTGTTTTAATCATAATACTTTGGTCTTTTTTTTTTTTTTTTCGTAAATACTTTCCTTTTTTTTTTTTTTTTTTTTTTTTTGAGATGGAGTTTCACTCTTTTTGCCCAGGCTGGAGTGCAGTGGCGTGATCTGGGCTCACTGCAACCTCCACCTCCCGGATTCAAGCGATTCTCCTGCCTCAGCCTCCTGAGTAGCTGGGGTTACAGGCGCCCGCCACCACGCCTGGCTAATTTTTGTACTTTTAGTAGAGACGAGGTTTCGCCATGTTGGCCAGGGTGGTCTTGAACTCCTGACTTCAGGTAATTCACCAGCCTCGACCTCCCAAAGTGCCGGAATTACAGGTGTGAGCAACCGCGCCCAGGCTTTTTTTTCTTCTTCTTTTAGAGTCAATTAAGACTGGGAAAGCGAAAATCCTAGCGCTACTTGGGACCAGCAGTTATCAGTTGGTTGGAGGCTCGAAGTGGTGGTGCATGGCCGGGCTGTCTATGATTCTTAGGATGGGAAGCTTGACCTTGGCGGGCTCACCCTCTCATCTGGGTCAAGGGGCACACATTCTCGGTGGCCTGATGACTGGGAGGGAGCGGAAGAGGGCGGGGCCGGGGCGGGGCCGCGGCGCCGGGACTGCGGGTGCTCGGCCGGAGCGCTCCACCCGCTGGTCCCCGGGAGACCCTGTGCCCCTAAATCGCGGTCCACTGCGCGCGTCAGGTGAGTAGAGCGGCGGCGGGGAGTCGCGCTAGCGGTAGTAGAGGCTGATGTTGGATGTTGTCCCCACTCCTCTGACTCTTCCGCAGGCCAGGGGAGCACTGCGCCCCAATCTTGGAGGGGCTTCCAACCTCTGGGGTCCTCCGGGGAAACGTGGGTTAGTCTGGGGTGTATCCAGGTGCCCTGTCCACTGTGGGCACTCTGGGGATTCCGGGCCGAGGAAGGGCTCCTGGCACGTGTTGAAAAAGTCGGCATCCCAGAAGGAAGATTCTGGGCGGATGGGCATCGGGGAAGGTAGTCCCAACCAATGGGACCGTTTCTGAGCACATAAGCGCATTCAGTGGGTGCTAACAAGCGCCTGCTTTGCCAGGCAACAGTGAGCAAAACCGGCTTTGTTCCCGGCCACCGGAAGCTTCGAGGCTGGGGTTCCGGATCTGGGCGCCCAATGACAAACTAAGCGCGGAGGACAGGGCCAGGAGCGCCCACCAGGGCGGCGATCTGGTGGGTAGGTGCAGGGCAATGGCTGGAAAGGGTCCCCGAAGCCCTGAGCAGAGACCAAAGGGCCGTGCGACTGCAGGAAGGCCATTTTGCTTGGCTGACAGGCGGAAAACTCACGTGGCTGGAGTAGCAGGGTTGGTGACGACAAGGGTGAATCCCACTAAGCATTGCAACTGTTTGCGGTGTGAGGGGTGAGGGGGATTCTCATCATTCTCAGAATTGCTGTGGATAAAGGGTTTTGGGTTGGAGAGAGACTGGGTGCACTCAAAGGACTGAAAGATGGCGACGACACATTCCCTCAGAGGATTTACATTCTGGAAGGGTGGGGACAGGCCCGGGTACAGATAAGCCCGCAGGCGGCCTCCAGCTCTTACAGTCGAAAGTCTGATGAGTTATGCCCAGTCTCCTTCCTCCTCCCGCCGGCATGAGGTTTGGGGCCCTGTGGATGAAGGAAGTTCATGGGAGGCAAACGTGCCTGGGCAAGCAACAGCCGCAGAGATTCAGTCCCCACGGGGGTTAGAATCCACACTTAGGGCCTCTGCCTACCGCCTCCAGCAAATGCCATCTTGAGGACTAGCGGCAGCAGTAGGTCTTCTCTGCCAGAGAACTGGAAGGCCAGGTTCTTGAGGGCACTGTTACTAAGGCGTTTTTTTTGTTTGTTTGTTTGTTTGTTTGTTTTTGAGACGGAGTTTCACTCTCATTTCCCTGGCTGGAGTGCAATGGCGCGATCTCCGCTCACCGCAACCTCTGCCTCCCGGGTTCAAGCGATTCTCCTGCCTCAGCCTCCCTAGTAGCTACGATTACAGGCATGCGCCACCACGCCGGGATAATTTTGTATTTTTAGTAGAGACGAGGTCCATGTTGGTCAGGCTGGTCTCAAACTCCTGACCTCAGGTGATCCGCCCGCCTCGGCCTCCCCAAGTGTTGGGATTACAGGCTGAGCCACCGTGCCCAGCCTTATTAAGGCTGTTTTGAAGTGCAGTTGGCTGGAAAGTGGAAGAATAATCCAAGATCTGCATGCCTCATAAAAGGAGTGCGAATGGTTTTGAAAGACAGGAAAGGAAAGGGAGAGAGAGGAAAGAAAGAGAGAGGAAGAAAGGAAGGAAATCAAATTCATATCCCAGGAATGCACCTTTCATGACAACATTTTGGAGATCCAATTAACTCTATTCCTCGAGGGCGTTTTTCCTTGCTGGTATTTTCAGTTCTATTAACACTTCTCAAAAAGTGAAAGGAAAAAATAGTCAACAGGGTTTTTTGGTCTTTATTCTTTTCTTTCTATCTCTAGTAAGGGAGATGTGGGTGAGTGGCTGTCAGCAGGAAAAGGTGAGAGTTCAGCTATGTTTGCATCTGAGCAGGAAATTTCCAAGGATGAGCAGGGAACTCCAGTGCTGGGCTCATTGTGAGCCCTGAATAAGTGATTGCTCTTGGGTTGTTAGCAGTATTCTTCACAAAGATCTGTATATACAGTGGTTCCCCTTATCCACAGGTGATATGTTCCAAGAGCTCTAGTGGATACTTTGTTTTTGTTGTTGTTTGAGGCAGAATCTCACTCTGTCACCCAGGCTGGAGTACAGTGGCACAGTCTTGGCTCACTGCAACCTTCACCTCACGGGTTCAAGTAATTCTGCCTCAGCATCCTGAGCAGCTGGGACTACAGCGTGCCACCACGCCCAGCTAATTTTTGTATTTTCAGTAGAGACGGGGTTTCACCATGTTGGCCAGGCTGGTCTCAAATTCCTGCCCTGAAGTGATCCACCGCGCCCCACCCCAGTGGATACTTTGAAACCATGAATAGTACCAAACCCTGTATACACTATGGTTTTCTTTTTCTATACATACATAATAATGATAAAGTTTAATTTACAAATTAGGCATGGTAAGAGATTGACAACAATAACTAGTAATAAGATAGAACAATTACAGCAATATATTGTAATAAAAGTTGTATGAATGTGGTATCTCTCTCAAAATAATTTATATTGTAAATCTTAGCAACCTCAGCATATGATTATTTTTTCTTTCCTTAAGACAAGAATTTTTACCTTTTTATTTTATGGCTTCTCTTTGCATATCTGAATTTCCAGCGTCTCTACTCTTGTGCTTTTGGGTCATTATTAAGTAAAATAAGGCATTCTTGAGCACAGGCAACTGCTATACTACAGTAGTCAACCTGGTAACTGAGATGGCTAGCTACTAAGGAACTAATGGGCAGGTATTGTCTGCAGTGTGGATATGCTAGTCAAAGGGATGATTCACATCCTGGGCAGGCCAGAGAGAAAAGGTACAAGATTTCATCACACTACTCAGAATGTCAAGCAATTTAAAACTTAGGAATTGTTTATCTCTGGATTTTTTTTTGAGACGGAGTCTCGCTCTATGTCCCAGGCTGGAGTGCAGTGGCGCAGTCTTGGCTCATGGCAACGTCCACCTCCAGGGTTCAAGTGATTCTCCTGCCTCAGCCTCCTGAGTTGCTGGGATTACAGATGTGTGCCACTATGCCCAGCTATTTTCTTTTTGTATTTTTAGTAGAGACAGGGTTTCACCATGTTGACCAGGCTGATCTCGAACTCCTGACCTCAGATGATCTGCCTACCTCAGCCTCCCAAAATGCTGGGATTACAGGTGTGAGCCACTGTGCCTGTCCTCCGGAATTTTTCATTTAATATTTTTGAACCATGGTTGACCATGGGTAACTGAAGCATTGGAAAGCAAAACCATGATAAAGGGGAACTACTACATGTATTGAAAATCCAGATCACAGAATTGTGTGTGTGTGTGTGTGTGTATAATTTTGGTCATGGAAGAGATCTTAGAGAGTGTCTCCTTTATTCTCACATTTCTGATGAAACCAAGTCAGAAAGAATAAAGAGACTCACTCGAGGTGATCTGTGACAGATCCTAGCCTGGTTACCCCAGCTACATGATTTCCAATGGTACTGAGTCTAACATTAACATTAGGTTTAAACATTAACTTTTGTAGATCAAGAATGTCCACTTGTCCTTGGAAAATTATTTAGCATCTCTGCATTAGGTCCTTAAGACAGGGCCAGTAATTGTTACCTCATTGCTGAGAGCATCCAGTGGCACACTGTAGGGGTTTAGTAACTGCTGGCATTCCCTGACCAAATAAGGAAGCTGTTTCTTACCCTCCCTCTTGCTGATATGTTTTGTTTTTCTCTGACCTCAGGTTTCTAGAAGCAGGGTAGAACAGACGGCAGACACCTAGCCCAGGCTGGTGTTGTTACTAAACAATGGCAGCTGGTGAGCCAAGGGTGACCAGGGCCCTGAACTCGGTGGCCCAGCTTTGAGGGAAGCAAAATTGTTCTCAATTGTGGAAGAGGAGAATTTGGACAGCAGAACAAAAAAGGAAGACAGCCTCTTGGAGCAGATACATTTGTCACAGGAAGCCACATCAAACCCTGGGGCCTTTGCTGGGCCTCTCCATCTGCCCAGTTACTGGGAGGTAGATAGCCCCAGGAAGGAATCCAGTCAGGCCTGGGCACCAGGCCAGGAGTGGATAAAGCTAGAAAGAGACACCACAGAAGAGAAGATGTTTGAACAGCTGAAGCCAATCGAACCTGTACAGAAGACGCTCCCATGGGTGGGCGAGGTAGCTGCCACCCTGCAGGAAGCCATGAAGAGAGATTGCTGGAGGGAGGCACGGGTGAAGAAGGTGAGGAGACTAAGCTAGAGAGAGGTGGGGTCCAGGTCCTGGACTCCAGGAGCTCTTTCATACATACTCCTGCCTGCAGGTCAAATGAAATCTCAGATTGTTCCAGACTGAACGACATCCAGAAAAAGGAGCTGCAAGACCTTTCTCCATCTCCCGCACCATCCTGGCATCCTTCATGGAGTACTTCCTGAAATTTGTTAGAGTGGCAGCATTTTTTCCTTCGCTTTGCTTTCCTGTTTATATTCTGCATATCTGCATATCCTCTTTCCTCTCCCCCACATCTTATCTTTCTCCCTTTCTCTTCATCTTTCCTTTCCTTTTTTTTTTTTTCTTTTTTTTTTTTTTTGAGACGGAGTCTCGCTCTGTCACCCAGGCTGGAGTGCGGTGGCGCGATCTTGGCTCACTGCTACCTCTGCCTCCCGGGCTCAAGCAATTCTCCTGCCTCAGCCTCCTGAGTAGCTGGGATTACAGGCATGCGCCACCATGCCCAGCTAATTTTTGTGTTTTTAGCAGAGACCAGGTTTCACCATATTGGTCAGGCTGGTCTCGAACTCCCGACCTCGTGATCTGCCTGCCTCAGCCTCCCAAAGTGCTGGGATTACAGGCGTGAGCCACCGCGTCCGGCCTCCTTTCCTTTCTATACTTCACAGTTGCTGGCCTTGTGTCTGTCTTTTAATATTTCTCTCTTCCTTCCATGGTTTTATCTTTCTCTTAGGTTTTAATTCTCTGAATCTTGAGACTGGATGTTAATCTTGTACACACACACACACACACACACATATATATTTATATAAACTTCTTGAGTCTCTCCTGTTCTTCCAGAAGCCAGTCACCTTTGAGGATGTGGCAGTGAATTTCACCCAGGAAGAGTGGGACTGTCTAGATGCCAGCCAGAGGGTCCTTTACCAGGATGTTATGTCGGAAACCTTTAAGAATCTAACATCTGTGGGTAAGAGGCTGGGCTTCCCTCAGCAAGCCCCCTGTCCTAAGGGCCCTGGAACATCTGGTTTCCCTGGACAGGTAGATCAGCTTACAATTAGTTTCACTGACCCCTGGTTCTATGCTTTCCAGGTGTGAAAGATCTGAGTCACTAAGCTCAGTGGTAAAGAGAAGAAATGATAGCCTGCATGAAGGCAAAGATAACACTTGTAACATGATGACAGTGTTCTCAAAATATGCAAATTTTTCCATTCATCAAACAAATATTTACTAAGTCACTCCTGAGAACCAGGTACTTTGCTAGCAGCTGGCCTTTTAATGTCTCCTTTCCGCATCTACATGTCCCAGGTTATGGTTCTTAAACAAAGGCTACAGGAGGTAGCCTGTTGTCCCCATCAGATGTGAAGGGGCCATACCTGGGACCAACTCAACTCTTTCTCATTCCCACACATCAGCCAGAATCTTTCTGCATAAGCCAGAGCTAATCACCAAGCTTGAGCAAGAAGAGGAACAGTGGAGAGAGTTTGTCCATCTCCCAAACACAGAAGGCCTTTCAGGTAAGAATTGCCAAGCAGGGAGGAAGGGGAAAAGGGCCCAGGATAACCCCTGAAAGGATGGAGAGCTGATGAAGAGGATGAATGCTCTATAGATGCTCTCCTAGTGTACCTCTGTCCAGCCTGGTCAGACTTGGAGTTGAAAGAGAGCTTAATATCATAGGCTCAAGTCCCTTGACTTCAAGTTGAAGATCCAAGTCTCTCTCTCTCTCTCTCTTTTTTTTTTTTTTTTTTTTTTGAGACACAGTCTCGCTCTGTTGCCAGGCTGGAGTGCAGTGGCACAATCTTGGCTTACTGCAACCTCCACTTCCCGGGTTCAAGCGATTCTCCTGCCTCAGCCTCTCGAGTAGCTGGGACTACAGGCATGTGCCACCGTGTCCAGATAATTTTTGTATTTTTAGTAGAGACAGGGTTTCACCATGTTGGCCAGGATGGTCTTGATGTCTTGACCTCAGGTTATCCATCCACCTCGGCCTCCCAAAGTGCTGGGATTACAGGCATGAGCCACCGTGCCTGGCTGGCTGAAGATCTAAGTCTTTCAGGAGAAGTAGATGTCTTCAGTTTCTAGAGATTGAGAGATGACATGAAAGTTGCTTATGTCCATGATAGTGCTCTGATTAAAATGTTCTTTCCAAGAGAAAAGAGAAGCAAAGGAGATAGGTTTCATGCTGGGTTGGAGTAAGGGAGGCTTGTCCCTGGTAGTAAATAGTTGAGAGAGATATCAAGCCAGGCTGATACACTTTTTGGTTTTCCAGGACAGTCCTGGTTTATACTTCTCATCCCAGCTTGATTATTAATAACACCTCTTTTCACCCTCAAGTGGCCCAGTGTTCATGATGCATTATTATGTGGGTGTCTGTGGATTGTCTATGGGAGTTTGAGCAATATTGAGAATGAGATAAGATAGATTTCAAGAAGTGTTGTTGTAAGTTAAAATTTACATTTCTGACAGTGTTGAAAGATTCCAGTTAACTTTTTATTTGCTTCTAATTTGAAAAGCCAATTTTTTCTTTTTTTCTTCTTATTTCTAGCCTATGAGGCCCAAGGGTAAGGATGAATGTGTTGGGTGGGAGAGCAAGGGCAGAGACAAGAAGTGTGTTAGGCTGAATGGAGTGCTGTGTTGGAGTTCTTCTTCTTCCTCTTCTTCTTCTTCTTCGTCTTCGTCTTCTTCTTCTTCTTCTTTTCTTTTCTTCTTCTTCTTCTTCCTTCTTCTTCTTCTTCTCCTTCTCTTCTCCTTCTCCTTCTTCTCCTTCTCCTTCTTCTTCTTCTTTTTCTTTCTTTCTTTTTTTTTTTTTGAGACAGAGTTTCACTCTAGTTGCCCAGGCAGGAGTGCAGTGGCACCATCTTGGCTCACTGCAACCTCCGCCTCCCGGGTTCGAGTGATTGTCCTGCCTCAGTCTCCCTAGTAGCTGAGATTACAGGCAGATGCCATGACGCCCAGCTAATTTTTGTATTTGTAGTAGAGACAGGGTTTCACCATGTTGGTCAGGCTGGTTTCGAACTCCTAACCTCAGGTGATCCGCTGGCCTCGGCCTCCCAAAGTGCTGGGATTACAGGTGTGAGCCACCATGCCAAGCCTCTGTTGGAGTTCTTACAGTGAATTTTGTGTTATTCTTCCTCATTCACTGTAGAAGGCAAGAAGAAAGAGCTTCGAGAACAACATCCCAGTCTGAGAGATGAGGGGACTAGTGATGACAAGGTCTTCCTTGCATGCAGAGGGGCCGGCCAGTGCCCCCTATCTGCCCCAGCTGGGACTATGGACAGGACCCGGGTGCTTCAAGCATCCCAGGCTGGGCCACCCTTTTTTTGCTACACCTGTGGCAAATGTTTCAGCAGGCGCTCCTACCTCTATAGCCACCAGTTTGTTCACAATCCCAAGCTGACTAACAGCTGCAGTCAGTGTGGGAAGTTGTTTCGGAGCCCCAAGTCCCTCAGCTATCACAGACGCATGCATCTTGGGGAGAGGCCCTTCTGTTGCACGCTCTGTGACAAGACCTACTGTGATGCTTCTGGACTAAGTCGTCACCGCCGCGTCCATCTGGGTTACCGGCCCCATTCATGCTCTGTGTGTGGGAAGAGCTTCCGGGACCAGTCTGAGCTCAAACGCCACCAGAAGATACACCAAAACCAGGAGCCAGTGGATGGAAACCAGGAGTGTACTTTGAGGATTCCAGGCACCCAGGCTGAATTCCAGACACCCATCGCCAGAAGCCAGAGGTCCATCCAGGGGCTTTTGGATGTGAACCATGCACCAGTGGCCAGGTCCCAGGAACCCATATTTAGAACTGAGGGTCCTATGGCCCAGAACCAGGCATCTGTACTTAAGAACCAAGCACCTGTGACCAGGACCCAGGCACCCATCACTGGAACCCTCTGTCAGGATGCCAGATCCAACTCTCATCCAGTGAAGCCCTCAAGACTCAATGTCTTCTGTTGCCCCCATTGTTCTTTGACTTTTAGCAAGAAATCCTATCTCTCCAGACACCAGAAGGCCCACCTCACAGAGCCGCCCAACTACTGCTTCCATTGCAGCAAGTCTTTCAGCTCATTTTCCAGGCTGGTCAGACACCAGCAGACCCACTGGAAGCAGAAGAGCTACCTTTGCCCTATCTGTGACCTCTCCTTTGGGGAGAAAGAGGGCCTTATGGATCACTGGAGGGGCTATAAAGGCAAGGACCTGTGCCAGAGCAGCCACCATAAATGCCGGGTGATCCTGGGCCAGTGGCTTGGCTTCTCTCATGATGTCCCCACTATGGCTGGGGAGGAATGGAAGCATGGAGGTGATCAATCTCCCCCCAGGATCCATACCCCCAGGAGAAGAGGCCTAAGAGAGAAGGCCTGCAAAGGAGACAAAACAAAGGAGGCAGTGAGCATCTTGAAACATAAATAAATGGCCTTTCTGACTGAGCTCTTTCTTTGTGTTTAGTTTTCCTGAGGACTGACCTCTGGGGTAATGAGGCTGGAGTAGAGGGAGACAGGTGCGTGGATAAGGAAGGAAATACATAAAAGACAAGGGGTTAGAAGTGTGCTTATGAAAACTTGTATTATTATTTTTTATTTATTTATTTATTTATTTATTTATTTATTTATTTATTTATTTATTTTTGAGACAGAGTCTTACTCTGTCACTCTGGCTAGAGTGCAGTGGCGCGATCTCAGCTCACTGCAACCTCTGCCTCCTGGGTTCAAGCGATTCTCCTGCCTCAGCCTCCGGAGTAGCTGGTATTATAGGTGCCCACCACTATGCTCAGTTAATTGTTTGTATTTTTAGTAGAGATGGGGTTTCACCATGTTGGCCAGGCTGGTCTCGAACTCCTGACCTCGTGATTCGCCCGCCTCGGCCTCCCAAAGTGCTGGGATTACAGGCGTGAGCCACCGCACCCGGCCAAAACTCATATCTTTATTAATTAGCACCTAGCTTGTTTGTTTGTGTCTGACCATCAAGTAGTAGTTGTTGAATAAACAGTGGATACTCTGATAGATATGAAGATAGGAGAAAAGGATGAGAGGAAGGAAAGATTCTGAGACCTGTGGAAGATGTGTAAGTAGAAGGAAAACATTCTAAAGCAGGCATGTTGCCCAGCTTTCGTTTTTGCTTCCCCAGGTCCCTAGTAGGCTGCCAAGACAAGGAGGAGCTCTGGCTAGTATTCTGTAGGTTTCTCCCCATCTCCAGGTTTGGGTTGGGGCTACTCATATCCTCACTCTTCAGCTCACTCAGCTCTCTCTTCAATGTTTTGCACTCTTCCTCTTCCTTCCCTTCACATGCCTTTCAGTTTTGCGCAATCAGGGCTGGAGTCTTGGAAGAAACAACCACCATTTGCAAAGTTACCATACTGTAATTTTCAGTGAGGAGATTCCTGGCCTCCAGTTCATGGCAGAGACCATCCTGTGTTGCTCTCCAGTACAGGTGTCCTCTGATGGAGAGAGGGGCACCTGCCTGTCCTTAGCCAGAGAGGGCTTCCAGGTGGAAGACTGGAGAGAGAAATGGAAAGAAGGGTAATAAAAATGGGAAAATGAAGAGAAAAGGTAGATGACAGAAGAAGGGAAATCAATTCTACTTGGAATTCAGAGTGTTCCTGAAAGTGCAAATTGGAATGTCCCCATAGCAAAGATGCCAGTGAGTGTGCAACTTGATGGATGAGATGTCCCCAAGGACAAATCCCTGGGCAACCAGGCTCTCCTCCACCCCTGCCAAGATGTGACATCACTCAGAAGGGATTTCCTAGAAGAAGGAGAAAATAACTTGAAAAACGTATGTCAGTAGTTTGTATCATAAAACCATTGAACTAGGGAGAAGAAAAGCCCTTGGGGTCATCTTGTCTCCATTCCTGCCTCAATGGTTGATCTGAGAGGTGAGGCACTGGGCAGTTGCTGTGGAATGGGCAATGAGACCAGCTAGGGTTGGATTCCTGCTTAGGGGCAGTGAAGGAGGAATGGATCAGGTGGCAGATAGGAGTGCCTCCAGCTTCTCTGCCACCTGTAAATGTGTCTCTAACAGCTGGCTTCTTTGCCCTCTACCTCCCAGGAGGAGTCTTCCCTCCACCCAGGCTCTCCAGCTCCTCCTTTCCTCTGGGAATGTGATCCCTCAATAGCCCGCCTCTTCCTCTTGTTGCTTCTGTCTCCCTTTCCTGGCTTTTTATTCTCTGCTTATAACAGAGAGAAGAGAACTTACGTAGCTCTTCAAGGAATTGCCCTGAAAACAAAAAGAAACAAATATGTGATTAGTGGAAGATGAACAGCACCTTCCCCACATCCTCCCTATGGACATTTGGAGTGACCCACACTGCCCTTTCCACTGGGGGATCCCACAGATCCAGTAAGTGGTTCTCTTCACAGTTTCTCAGAAGAGCCTGGGGTTGGGCATGGGGACAGAGGAATAAGGAAATCCCAGCTCCCCTAATCTTGAGTCCTGGTTCTATTCTCTTTTGGCTTCCCATTCAGAGCTGACTTGGTCCCCCACTATTTGGTGGTCTTGCCTGCTGCCCAGCCACTGCACCTGCTAGTCTTCGATGTAGCCAGTTGTAGCAGATGATCAAGGCAACCAAGGGTCCAAGAACCGGCACAATTACAAACAGGGTTATCTTCCAGCAGGGCACCCTCAGAAAGTGGGGATCTGAATTGTTCACCAGAACAAACAGGGTTAACATGTGTTCCCCCTCATGCCCCACCCACCTGTCTTTTTTGGTTCCTTAACCTGGGGTCCTAGAACACCAAAGGACTCTGGGGACAAAATTCAGAAAGTCCATGAACTTGGATGAGAAAAGTACTGCCTCCTTATTTTCAATAACTGGATTTAACATTTTCTTTCATTAAAAATGTAACAACTGCCAGGTGTGGTGGCTCATGCCTGTAATCCCAACACTCTGGGAGTCCGAGACGGGTGGATCATGAGGCCAAGAGTTCAAGACCAGCCAGGCCAACATGGTGAAACCCCATCTCTACTAAAAATGTAAAAATTAGCTGGGCGTGGTGGCACATGCCTGTAATGCCAGCTACTCAGGAGGCTGAGGCAGGAGAATCGCTTGAACCTGGGAGGCGGAGGTTGCAGTGAGCCAAGATCCTGCCCCTGCACTCCAGCCTGGGCCACAGAGCAAGACTCTTGTTGATCCCACCAACACCCATTCCCCCAAGTCTTGGAAAAAACAAAACAAACCAAAACATTTTACAACTAACCACAATATGAGCAGTACCTGTGACTTAATTACCAATGGAAGCCACAGATGTTTTCATTCCCATTAGAGTTATTGCAGAAATCTTGAAATACTGTTTATGTTTATTAGTATGTTGAAATTAAAGGTTATTGGGCTGGGCCTGGTGGCTCATGCCTGTAATCCCAGCACTTTGGAAGGCCAAGGCAGGCAGATCACCTGAGGTCAGGGGTTCAAGACCAGCCTGGCCAACATGGTGAAACCCCGTCTCTACTAAAAATACAAAAATTAGCTGGGCATGGTGGCATGCGCCTGTAGTTCCAGCAACTTGGGAGGCTGAGGCAGGAGAATCGCTTGAACCCAGGAGGTGGAGGTTGCAGTGAGCCGAGATTGTGCCATTGCACTCCATCTCAAAAAAACTTCATCTCAAAAAAAAAGAAAGAAAGAAAGAAAGAAAGAAATTACAGGTTATTAGACTTGCTGCTACATTACTTAATGTATTACTTTGGCTAAAGAAATATTTATGGCCGGGCACGGTGGCTCATGCCCGTAATCCCAGCACTTTGGGAGGCCAAGGCAGGTGGATCACCTGAGGTCAGGAGTTCGAGGCCAGCCTGGCCAACCTGGTGAAACCTAGTCTCTACTAAAAATACAAAAATTAGCTGGGTGTGGTGGCGGGCACCTGTAATCCCAGCTACTCGGGAGGCTGAGAATCGCTTGAACCCGGGAGGCAGAGGTTTCAGTGAGCCTAGATCGCGCCATTGCACTCCAGCCTGGGTGACAAGAGCAAAACTCTGCCTCAAAAAAAAAAAAAAAGAAACATTTATGTTACTATATCACAAATGTGATTATCGGTTGATAACTGTATTTTAGTACAATGATTGTTTTTGCAATCCTATGTGTTCTATTTTATGTGTATATTTAAAAACATTCTGCAAAGGGGTCCTTTAGACTTCACTGGAGTGCCAGAGAGATTCATGGTACAAAAAGGAGTTAAGACCTTTCATAGTCAAGTCCTCCAAAACAAAGATACTATTCCTCCTCTTTGGGTGTGTAAAGATGTGTGTGTGTGTGGTCCACACACTGGTCTAATTTCCTAAATCGTACGATAGACCTCTGTGTGCCAGGTGACAAGAGTAGAGTCACCTACAGCCTCGGGAGGAGGAGCTGTGAAGGAAGTTTGCTCAGAGAAGGTACCATCTGTGCCCTAATGACACCTTCTAGTGTCTGCAACATTTATCTAACAAATATTTGGGTGCTCTTCTGTTGCCATTATCTTTAGGCATTGGGCAATCTGCAGTGAACAAAAAGGCTAGAAACCATGTCCTTGAGGGGTCAATTCCTAGTGGGGCTTGGTGGCTTTTCTATTCCTCTATGAGGTCTTCTCTGATTAGTCATGTTCTGTACTCATGGAAACATCCTGAGTTTGTAAAGCAGAAATATAAGTACAGGTGATACAGTTGTGTCTTGTTTCTGTTTGTTTCACCTCCCCAACCAGACATCAGGTTTACGTGTAAACGATCTATTTACCTCTGTTTTGCCATTCCTGAAAAGAGAGATCATGTGCATAAGGAGTTAAACAGAATAAGATAACGTTTTTGTAAAGTAGTTAGAATAGTGCCTGGCACATAAAAACAGTACATGAGTATTTTTATTATGATTTTACCAATCCTAAATGCAAATGACTTCTTATTTAAAGAAAGAAAAGAGAAGAGAGGAAGGGACTCAACCAGGAGCCAGGGGTCCTTGTTCCCCCAGGTGACTGGAACTAGAGTGAAATACCAAGTTGACCTGGGAGGGCCTAGACATGCCGGAACTTACCAAAAGTCCGGTGGAGATTCTCTGAAAGAGAAACAAATGGAAATGGATTTAGTAGGGCACTCAAAAAGGATCTTTTATCCTGAGTCTTTGTTATTTAATTACTTAAAACTTGTTCTAGGCACGACACACCCACTGTAGAGAAAGGGAAACTGAGGGGAAAACAGGGTATTGAGAGGGAGAGACGGTCCAAGAACGGGACCATTTCCGTTATGCCAAAAAACCAAAAGGCAAGAATTGGGAGAAACGATGACTGGAACTCACCTATCTCTGCTCGAAGTTTTCCTAAAATAGAAAAAGGCAACATTTTAGTTCCTGCATGTTCTGGCTCTCGGTGGGGACCCTCCCACACCCAGCGCCTGGGCCCCTTGTGCAGGCTATTTCTCTGCAGCCTGGAAACAACCTCAGGAGAGTAGGAAGAGCACTGGATTTAAAGCCAATGGTTGCGGCTCTTTCTCTAGCTATAGTCTAGATACAATAGCGAATAAAGAATGTGAGCAATGCTCCAAGCCAGCACAAGCATCCAATACATCCCAGCTGCTCTTCGCCCCTTTTCTTGGATTCTCAGTTCACAGAGCTGCTCCAGCCCACTGCGTTGCCACTTTTGTTTATCTAAAGCCACTTCCCATCTGAATGAGGAGGGAGGAGCTGAACATTTAGTGAGTAGCTAGCTACTTTGTGACTGGATTTGTAGTAGGCACTTTGCATGACTTTAATCCTCCCTACAATTTAGGACGAAGGATGTTTTCTCTATTTGACAGACAAGGCAACTGAAGCTTGGAGAATCTAAGAATTTTGCTATAGAGTTCAGTACCTGAGATGGAATTCAAACCCAGGCTGCCTGACTCTAACATTCAGATTCTTTCTGCTCAGCCATGAGGGCTGAAGGCCTTTTTTTGTGTGGAAGAAGTAAACAAGCAGGCATCTGGGATGAATTCAAGGTGAGAGAAAGGACTTTGTTGTTGATCGCACCAACACCCATTCCCCCAGAACATTCCCCATACCCTCCTTGCTACTTTCTCCTCTCCTCTTAGTAACAAATGGGAGGTGGGGCATGGGGAGGAGTGAAGACTCTTCCTGCTCTGGCATTGGGGAGACACTTGGTAGGAGGAGAAGGCTCAGAATGAAAGCTCTAGGCAAAAAAGAGGAGCTTCATCAGCAGCTGAACCTGAGTCCTCAGTGTTGAATGGAGAAAGAGGAAACAATTTTCGAACGCCTACTGTGTGGTAGAGACTTTCACTTCAGTATCTTTATTCAAAACTCCTAATAGCCTAGACCTGTCTGACTTCGAAGCTCACACTCTCCCAAGTTGCATGGAGCTGCTAGGTATGATACAGAGGCCTCAGCTCTACCACTTATAAGTTATATCGGTTTGAGTAAGTCACTGAACTACTCCTGGCCTCAGTTGTATCCTCTGTAAAATGGGGTTACTATATGGCATAGTTAGCTCATAGGGAAATGCTAGGTCCGATTATTCATATGAAAGCATTCCGTAAGATGTAAAACTCTTTCATCATGGAGTTATTTTTTTTCTTTATCACTCAATAGTGAGAAGAACTTCTGAACCCAGAAGTCACTCACAAATACATGTTAAGTGGTGTAGCTCCAAGAAGCCAGCTCATTTAAAGAAAGGATCCTGATCCACCCACCCTCTGCCCTGTACCTCTCAGTCTGTACTGCAGGCAGAGGAAGACGAGGCCAACAGTGATCTGCAGGAGGAGCACAGGCAGCACCGCGAGGAGAACCAGCACTCCAGGGCTCACCCAGTAGAAAGGATCTGAAAGGCAGGACTGACATTTGACATTGTCCAGAGCTGAATCCCCAACACTCAGCATGGTGTCTGGGGCCCAATAAATCAGGTCAAATAAAGAAGTGAATATCATCAGGATTCAAAGAAGGTGACACAGAATTGGTCCCTGAGCTTAGCCCTGAAGGAAAAATGGCTTTTTTTTCCAGGAAATGCTAGTGATTTAGAATGACAAGTGGTTTAAAGTCAAGATTGTGTATTGGGTCAGGCTGGGGGAGTTTTAACGAGCAGCTAAGGGACTTACATCTGAAGTCCCTCAAGGGACTTTTTATTGACGACAAAGTCAAAGGTTCTCTTCATATTATTGTGGTGTATCGCCTACAAGCATAATTAAAATAAACACTAAATTTCAGTTTAAAGTTTACTGAAAATAAATATGTATTTCAAATATGTAGTTCAAGGCTGTGGTGGTGCACTGAAGGATTCCAAGCTGAGAAGTGACCACGTCAGATTTAGCACCTACAGGACTGGAGAACATAGGGAGAAATGTTAAGAGACTGTGATAACAATTAAAGTAAAAAACAACATGAACCTGAACTAGGACAGTGGTAATGGTATAGGAAGTCAGGGGATTCAAAGCTTAAATAGGGAATAAAAAATACATATTTATTTTCAGTAAACTTTAAACTGAAATTTAGTGTTTATTTTAATTATGCTTGTAGGCGATACACCACAATAATATGAAGAGAACCTTTGACTTTGTCGTCAATAAAAATCACAAATATTGGCCAGGTGCGGTGGCTCACACCTGTAATCCCAGCACTTTGGGAGGCCGAGGCGGGCGGATCGCCTGAGGTTGGGAGTTCAAGACCAGCCTGACCAACATGGAGAAACCCTGTTTCTACTAAAAATACAAAATTAGCTGGACGTGGTGGCACATTCCTGTAATCCCAGCTACTCAAGAGGCTGAGGCAGGAGAATCGCTTGAACCCAGGAGGCGGAGGTTGAGGTGAGCCGAGATCTTGCCATTGCACTCCAGCCTGGGCAACAAGAGCGAAACTCCATCTCAAAAAAAAAAAAGAAAAAGAAAAATCACAAATATTTTCACGTCACATTAGAAAAGTCACAGAAATCTCAAACTATCACTTATGTTCATTACTATTTTGAAATTACACTAATTAATAGGGTCACCCTAACTCTTGTTAATTTAATATTTTGATAACTGTATTTTGGTATAAATGTTTTATTTGGTGTATTTAAAACATTCTTCTGGCTAGGTGTGGTGGCTCTCCCCTGTAATCCCACCACTTTGGGAGGCCAAGGCAGGAAGATTGCTTGAGCCCAGGAGTTCTCGAGGCCAGACTGGGCAACATAATGTGAGACCCTGCCTCTACGAAAAAAAATTAAAAATTACCTGGGCATGGTGACACAAGCCTGTGGTCTCAGCTATTCAAGAGGCTGAGTCAGGAGGATCACTTGAGCCTGGGAGGTGGAGGCTGCAATGAGCCATGATCGTGCCACTGCAACCAATCCTGGGTGACAGAGTGAGACACTGTCTCAAAAAAAAAAAAAAATTCTGAGATGGGTCTATCAACTTCATCAGCTTGCGGAAGGTGCATGACACACAACAAAAGGTTAAGAGCCCTCTTCTAGAGCTTTTAAGAAGGTAGTTTACAGCGGGCATGGTGGCTCACACCTGTAATCCCAGCATTTTGGGAGGCCAAGGTGGGTGGATCACTTGAGGTCAGGAGTTCGAGACCGGCTTGGCCAACATGGTGAAACCCTCTCTCTACTGATAATACAAAAATTAGCCAGACATGGTGGTGCAGCCTGTAATCCCAGCTACTTGGAAGGCTGAGGGAGGAGAATTGCATGAACCTGGGAGTTGGAGGGTGCAGTGAGCCGAGATTGCACCATTGCACTCCAGCCTGGGTAACAAGAGCAAAACTCCATCTCAAAAAAAAAATAAATAAATAAATAAAAGAAAAAAGAAAAAGAAGGTAGCTTACACAGGATTCAGTAACTGAACAGATGTGCAGACCTGGAGATGTGGAGTAGGTTGAGCAATGAGGGAGGGGGACCTTCACTTCTGTGGCTCCCATCTATTTCCCATTCTAGGTCTGCTCCTCAGCATCCAAAAGCCCCACTCTAATCTCCATGTGCCATGCTGCAGCTGAAGCCCTTTTCATCTTGATCTCTGCTTTAAGGGAGCTAAGTAAGGATAATGACATCAAAGGTAGGGATACATCACAGCTAATAACATTAAACTGGTCCAGGAGGGTTGCTTAGGTATAATTACAATCCTTCAAGCTGTAGACTAAGGCTCCTGTCTATCATTGTGTTCCCTAGGGGAAAATGCAGCTACCTTTACTTTCAAGTTCTTAATGGAAGTTACCTGTAGCAATGTGATTTAGCGAGTATGTACTTAAGGGTTTTTTTCTCCCAACCCCCCACATTTTTCCTTTCACAAATAATTAGAAAAGAGAGAAAAGCAGACATTATCAGCCTCCGGATGTAAAGCAACAAGAAGTATAGAGTATCACTGATGAACTATATTTGCCAAAGTAAATCAAACACAAATGTCATTGCACCTCCACATCTATCAGTTTACAGAAAAACACAGGGCATGGAGGACCGTATTACATAGCAACATGGGAATGTCGTCAACAAAATTCAGACCCTGGGAAACCCTAAGGGCAAAGGTCAACAGGTGGGTCTCATTTGAATCTCGCTAAAAGAAACCAACTGTAAGAGTATATTTATGAAACAATCAGGAAAATTTGAACACAAACTGGGTATTTGATGATATTAAGAAATTTTTGTTGAGTTTGTAAGATGTGATAATAGTATTGTGGTTATTTATTTATTTATATTATTGTGTGTGGGGAGGGGGGGCTTTTTTTTTTTTTTTTTTGAGTCTCACTCTGTTGCCCCAGGCTGGAGTGCAGTGGCATGATCTCAGCTCACTGCAAGCTCCGCCTCCCGGGTTCACTCCATTCTCCTGCCTCAGCTCCCAAGTAGCTGGGACTACAGGCGCCTGCCACCACGCCAGGCTAATTTTGTTTTTGTATTTGTAGTAGAAATGGGGTTTCACCATGTTAGCTAGGATGGTCTCAATCTCTTGACCTCATGATTCGCCCTCCTTGGGCTCCCAAAGTACTGGGATTACAGGTGTGAGCCACCGCGCCCGGCCTATTTATTTTTTAAAAAGTGTTCTTCGCTGGGTGCAGTGGCTCGCGCCTGTAATTCTAGCACTTTGGGAGGCCGAGGTGGGAGGATTGCTTGAGCCTAGGAGTTTGAGACCAGCCTGATCAACATGGTAAAACCCAGTCTCTACAAAAAATACAAAACATTAGCAGTGTGTGGTGGTGTGTGCCTGTGGTCCCAGCTACTATGTAGGCTGAGGTGGGAGGATGGCTTCTGCCCGGGAGGCAGAGGCTGCAGTGAGCAGAGATATGCCACTACACTCCAGCCTGGGTGACAGAGACAGATCCTGTCTCAAAATAAATAAAAAGAAAAAAAAGAAATGATCATGCTGCCTAGGATTTACCTCAGTAATTGAGTAGGGGAGGGTGGTAATGAGTGGGGAGCCGGTGAGGTGGGTGGTCCCTGGATTGACAAGTGCTGCAGCAAGGTGGTAGGCACTTGGAGGCTCATTATAATATTATCTCTGGTTTGTATGTGGTTTTTTTTTTTTTGAGACAGAGTTTTGCTCTTGTTGCCCAGGCTGGAGTGCAATGGCGCGATCTTGGCTCACCGCAACCTCTGCCTCCCGGTTCAAGCGATTCTCCTGCCTCAGTCTCTCAAGTAGCTGGGATTACTGGCATGTGCCACCACGCCTAGCTAATTTTGTATTTTTTAGTAGAGACGGGGTTTCTCCATGTTGATCAGGCTGGTCTCGAACTCCTGACCTCGGGTGATCTGCCCGCTTCGGCCTCCCAAAGTGCTGGGATTACAGGCGTGAGCTGCCGCGCCTGGCATTTGTTTTTATGTTTCATAATGAAGAATTTAAAGAAAGGATTAGAGACAACTAGTAATAAAATCACAAAAATGACAAGAAAAAAATAAGTAAACAAGAGAAATTAGAAACTCTTCAGAGAAAGAGCAGAGGTAGTTACACCTGAGACTTGCAATAATACCATTACTTCATCTCATTCCTAAATTTGTCTCAACTTCCTGGCTCCAAAGCCTAGACAAAGCGTCCCTTATTTACTTGTAAAACAGTTTCTTAGGCATGCAGACGAAGAGGTGGGAACAGGAGGTTGGAATGTGGATAGCAACCCAAAAGAGAACTTTCTCCCCTGAGGCAAAGTCTTTAGCTGCTTTTCTTTTTGTCTTCCTTGTTTTTTTTTTTTTTTTTTTTTTGAGATGGAGTTCCACTTTTCTTGCCCAGACTGGAGTGTAATGGCACGATCTTGGCTCACTGCAACCTCCGCCTCCGGGGTTCAAGCGATTCTCCTGCCTCAGCCTCCCAGCTGGGATTACAGGAATGCGCCACCACGCCAGGCTAATTTTGTGTTTTTAGTAGAGACAGGGTTTCTCCATGTTGGTCAGGCTAGTCTCGAACTCCCGACCTCAGGTGATCCACCCGCCTCGGCCTCCCAAAGTTTTGGGATTATAGGTGTGAGCCACCGCAACCGGCTTGTCTTCCTTTTTTGGTGTGGTGAAACTGAGGGAGTTTGTTGGGAGAGGCAGTTACTGAGCTAGGAAGTTGTTGAGCAGGAAGGAGAAAAATCTGCAAACTGGAGAGGGTCTCACTATCAAACTTTTCGGCAAGTAGAATTTCCCCAATAAAAACAGCTGTATGAAGAACATTCTGAGACACATAAAGCTATTTCCATATCCCTGCAGGCAGTCTCTAGAAATAGTGCTTTGTTGTTCCACATACAATGCCATCTTCTGGTCCCAGCACTGCAATGGTCACTCCCACCTCCAAGATACAATAGTGATCAATTGTCTGATGTTTGCACTGCAGGTGGGGAGGAGGAAAAGGCAGAGGATCTGACCCCCAGGCTCTCAAAGCAGTTTAGTTCCTCAATTAAATAGCAAGTAACTTTCAAAGCTCCCCCTCCATCCGCTTCACCTTGTCCACATCTTAATCATCCTGCGATAGAGCAAAAAATATTCTCCAAAATCACCCATCATGCAAAACATGTTGAAAATGAAATTCTGAGGCCGGGCACCATGGCTCATGCCTGTAATCCCAGCACTTTGGGAGGCTGAGGCGAGTGGATCACCTGAGGTCAGGAGTTTGAGACCAACCTTGACAACCTGGTGAAACCCTGTCTCTACTAAAAATACAAAAATTAGCTGGGTGTGGTGGTGGGCACCTGTAATCCCAGCTACTCGGGAGGCTGAGGCAGGAGAATCACTTGAACCCAGGAGGCGGAGGGCGCCATTGCACTCCAGCCTGGGTGACAGAGCGAGACTCTGTGTCAAAAAAAAAAAGAAAAGAAAGAAAGGAAAAAAAAAAGAAATTCTGCAATTCTGCAGAATGAAATAGTGGAGGTACAGCCAAAAGGTGACATCTCCTTTCTATAATTATATTTAGACATTTGATTTACTTGCTTATTCACTAGGACCAAGCACAGGTGTGTGTGTGTGTGTGTGTGTGTGCGCTCACAAATACAGGGTTTTTTTTTTTTTTTTGAGACGGAGTCTCGCTGTGTCCCCCATGCTGGAGTGCAGTGGAAGGATTTTGGCTCACTGCAACCTCCGCTTCCGGGTTCACGCCATTCTCCTGCCTCAGCCTCCCGAGTAGCTGGGACTACAGGCGCCTGCTACCATGCCTGGCTAATTTTTTTTTTTTTTTTGTATTTTTAGTAGAGACGGGGTTTCACCGTTTTAGCCAGGATGGTCTCGATCTCCTGACCTTGTGATCTGCCCACCTCGGCCTCCCACAGTGCTGGGATTACAGGCGTGAGCCACGGCGCTGGGCCCAAGGGTTTTTTTGTTTTTGTTTTTGTTTTTTTTAGAGACGGGTAGGGAGTGGGGGTGAAGGTCTTTGCTCTGTCACCCGGGTTGGAGTGCAGTGGTGCAATCATAGCTCACTGTAACTGCAAACCCCTGGGCTCAAGCCAGCCTCCCGTCTCAGCCTCCTGAGTAGCTGCGAGGCAAACCACCATGCCCTAGGGTTTTGTTTTTGTTTTTGTATCCTACAGCAGCTTGCTCTTATCACTCAATAATACCTTATAGAAGGCCTCCAAACCATCTGGCCTAGTGCTAAAATAATCTTTTTAATGCCTGCATAATATTCACAGTATGGCTACCATTGTTCATTCTGTCACTTACCTACTCAAAGGCATTGATTTTGATCCCAATTTCCTTGCTACTCTGAATAATGATGCAACAGACATCCCTAAGCATGAGTTTCTGTTTATTGATGTGTACATTTTTATGGAAATCATTCCCAGGACTGAGATGTTTGGGTTGAGGGATCTCATCTCAGTTGAGAGAATAATTGTTCTTGGCCACCCAACAGTTAATACCTAATATTATATGGCACTACTCACCTTCTACTTTCAATTCCATTGCTGCCTCCTCTTGGTAAGAATGATCTCGGAAGAAGCAGGTGAAACCTCCTTCATCTGAGAACCTTACATTCCGGATCCTGAGAGTCACCTTTCCCTCACCAATAGCATCTTTCAGCAGCTCTGTCCGGCCCCGATATTCAGGTGCCTGGTCTCCATCTTGGTCCTTGCCATTTCTGTAGAGATGAACCACCCTAGAGAAGGGGGGGCGGTACCACCCCACCTCCATGCCTGTAGCGTTCTTCCCAGGAGATATGCGACATGGCAATTCCACTTCATCCCCGACCAGAGCCCGGATAGGGTGTCTTGGTCCTATCACTCTGAACTGCCCTGTCCAAGACACCAAAAGGAAGAGATTTAAGGTCAGAGGGAACCTTGGCAAGCAAGCCTGTCATGAGAAGGGCTGCTTCAAAACAGGGAAGGAAGAAGACACTCGACTTTTAAATGACATTCTAGAGCCAGGGAGGATTGCAATTGTTCTTCTTCTTCTTCTTCCTTTTTATTTATTCATTTATTTTTTGAGACAGTCTTACTCTCTGTCGCCCAGGCTGGAGTGCAGTGGTGCAATCTTGGCTCACTGCAACCTCCGCCTCCCTGCAACCTCCGCCTCCCAGGTTCAAGTGATTCTCCTGCCTCAGCCTCCCGAGTAGCTGGCATTACAGGCACCTACCGCCGCATCCAGCTAATTTTTGTATTTTTAGTAAAGATGAGGTTTCACACTGTTGGCCAGGCTGGTCTCGAACTCCTGACCTCAGGTGATCCGCCTGCCTTGGCCCCAAAGCGCTGGGATTATGGGCATAAACCACCACACCCGGCCTCAAGTTTCCTTCTTGAGAACAACAACGACAAAAAAGACTCTGGTTATAGAGATACTGTGAATGTCCTGGACAGAACATTTTAGCAATCATCTCCTCTCAGCATCTGCCCATCTTTTTGCCAGCTGTAGCCATCTCTGACTCTTCAGCCCAGCCTTTAGGTTCCCTCTTGGAATGTGGCACAGCATCTTGAGGTTGAATCCTCCTATGGGCCTCCCTGTTAGGACTTGGCCAAATTGCTGCCTATTCTACCCTTAGAGGTTTTGCTTTTGTCACTCCATCTACTTTAACTGTCTCTCCATCACTTCTCACTATTCAGTCCTTGTTCATACCTTGTTTCCCAAATTCTCTTCTGAGATCTTCCACCCTGGGGATGGCTCTATTTCCCTCTTCCTTCCCCTGTATCTTCCACCTCACTGTGGCTCCCGGACCCTGACCCGAAAAAGTTCCTTGTTTTTTTCTATGTGGATGTGTTTCTCAAGTCAGATTCTGAGCTACTAAGAAATAAGGCTGCTTTCTCCCCTAGACCTGGAGAGTGGATGCACTGTGCCTCTGTCAGTCAGGTGGCTCCCTGAGGATGGGAAACTTTCTGTTTATTTCTCCTCTGCACGTGACAGCCGGGTTCCTTTATAAAAACCTACTGGTGCCTGATTATGCAGAGCAAAGTCTCAAACATGACAAGATATTATAATTCCACAAACATTTATTGAGATTTACTATGGACAGGCACTGCTAAGCATGTTACATATCTCATTTCATGTAATCCTGATGAGAACTCCAAGAGGTTGTTATTATTTTATCTCAATTTGAGAGGTGAAAAGACAAAGCTGGAAAGACAAGTAAGAAGTAGTTCAAGGAAAGCCTTGAGTTAGTCACATTAAGGAGTCTGGGTCAGACGCAATGGCTCATGCCTGTAATCTCAGCACTTTGGGAGGCTGAGGAGGGCAGACCACTTGAGGTCAGGGGTTCCAGACCAGCCTGGCCAACATGGTGAAACCCCATCTCTACTAAAAATAAAAAAATTAGGCCTAGTGCAGTGGCTCACGCCCATAATCCCAGTACTTTGGGAAGCCGAGGCGGGCGGATCAGCAGGTCAAGAGATCGAGACCATCCTGGCCAACATGTGAAACCCCGTCTGTACTAAAATACAAAAAAAAAAAAAAAAAAAAGAAAAGAAAAAATTTAGCTGGGTGTGGTGGCAGGCGCCTGTAGTCTCCGCTACTTGGGAGGCCAAGTCAGGAGAATCGCTTGAACCAGGGAGGCTGAGGTTGCAGTGAGCCGAGATCATGCCACTGCACTCCAGCCTGAGCAACAGAGGGAGACTCTGTCTCAAAAAAAAAAAAGAGTCTGGACTCCATCTTGAAGGCTGTAAGAACCACCCACGGAAGGTTTCTGAGGAAGGGAGGCATGTCAGTAGGTCTATGTTTTAGAAAGATAATATAGCAACTTGAGGATGTTTGAAGGAGCTAAGCCCCAGGAAACTAGCCTTTCTGTTTTCAGGGTCTCCCCAGGGCAGGAAAAAAAACATGTCTTACCTGCATAGCTGGAAGACACTTGGAGGAGGAGGAGGAGGAGGAAGGAGCAGAGGCAGCTGGGCAGAGAGGGTCTCGATAAGCTTGCCATCTCTACTGTTCCTGGGGACAGAGAGCCCCCGCAGCAAGGTCAGGCCAAGTGGAGGCCCTTGGGGTGCATGTCCCCTTACTGCTGAAAAGCCCAAGGGAAGATCTTGGAGGGCAGTGCTGCCTGGGCCCTGCCTCCACTCCGGTAATTGCTGCAGCTGTGCCCGCAGAAACAGCCCCACGTCACCCTTGCCAGGCACTCACACAAAAGGGCTACAGACTGAGGGGATGACCAGGGTTTGCCTTCCCCACCCCCCCAGAGCAATGGAGCAGAGGCTGCCTGGTACAGGGCTTTCCTCCCCCACTCCCTCCTGGAGATCCAACCTTTGAAGGGTCTTCTAGGGGCTAATCAGTGGGGCAGGATCACTTACAGGACCTTAGGAAGAGGCTTGTTCATGGAATATGTAAGCTTCCTCCAATCCACCCCAGCCCTACTGACTAGTCAAAAGAGAGAAATTATTATTGGTTCTTAAAAAAAGAAAGAAAACTTAGATTTCTTTTTCCTGTTTCTATTATCTCACAACTGTCATCACCAGACCATTCTTCTTAATGTCTAACCTCCCTTTCTTCTACCGCGAATCCAAACTCTGCCCTGTATGTTTGTATATGTGATAGGTCACTTGGGATTTGTTAGTTTCTTGTTCCCAAAGAATGTTTTTAGGGAAGTCATGAGATGAATGTCAGGTGTGCTCAGAGAGGCAAGGTTGGAGGAAGGGAGACCAGCAAGGGCAGCAACTAACTATGTCAGTCAACACAGGCAGAAGGGACAGAGCCAGCATACAGGACACGCTCTCCAGCCTTCACATCACTTGCCAGTTTCCTCAGTGTCACAGGGGAGAGTGAGATCTGGAATGGAAAATGACCTTTCTCTCACCTCTTGGCTCAGCTGAGAATTGCAAGTGTGAGACCAGCATTGGTAGCAGGTTCCAAAAATAGACTTCCCAATCTTAAGGCAAGTATGCCTCACCAAATAAGGAAAAAAGGCTCAATTTAGAGCCGTGCTGTCCAATGCAGCAGTCACTCCCTGCATGTGGCCACTTAAAATTAATTACAATTAAATAAAATTAAAAATTTGGTTCATTGATTACACTAGCCATGTTTCAAATGCTCAATAGCACTACAGTTAGTGGTTATCTCATCAGACAACACAAATACAGAACATTTCCATCGTCACAAAAAATTATATTGGGCAACACAAAAATTTATATTGGGCAGCAAGGGGTAGAAACACAACTGAGACATACATTTCTGCTTTTGTCCGAGATGGGCGTAAGGAGCTAGAAGGACATTAAGGTCAGCTGAGTTTGGGAACTGCTTATTCTTTCACCCTTCAAGGCAGCCAGCGTTTGGACACAAGCAATGTTTGGCTACTCTGGTGCTGTGTGGTTGAAAGTCAAGATTGCAGGGGTCAATCCCATGGAAAAAGTGGCCGCTGTGGATCTCTGGCTTTTTACCAAAGGGGTTTTTTTTTCTTCAAAAACCTAAAATGTCCTGGGACGCTCTTTCTCCCTGTTGCATATTCAGGTAGGAGAGTTATGCACAAGATGCTTCTGGGCAGGATTTGGGGGTGGTAAGATGTGTGCAATTGTCCAGCACCAAGCAAGCTGTCAAAAGCTGGATGGGAGATCAGGATGAGGGTGGAGGCATGTGGGAGCAGAGAGGGTCAGGAGCCTGCCGAGCCATCACAGCCACTTTGGAGAAATCACAGCATCTCTGAAAACAACAATAAAAAAAACTAACCACCTTACTGAGATATTCTATGTGCTGTGGTTCTAAGTGGTTTACTTGCATTAACACCTTTAATCCTCACAACAACAAAACAAATATTAAACTATTATCACCCATATCTTACAGGTGAGAAAAGGGAGGTACAAAAGAGGTAAAGGAACTTGCTAAAGTCACACCACTAGGGAGTGGCAGAGCTGGGATTTCAAGCCAGGCTTTCTAGTCCTAGAACTGGCTCTTTTAACCACCACAATACAAGGCCTCTGATGAGCTCAGCTTATTTACTTTCATGCCCTCAACTGCCTCAAATTTCCTGAAAGGGGAGGATTCCTGGAGCTGTGAGAGCAGTCCCTTGGCTGACATGGTCTTTGGGCAAAGGTGATATATACAAGGGAAGGCCAGAGGGGCCACCAGCAAAATGAAGCCAGTGGTGTTGCCACTTGCAGAAATCTGGGGTATAGGGGCTGGGCCCGCTCACGCCTGTAATCCCAGCACTTTGGGAGGCCGAAGCGGGCAGATTACCTGAGGTTGGGAGTTCAAGACCAGCCTGACCAACATGGAGAAACCCTGCCTCTACTAAAAATACAAAAATTAGCTGGGCATGGTGGCGTGCGCCTGTAATCCCAGCTACTCGGGAGGCTGAGGCAGGGTAATCCCTTGAACCCAGGAGGCGGAGATTGCGGTGAGCCAAGATCCCGCCATTGCACTCCAGCCTGGGCAAGAAGAGCAAAACTCCGTCTCAAAATAAAATAAAGAAATCTGGGGTATGGGAACATCAGGTATTGCCAGGAATAGAGCTCAGTGTAGATGTGTCCAAGAAGTGAAACCACCCTGTATCACCCTGGGAGCTGCTCATTTCTTTCAGCATTTAAATATTATTTTAATTGATTTTGTATAGCATATGTTATGAGATCCTGCAAGTATTCCTGAGTTCTTGAGTTGCCTCTTTTTTTCTTTCTTTCTCGTTTTTGAGACAGGGTCTCTCTCTGTCACAGGCTGGAGAGCAGTGGCGTGATCAGGGCTCACTGCAGCCTTTACCTCTCAAGTTTAAGTGAACCTTATGCCTCAACTTCCTGAGTAGCTGAAACTACAGGTATGTGCCAGCATGCCTGGCTAAATGAAAGCTTCTTTTCTTTTCTTTCCCTTGGTCTCAAACTCCTGGACTCAAGTGATCCTCCTGCCTCAGCCTTCTGAAATGTTGGAATTACAGGCTGAGCCACTACACCCAGCTCAATTTTCTTCCAGTGTTGCTGTCCTCAGTAATTTCAGCTTAATCTGCATCTCTCACCATGTCCAATGACAGACCATGTACACAGTAATATATTCAGAGTGACACATTGAATACAGTAAATGTGTGTGGTAATTTTTTAACATGCTCTATGCTGTCCATATGTGAAATAGTAAGCATTCAATAAATGGTAGCTTTCCTACATAAATACCCAGCAACAGTACTGTATAAGCTTTTACAGATAATCTGTAAAATATGTATCTTTACATTATTTATGTTATCAGAAGTGATAATAGACACCCTGTTTTGATTCTTGTTGTCTACTTAATTCATAATTCCACATTAATACATAATATGGCTTTTTTGTACTTTTGAAAATTGATTGTTAGCTGGACGTGGTGACATGCACCTGTTGAGCCCAAGAGAGAGAGGCTGCAGTGAGCACTGATCGTGCTGCTGCACTCCAACCTGTGCGACAGAGTGAGACCCTATCTCAAAAAAATTTTTTAAATAAAAATTGATTCTTATAAAGTAACATGCTTTGAAAATAAATCTCAGCCAGCTAAAGCCGATCTGTATTTTCTCTAAATCCTTCCGTTTGTATATATATACCACTAGAGGGCGCTCCACGAAAGTCACTGCCTGTGAGTACTGCAAGTAGCGCTCACACATCCCTCCCTCTCCCTTCTCCCACCTGTTTTACATAAATGGTAACAATTTATCTTGAAGCTCTTTCCTTATCAGTACCTAAAGAACATCCTTGTTATTTTTAAACAGCTTACAATATTTTATTGGATGAATATAATATAGTTATTTAAGTAGCATCCCAAGACATTTAGACTGTTTCAGTTTTTTAAATACCTATTTTTACTAGGATGAAGCAAAAATGTACTCAATTAATTTAAATCAATACATATTTAAAAGCAAGTGCTATGTGTCATACTTTATATTAGGCCCTGATTATAAAACTTTCAGCAAGGCAGACAAGATTCTTGCCTTTATGAGTTATATTCTAGTTGTATTGCAGTTATATTACAGTTATATGTTACCTAAAGGCACAAATTGATCAATGTCAGGCCATCATTTTCAACCTTTTTGCTCTTACATATAATTTGGCAATGAATATCAGTCTACTAAGGCCAGCTACATATTTTGAGGGGCAAAATGAAACTATGGAGCTCCTTGTTTAATAGCAGGAAAAGACCAGGTGCAGTGGCTCACGCCTGTAATCCCATCACTTTGGGAGGACCAGGTTGGAGGATCGCTCGGGCCCAGGGTCTCGAGTCCAGCCTTTACAACATAGTGAGACCCCATCTCTAGTTAAATAAATCTATTAAAAAATAATAAAATAGAAAATAAAAAGCAGAAAAAAAACCCAACCTTTTCCTTTTTTCTGTGGTTCCACTGTCAACCTATTATGTGGGGTTTTTTTCTTTTCTTTTTTTTTTTTTTTTTTGAGACGGAGTCTCGCTCTGTCGCCCAGGCTGGAGTGCAGTGGCGCAATCTCGGTTCACTGCAACCTCCGCCTCCCGGGTTCAAGCCATTCTCCTGTCTCAGCCTCCCAAGTAGCTGGGACTACAGGCGCTCGCCACCATGCCCAGATAATTTTTTTGTATTTTTAGTGGAGACGGGGTTTCACCGTGTTAGCCAGGATGGTCTCGATCGCCTGACCTCGTGATCCGCCTGCCTTGGCCTCCCATAATGGTGGGATTACAGGCGTGAGCCACCGCGCCCGGCCTTTTTTTTTTTAATTTAATGTCACACTCCAGGCACAGGAGTACCTAGGGGGAAGTGCAGATCTTCACAAGTGCCTAGGGCCATGCCTTCCATTTGGCAAGGGAGGTGTGTATGCCTGACCGCTCCCCTCCTTTCCACTGTTCCCAGGCCCCTGCTGGGAGCGAGCCTGCACAGAAGGTGGTGGAGCCGGCAGCTGAAAACCAGTCCTGGGGAGGCTGGGAGGCATGGGGAGCAGGACCTCGCTTGAGCCAGGCTCCAAAAGTCTCTAGCCCATGTTCTGCTTTCTCATCGGACTTCATTATAAGACACAAATTGAAAGATAAAATTATTAAGAATTTCAAGACAGGAACCACAGAGCTTTAGAACCCAAACACAGTATCCCTTCTAAGCATGGGGCCCTTGTGTGACTGCCCTGGTCACTCACCCATGAAGTTTACTCTGCTTTCTACACTGGTAGAATAGTTTGTTCAGAGAGCATGTTTTTTGGTAATTTCAATAAATATTGATAAATTGCCCTGCACAAAGTTGTATACTTCACTGTACCCTGGCTTTCTCCTTAGTGAGTGAGGGAATAATATCATCCACTTCATCAGGGTTATCATGAGAATGACATGAATGAGTCCCTGTGAACTGTGAATGGTACACAGTAACCACTCAGTAAATACAGTCATTAGCCCTTACATGCAGTGATTTTCTTCTGGAACTCCCTCTAGTGGCATAAATATAAAGAGGAATTCACGTTTTCTTTTCTACTTTTGTGGCCCTATTTCCCATAATATTTGTGTGTTTAAATTGGTCTAGATATTCCACTGAGGCTCAATGACCGATAGACTATAAAATGTCTAATTTACATCAATTTAGCCAGATGCTTCCTAGGTAGGTCGGAGAAATGAGAACACTGATCCGAATCAATGTGAGGCAGCTCCCAGCAAGTGAGCGCCTGTAGCATGTGTGAGCATGGGTGCTGTGGTGAATGCAGCCAGGGGCTGCTCTTTCATACTGCTTTATTTCTTTTTCTTTTCTTTCTTTTTTTTTTTTTGAGACGGAGTTTCGCTCTTGTTGCCCAGGCTGGAGTGCAATGGCACGATCTTGGCTCACTGCAACCTCCACCTCCCGGGTTCAAGGGATTCTCCTGCCTCACCCTCCTTTGTAGCTGGGACTACAGGCACCCGCCACCACGCCCGGCTAATTTTTTGTATTTTAGTAGAGACGAGGTTTCACCATATTGGTCAGGATGGGCTCGATTTCCTGACCTCGTGATCCACCCGCCTCGTCCTCCCAAAGTGCTGGGATTGCAGGCATGAGCCACCGCGCCCGGCCATACTGGTTTATTTCTTTTTCTTTTTTTTTTTTTTTTTGAGACAGAGTCTTGCTCTGTCGCCCAGTCTGGAGTGCAGTGACACGATCTCGGCTCACTGCAAGCTCCGCCTCCCGGGTTCACGCCATTCTCCTGCCTCAGCCTCCTGAGTAGCTGGGATTACAGGGGTGCGTCACCATGCCTGGCTAATTTTTTGTATTTTTTTAGTAGAGACGGGGTTTCACCGTATTAGCCAGGATGGTCTCGATCTCCTGACCTCGTGATCCGCCCGCCTCGGCCTCCCAAAGTTCTGGGATTACAGGCGTGAGCCACCGCGCCTGGCCTACTGGTTTATTTCTTTAAGTAACACATACAGTGTAGAAAAATTAGAAACGATATGGAAAAATGTAGAGAACAAAAAACTAATTATGTTCTACCAAAGGTTTAAATTTTATCTATCAACATTTTTTCCATTTTTATGTATTCCCTATTGTTAGTCTGAGATTCACCAATATTTTTATCTTTCAAAAGGAAAAACATTCAGCTTCTTGTGAGTCAAGTGAGTCAGGCACTGAGGCTTGCCCCTCCCCCTCCCCCCTCCCCAAATGGGAATGGGTTTGCGCTGATTTTAATCAAACTGCTATGGGTTGTCCTGCGTAAGAGGCTTTGGGCTGTTCTGTAGGTCCCCGTGGGGTAGAACAGTTGGGTGCAAGACTCTGAAGGCAGATTTCAGCTCAAAAGAAAGAATTTTCCCTCCTTCAGAGCTGTCCAACCGTGGTGGGAATGAGTGGGAACTACGGGAGTGAGCTTCCCATTCCTGGATTTTCCAGCCAACATAGAACTGGAGGTTAGGCCACATTATCCTAATATTTTTGCCTAGCTGTAGGATGATACAAGAATATACATTTTCCTTCCCCATCTTCTCCCGCTTTTCCTCGCCTTCTTTCCATTTCTTTGGCCCCTTCGCTTTTCGCCACCTAGCGGCAGAATCTTGCTAGGTAAGGACCAGGAAGCTCTCCCAATCTGACCCGCAACAGCTGACGTCACGACTTCGCCACCGAGAATTGGTTGCCAGCAGCCTTTGGGGGCGGAGAATAAGGCGCAGATTATAAATAGGTCAAAGAGAGGTGCCTGCGAGCCGCGCAGTGACACCCCGTTCCTAAGGGCAGAGCTTTTCTTGCCTTTCGCTTCAGACCCACTGCACTTGGTTACGTGCTTTTCCTCCGCTGTCCGCTTCGTTTATCTGCTTTAACCCAACCTGGGCTAGGTAGGCCTGAAGCCTATAATGTTGCTTGGCTGTTGCTCAGGAGAAGAAAGGCCCAGGTGGCCAGTTTGGCAACTGGCACAGTCCCTGTGAGCACCCACCTGCTGATGGTCCTTCTGTCACTACGTAGTCGCTCCGACGCCAGGAAAGTGCGGTGGTGGCCATTTTGGAACTGGGCAACTTTCACTTCGCCAATCATCTTGGGGTCTGGCCACCACAGTACTTTTTTTTCATTATTATTCTGGCAGAGAACACGTTATGGAGGGATAATTATGTAGCCTAGAATTTCTAGAGTTGTTTCAGGACTCATAATATCCTCATTCCAGAATATGAGAATATAGAAGCTTGGAATACTCAGATGCAAATTCCAGCACCACCCTTTCCTAATTGATTGAGGAACACATCTGACTCTAGTCTACGGTCCTGTGGAAAGACCTGTGACCCTAGGCAAAGAGCTTAAAGAAATCTCTCTTTTTTTTTTTTTTTTTTTTGAGACGGAGTTTTGCTCTTGTTGCCCAGGCTGGAGTGCAGTGGCGCGATCTCGGCTCACCGCAACCTCCACCTCCTGGATTCAAGTGATTCTCCTGCCTCAGCCTTCCGAGTAGCTGGGATTACAGGCTATGCGCCACTATGCCCGGCTAATTTTGTATTTTTAGTAGAGATGGGGTTTCTCCATGTTGGTCAGGCTGGTCTCGAACTCCGACTTCAGGTGATCCACCCGCCTCAGCCTCCCAAAGTGCTGGGATTACAGGCGTGAGCCACTGCACCTGGCCATGAAGAAATATCAATTTATTTAACTGCAAAATGATAATTCTGTCACCTCGTGGTGCTGATGTGAGGATTAAATGAGACAAGGTACATAAAGTGCTTAGGCCTGTGTCTGGCTCCCCCAAAAAACATAACACCTCTTGTGCAGCACCTGTGCTTAGAATGTTAGCCAGTGAGGGCAGGACTTCGTCTTATTTTCCCTGTGCCCTCCTGGGCATTGAATAGTGAGGGATACATATTAGAATAAGTTTGCTGAAAGAATGAATGACAAAGAATCCCTGCCTGTAGGTCTTCAGCCTTTGTATTCTATTATCTTTTAGGCTGTAGGCTCACCCTCAGGCATCTTCTTGCCACTCTAACCCCTATAGGCTGATAATTACACCTTTACTTGCTCTAGGTCACAGCAATCTGTTAACTACGAGATTAGTATTTTTATTAGTATTTTTGACTTTTTTTTTTTTTTGAGACATGGTTTCACTCTTAGAGTGCAGTGGCGTGATCTCAGCTCACTGCAACCTCCGCCTCCCAGGTTCAAGCGATTCTCCTGCCTCAGCCTCCTGAGTAGCTGGGATTTCAGGCGCCCGCCACCACCCTCGGCTAATTTTTGTATTTTTTTTTAAGTAGACGGGGTTTCGTCGTGTTAGCCAGGATGATCTCGATCTCCTGACCTCGTGATCCGCTCGCCTCGGCCTCCCAAAGTGCGGGGATTACAGGCGTGAGCCACCGCGCCCGGCCTAATTTTTGTATTTTTAGTAGAGACAGGGTTTCACTGTGTTGGCCAGGCTTGTCTCCAACTCCTGACCTCGTGATCTGCCTGCCCGCCTAGGCCTCCCAAAGTGCTGGGATCACAAGCGTGAGCCACCGCGCCCGGCAGATAATTTACTTATTATTTCATACACCACCTGATATATTTTCACAGTGAGCATATGGCCTTTAAAATAATGATTTTTTTGTTGTTTAAGTTACAAACAAACCTGAAAAAATATTTGCTTTTTAGAAATGCTCAGTTTCTGAAGGGACCTAAGTTTGCCTTGTAACTGGTACCATCTAATGGTCAAACTGAGCTATTGCGCTGAGGTTGGATACAGGAAGCTAAGGGAAGACAGGGATGTGGGAAGTTCAACAGGGGTATGCTATGGAATAGGGTGATAGAACTTTGTGGATGACATACCAACATCACTTGCTGAAGTTGTGTAGAGCTTATTCTTACTGAAACAGTAATCCAGAAATTAACTCATATCTAATGACTTGGTGGTATAGCATACCAACACTTTTATGCCAGCCACTGGAGAAAAAGTGTGTTCCTATAGCATTTTCACATTCTGAAAACATTTGTCTATGATTGTATTTATTTCTCACAATAGTATGTGAGTTAAAGATATCAAATAGTTTTATTCTTATTTTACAGTTGATGAAATTGAGGCCAGACGGGTTGTGACAGGCTCAAGGTCAGTCAGAAAACCATTGTCAGAGCAAGACCAGACTGGCATTCTTTTTCAGGTGTTTCTGCTGCAATTGGGGGCAGAGATATGCAGGCTTAACTTTTATAAATATAAAAGATGCTTTATTGGGAAACGTGAAGTAGTGGTTCTCTGAGTTTTTTGTACCATTTCTTAGCCTTTTTGTTTTATGCAATTTTTTATTTGCCCCAACCTGAACTCTATGTTTGGAGAGGTGATTTTCAGCAACAAAGCTAAATTTATGTATAATTTATTTCTTTTTCTTTTATTAATCAAACGTGTTTTAACTTGTAACTTTTCTTCTAAAGTCAGCATCATGTGTATACATATGCAAATAATTCCACTCCAAGGTAAGGAAACTTTAAGGATATTTTAATTAGTGCTCACAACAAATATGTGTATCTGTTCTGATTTTTAAATAATAAAGATGGAGCATGACTTTCTTCTTCTCTTTCTGTATTCCAGTTTTAAAATCATTGGCTGGGTGCAGTGGCTCATGCCTGTAATCCCAGCACTCTTGGAGGCCAAGGCAGGCGGATCACTTGAGGAAAGGAATTTGAGATCAGCCTGGCCAACATGGCAAAACCCTGTTTCTATCAAAAATACAAAAAAGTAGCTGGGCATGGTGGCATGCACCTGTAGTCCCAGGTACTTGGGAGGCTGAGATGGAAGGACTGTTTGAGGCTGGTTGACACAGTGAGACTCCCATCTCAAAAAGAAAAAAAAATCACCATACCACATTGTAGGAGCTATGAAGGCTGACATCATGCTTAGCTCATGTGTGTGATCCCAAACTGCCCTATTCCATAAATATTTATTGACTAAATGAGAAAAAAATCTTACAACCAGGTAAGATTTCTTTTCTTTTCTTTTCTTTTTGAGACGGAGTCTTGCTCTCTTGCCCAGGCTGGAGTGCAGTGGCGCGATCTCTGCTCACTGCAAGCTCCGCCTCCCAGGTTCACGCCATTCTCCTGCCTCAGCCTCCCGAGTAGCTGGCACCCGCCACCATGCCCGGTTAATTTTTTCTTGTATATTTTGTAGAGACAGGGTTTCACCATGTTAGCCAGGATGGTCTTGATCTCCTGACCTCATGATCAGTCTGCCTCAGCCTCCCAAAGTGCTGGGATTACAGGCGTGAGCACCGCGCCCAGCCATAGCCAGATAAGTTTCTTTTGCACACCTGTACTACTTTTAATGGTAGTTATGGCAGGTCATATTAAATAACAATAATATTTTCTGGGCCAGGCATGGTGGCTCACCCCTGTAATCCCAGTACTTTAGGCAGGAGGGTCATTTGAGGTCCAGAGTTCAAAACCAGCCTGGCCAACATGGCGAAACCCTGTCTCTACTTCAAATACAAAAATTAGCCAGGCATGGTGGTGCATGCCTGAAATCCTAGCTACTGGGGAGGCTGAGGCAAAAGAATTGCTTGAACCCTGGAGGCAGATATTGCAGTGAGCTGAGATTGCACCGCTGCACTCCAACCTGGGTGATTTTATATATATATATATATATATATATATATATGTAAATATATATATTTAGTTTTCTTATGAGCCCCTTAAGAATAATATCAATACACAGGCAGAAAAAAAGCATTCCAAGATCTTTTTTTTCTTTTCTTTTTTATTTGAGATGGTGTCTCACTCTGTCACCCAGGCGGAGAGCAATGGCGCAAACTCAGCTTACTGCAACCTCTGCCTCTCCGGTTCAAGTGATTCTCCTGCCTCAGCCTCCTGAGTAGCTGGGATTACAGGTGTCCACCACCACACCTGGCTAATTTTAGTATTTTTAATAGAGACAGGGTTTCACTATGTTGGTCAGGCTGTTCTCGAACTCCTGACCTCGTGATCTGCCCACCTTAGCCTCCCAAAGTGCTGGGATTACAGGTGTGAGCCACCGCGCCTAGCCTTTTTTCTTTTCTTCTTCTTCTTCTTCTTCTTTTTTTTTTTTTGATAGAGATGGGGTTTTGCCATGTTAGCTTCAAACTCCTGGGCTCAAGCAATCTGCCTGCCTCAGCCTCCCAAAGTATTGGGATTACAGGTGTCAGCCACTGAACCAGGCCTAAAACTTTATTTTCTAAAGTTGAAATAACTTCAGGATATAATTTAGAGATATCATGACTCCTTGGGGTCCAGAGAAGAAAATCACTCAGGAGTTAAAATTAAGAGAAGGGTCAGGCACAGTTGTGAGTGCTGTAGTCCCAACTACTCAGGAGGCTGAGCAGGAAGAATTGGTTGAGGCCGGGAGTTCAAGAGCAGCCTGGGCAATAGAGTGAGACCTGTCTTTTAAAAAAGTAAAAATAGATCAGGCGCGGTGGCTCACACCTGTAATCCCAGCACTTTGGGAGGCCGAGGTGGGCGGATCATCTGAGGTCAGGAGCTCAAGACCAGCCTGGGCAACATGACAAAACCCCATCTCTATTAAAAATACAAAAAATTAGCCATGTGTGGTGGCACACGCCTGCATTCCCAGCTACTCAGAAGGCTGAGGCAGGAGAATCACTTGAACCCAGGTGGAAGTTGCAGTGAGCCGAGATCGCATCTGCATTCCCAGCTACTCAGAAGGCTGAGGCAGGAGACTCACTTGAATCCAGGAGGTGGAAGTTGCAGTGAGCCGAGATCGCACCATTGCACTCCAGCCTGGGCAACAAGAGTGAAACTCCACCAAAAAAAAAAAAAAAAAAGTAAAAATAAAATCACAAGGAATGGTTGGAGGAGCCCAGCCCATTCTATTTGTACCTCTATTTTGAGCCATTTCATCCTCTTCCCTGACCAGTTCATCCATCATCCCTCCTCCCCATTAACCACCAGCTTACCTTGTACTCTTCAGTCTTAGAACCCACATTACCTTCAATCTTCTTTGTAAAATGTTGGTAAGAAGTTAACAAATTCAGGCCGGGGGTGGTGGCTTATGCTTGTAATCCCAGCACTTTGGGAGGCCGAGGTGGGAGGATCACTTGAGGTCAGGAGTTCAAGACCAGCCTGGCCAACATGGTGAAACCCCATCTCTACTAAAATTACAAAAATTAGCTGGGCGTGGTGGTGCATGCCTATAATCCCAACTACTCAGGTGGCAGAGGCACAAGAATTGCTTAAGCCCAGGAGGTGGAGATTGCAGTGAGCCAAGCTTGCACCACTGCACTCCAGCCTGGGTGACAGAGCAAGACTGTTAAAAAAAAAAAAAAAGTTAACAAACTCAAATTCAAGAATGCTTTCTTAATACATTTCTCCTGTTATTTTCCATTTTTCCCATGGTGGAAAATAGAAAATAGGATGGCATCACTTGAGTTGGGCATAGGGAAAGAAATTTCAAACAGGGCATGAGTTCTAGGATTTAGAACAGCTAATGCAGGAGTAGAGTTAAAGAAGATACCCCACCTAGCCTAGCCTGCTAGCTGCTTGACAGTAACCAGGGATAACAGGGGAACAGTTAAGGTTCTTCAGATCATGGTCTCTTTCTTTTTCTTCTCCCCTCCCCCATCCTACTTATAATTATTCAGACAGAATGAAAGTTTGCTGCAGGCACAGGTGAAAATTTTCCACCCGTGTCCCTATTTCATAGCAGGATCTTAAGATAAGACCAAGGAGAATGATCTTTGGAAAAGTACTTTCTTAAGAGCAGCGAATGGCTGAACGTAGTGGCTCATGCCTATAATCCCAGCACTTTGAGAGGTCAAGGCGTGTGAATCACCTGAGGTCAGGAGTTTGAGATTAGCCCGACCAACAAGGTGAATCCCCATCTCTACTAAAAACACAAAAATTAGCCAGGCGTGGTGGCAGGCATCTGTAGTCCCAGCTACTCGGGAGGCTGGGACAGGCCTGGGAGGCAGAGGTTGCAGTGAACTGAGATTGCGCCACTACACTCGCCTGGGCAATGGAGCAAGACTCCATCTAAAAAACAAAACAAACCAAACAAACAAACAAACAAACAAAAAAGCAGCGAGAAGAGAGAGAAGAGAAGTAAGGCCCTCTTCCTGGTAACATCTTGCTCTACTCCTATTCCCGATGTGGGCCACCATTAGCGCTGCTATGTGGAGCAGAATTTGTGCATGCACCAGAGATTATACTTGCAATGCTATCAAAATACTCATGGGTGGTGGGGGATGCACAGAGGTCTTGCCAGGTCTAATGCTGGTGAGGAAGCTTTAGTTTGCTAATGGTAAGGGCTACTGGGCAGTACAGTAAGGGTACTGAGCATAGTAGCATCATGGACAGCAAAATGGCAGCACCTACAAATAACGCAAGTAAGTAAAGTTATTGCTAAAAGAAAATATTCAGATAAACACTGGTAAGTCTTTTTGGAGAGTGATTCTGCCTATGGCTCAGCCAAGGCCCCCTGCTCTATGGCAGGGTGAATCTTCTGGATCTTCTACTAACAGAAATCTTACCCACATAGTGATAACCGCAGTGATTTAATCCTTAGCAGCATTGCTGATATGCACAGGACTCTCAGGGAGAGAGACCCCTGGGTGCCTTGAGGGTGCTTTCCACATCTTGTCATTGGGCTGAGCAGGGTCTTTGGAATCAGTAATCTCATGTTGGCTTGTTACATGTGAGACACTGTGCAGATTATTAAACATGTTTGAGTTTCAGTTTTCCCATTTTGTAAATGGGAAGACTAATATCTATATCAGAGAATGCTATAAGGAGCAAGTGAGACAATCCAAGTAAAACACACAGCCCAAAACTGGTTATAGTAAAATAAATGCTATTATTATTATTATCCTGTAACTTATAGGGTGGAATGACTTAAATGTGTTTAGAATGTGTCACTATTATGGCCCATGGAACAAAGCAACCCATTTTACCAATACCTAGTAGGTCTTCAACAAACAACAGAGACCGCTAGATTAATAGACTTGGAAACTGGTGTGATCATTCTGTACAATGGAATGAAACTCATCTCTGAGTCAGAAAATATGTAGCTCTTTTAGTGGGATAAAATGAGCCACATAGTCAAAATCCCTGCCCTCCTGGAGTTTATGGTCTGGTCAGGAAGGCAAATGTAAATACACGATTCCACAGTTACCTTAATTACCACTGAGATAAGTTTTGTGGTTTTATTTTTATTTTGAGACAGAATCTCTCTCTGTCACCCAGGCTGGAGTGCATTGGCATGATCGCAGCTTACTGACCTTGACTTCCTAGGCTAAATCGATCCTCCTGCCTCAGCCTCCCAAGTAGCTGGGACTACAGGCTCATGCCACCACACTCGGCTAATATTTTTAATTTTTGTTAGAGACAGGGTCTCCTCATGTTACCCAGACGGAGATAAGTTCCTTCCTTCCTTCCTCCCTCCCTTCCTTCCTCTCTCCCTTCCCCTTCCCCTTCCCTTCCCTTTAGCATGCACCACCACCCCCAGCTAATTTTTGTATTTTTAGTAGAGACGGGGTTTCACCATATTGGTCAGGCTGGTCTGGAACTCCTGACCTCAGCTATCTGCCTGCCTCGGCCTCCCAAAGTGCTGGGATTACAGGCATGAGCCACCACACCCACATGGATTTTGATTTTCTTTTCTTTTCTTTTTTTCTTTTCTTTCGTTTCTTCTTTTCTTTCTCTCTCTCTCTCTTTCTAAAAAACAAACAAACAAAACAATGACTACAGTATGCCATATATGAGAGTGGCTAGTGGGATTGGGGAAACAGTGTTCTAAGTCTGGGGAATTCAGGGGAGGCTTTACTGAGGAGGTGCCATTTAAGCTGTTAGCAACATGGGTGTGGGGTGAGGAGGCTGAACAGAGCACCACGCCCAGGCAGAGGGAGCTGGGTGTGTTTGGTTTCTGAGTTGAAAGTTAAGGAAGTTTAAAGAACAGCAGTCAGACGACCATGGCTGGAGCACTGTTAGTGAAGGGCAGAAGGACCTGAGACTTGACTTTGAGGCCAAGCTCTGGTATTTATTGGCTGTGTGATCTTATGAAGTTCATTCAAACTTTCTGAGCTTCAGTTTTCCTATCTGACAAATGGAGATATTATCATATAGAAACAACAGAAAGAATTAGAAGAGCTAATGTGAGAATTCTTTGTAAATTATGCACCAATAAGGTATTCAGTTTCTGCACAGATCTAGGTGTAACAAATACTGAAAGCATCTGAAGGTGTGTATGAGTCATGTCTGCTTTTTAGGTCTTCAGAGTGATGGCTTAGAAAGACAGGCAAGGAAGAGTAAACTCAGCAGGTGTTTGTTTACTCTCAATTGCTAAAAGCCAAGCTTGCTTCACATCTGTTCCAGGCTTTCCCTCCACTAGGACTCAGTGGTTCCCGTGGTTCTCTGGACTAGGGTAAGATTAATCTGACCTGCTGTAATAGGGTCATGGATGTGACATGGTCAGGTTTTCATACATAGCCTTTATGGAGATCCTTACTGGCATTTTAAAATTTATTTTATTTTATTTTATTTTATTTTGAGATGGAGTCTTGCTCTGTCGCCCAGGCTGGAACGCAGTGGTGTGATCTCGGCTCACTGCAACCTCTGCCTTCCAGGTTCAAGCAATTCTCCTTCCTCAGCCTCCCCCGTAGCTGGGATTACAGGCACCTGCCACCATGCCCAACTGATTTTTTGTATTTTTGGTAGAGACGGGGTTTTGTATTTTTGGTAGAGATGGGGTTTCGCCATGTTGCCCAGGCTGGTCTCGGACTCCGACCCACCCGCCTCGGCCTCCCAAAGTGCTAGGATTATAGGTGTGAGCCACCACGCCCAGCCCTCTTACTGGCATTTTTATCATATTTCCATGAATAGAATTTCTAGTCTGTTGCTTCAGATTTGTTCATTTGACTTCTAAAACATCTATCTGTAAACATCTTCTCATGTTTATAAACAGTTTCACATATCCTTTTCTGCAATTCCAAAATTCACAATACTCTGAAAACCAAAATTTTGTAACTCATTTGGCGGCAAAGCCTGGCCTGACTTGCATTCATTCTGTGACAAAACGAGATGTGAAGCTATTTATAGTCTTTCTTTACCTCATCTAGTGTAAATAGCCATACATTTAACGTGAAAATATATTTTTGCTTATTATGGGCTTTAGACCTGCATACACATATTAAATGATAGATTTTTGAGTATTGTGTAGCTTCTAATAGAAAAATCTGGGTGATATATCCTTTTACTCTGAGTATTATTTCATTAGTGTGCTTCGAATAAGTGAGCAATCATTTTAGGTACTTGAACAGAATATGACGAGAGACAGAAATCTATTGCAGCAAAATGAACAAACAAATCCCCTAGCAACCAATTATATACACACATTATGATGCATACGTTTTTCAGATTAGTATGAATAATTATTTGTAGATATTCATACCAGTATATACTTAATTACACGTTTAATTAAATATAATACTTATTTTGAGATCTTCAAAATGCTCATTAAATTTGTGTTTATGAGAACTGAACCTTTTTTTTTTTTTTTTTGGAGACAGTTTTGCCTGTTGCCCAGGCTGGAGTGCAATGGCACAATCTCAGCTCACTGCAACCTCCAGCTCCTGGGTTCAAGCGATTCTCTTGCCTCAGCCTCCCGAGTAGGTGGGATTACAGGCATGCACCACCATGGCCGACTAATTTTGTATTTTTAGTAGATGGGTGGTTTCTCCATGTTGGTTAGGCTGGTCTCAAACTCCTGATCTCAGGTGATCCGCCCGCCTAGGCCTCCCAAAGTGCTGGGATTAAAGGCATGAGCCACGGCGCCCGGCAGGAGAACTGAACCTTTTCTAAGTCTTTTAACATGACCTCATTATCCTGTAGATGAACGGACAAAGAAGCTATTTTCCTTTTTGTTTCTTAGGTTAATCTAGCATTTAATTACATTGTGTTCATTCACTTATTATATAAAGGTGTACTTATTGAGAAATTATTTCTAGAGGCAACTTCACAATGTCAATGTTGTAATTTGGTTATTGGCTCTGTGCACTCCTGAGACAGGGGTAGGATCCCCACTGCCTCAGGGATTCTTGTGTGTGAGAGTGGTAAGTGCTAGTGCAGGTACTCATAGTGTGGCTTTTTAATTTCACTGAAGTTTTGTGACTCCCAAACTGGGCTCACCTGTACATGCCTGTAAAGACATGATAGAAATAGCTTCATGAGCTTACTTTTATTGGCACAATAAACCAAGGCCAGAACTGCCAAGAATGTACAACTGCTATGGTCTGAATGTTTGTGTTCCCCCAAAATTCATGTTCTGAAACCTAATCCCCAATGCAATGTGGTATTAAGTGGTGGGGACTTTTGCAAATGAGATTAGTGCCCTTCTAAAAGAGGCCCCAGGGAGCTTGTTTGCCCTTCCACCATGTGAAGACACAGCTAGATCGCAGATGGCAGATGGCAGTCTATGAGGAAGCCAGCCCTCACCAGACACTGAATCTGCCAGTGCCTTAATCTTGGATTTCCCGGCCTCCAGAACTGTCAGAAATACATTTCTGTTGTTCATAAGTTACCCGGTGCAAGAGATTTTGTTATGGCAGCCCAAACAGACGAAGACAGCAACCAAACTAGGATTGTGTGTGGGGAGCAATAGAGAGGGTTTATTAACGAAAGATGTTCCCTTACTCTCTCTCTTTTTTTTTTTTTTTTCCTGAGACGGAGTTTCACTTTGTCGCCCAGGCTGGAGTGCAGTGGCTCGATCTCTGATCACTGCAAGCTCCGCCTCCCAGGTCACGCCATTCTCCTGCCTCAGCCTCCCAAGTAGCTGGGATTACAGGCGCCCACCATCACGCCCAGCTAATTATTTTTTTTGTATTTTTAGTAGAGACGGTGTTTCACCGTGTTAGCCAGGATGGTCTTGATCTCATAACCTCGTGATCTGCCCGCCTTGGCTTCCCAAAGTGCTGGGATTACAGGCATGAGCCACCGTGCCCGGCCTACTCTCTTACTTCTTTCTGGCCCAGTGATTCTGAGTGCCTGTGCCTATCAAGACGGGAAGAAAGAGAACACACAAATGGAAACTGAGGGGAAGGATCAAACAGTTTCACAAAAATATCCTATTTTAGTGATATTAAATATGATGCAAAGGATTCAAAACCTCACTAAAAAGCCAGAGTGAATCCCAGAGTGTAAATAACTTCACGTTTGAATAATAAACCTTTGCCCTATACATTTTTCTAAAGAGCAAGAGCTGTTACAGGACAGAAAACTCTCCCAGAAGACAGGTCTTTCATCCTAACCCAAGAGGACATGAACATCTTCCATTCACCCAGTGATCACCACTACTTTAGATGAGAGAATAGAACTGCAGTTTGACCCTTGACAGAAAATGCCTTGGAGCCGGGTGTGGTGGCTCACACCTGTCATCCCAGCACTGTGGGAGGCCGAGGTGGGCGGATTACGAGGTCAGGAGATCGAGACCATCCTGGCTAACACAGTGAAACCCCGACTCTACTAAAAATACAAAAAAATTAGCCGGGCATGGTGGCGGGCGCCTGTAGTCCCAGCTACTCGGGAGGCTGAGGCAGGAGAATGGTGTGAACCCGGGAGGCGGAGGTTGCAGTGAGCCGAGATTGTGCCACTGCACTCCAGCCTGGGCAAAAGAACAAGACTCCGTCTCAATAAAAAAAAGAAAGAAAGAAAGAAAGAAAAAGACTTGGAGTGGGAGTTGGGTGAGAGAAGTGCCTCAAAACTAAGCCTCTCAATGCAGTAGAAAGAATTTGAAAATAGGGTAACGAACTTAAGTTCAAATGTTGGCTCTGTCAGCTTTATAGCTGTGTGACCTCTGATTTGCTTCTTACTTTCTTTAAATGGTAGTTTACTAGGCTCAGTATAGAACATGAATATCCACTCTGTGTGGTTAGGTGAGAATTTAATGAGATACTCCCAAAATGTACCTAGCATCTACCTGATCATCAATCAAGTGAACTACGTTGGTTAATATGTTTTCAGGGCTCCCAGAGTGTTAAATTCTGGGCTATATGCTCTCAGGGATGGATGGAAGATGAGGCAGAAGAGAGAAAAGGAAGTAGAAAGAAAGTATGGGAGGCCAGGCCCCGTGGCTCATGCCTGTAATCCCAGCACTTTGGGAGGCTGAGGCGGGCAGATCATGAGGTCAGGAGTTTGAGACCAGCCTGGCCAACATGGTGAAACCCCGTCTCTACTAAAAATACAAAAAATTAGCTGGGCGTGGTGGTGGGGCGCCGGTAATTCCCAGCTACTCAGGAGGCTGAGGCAAGAGAATTGCTTGAACCCAGGAGGCAGAGGTTGCAGTGAGCGAGATCGCGCCACTGCACTCCAGCCCGGGCGACAGTGTGAGACTGTCTCAAAAAATAAATAAATAAATAAAATAAAAATAAATAAATAAGAATAAAAAATAAAAATTATTAAAAAAAAAGAAAGTATGGGAACTAAAATGAATAAGATTTGTCATTTTCCAGTAATCTGAGTAGGAACTCCACTATCTCTATGAAAAACCGTCAAAAACTACAAAAGGAGATGGCATTGCCAAAGGCACAAATTGTACAGAAGTGAGAGAAGGATGGGATCAAGCCTGGGGATCCTTCCAGAGGAAAGAAGTTTTGTGCTTGATGTAAAAGGAAAAGAAGGAAGTAGATTGATTGTGGGGAGGATGAAATTAGGATACTCAAGTAGTGGTTCTGGAAGGACCTCTACAAATATCCTGAAAAATATGGCCAGGAATCCTGGCAGTGACATTGGAATATGAAAAGATGTGAAAGGGGGAAGTTGTAGCTACTGGTGGAAAAAGGTGAGTGGTTTGTATAATGAACATAATTGGAGCCCTTGTCTGTACCCTCAAATGCCTCTGCCTCCCAAACAAGTAACAGATTTTAGCTATACTGATGCAACTTGCTAGGAAGGTTTTCTTTAAACCTTTATAAATCAATTAAAAATGATTTATAGAGGAGACACTTGTAAAACATTTGAATAAAAGTTGAACAACAAATATGACGAAAGAAAAGTGTGCAGGCCCCGCACAGTGGCTTATGCCTGTAATCCCAGCACTTTGGGAGGCTGAGGCAGGTGGATCACCTGAGGTCAGGAGTTCGAGACCAGCCTGACCAATATTGTGAAACCCTGTCTCTACTAAAAATACAAAATTTAGCCAGCCATGGTGGTGTGCACCTGTAGTCTCAGCTACTCGGGAGGCTGAGACAGGAGAATCGCTTGAATCCGGGAGGCGGAAGTCGCCGTCAGTCGAGATCACGCCATTGCACTCCAGCCTGGGTGACAAGAGTGAAACTCCGTCCCCCCACCAAAAAAAAGAAAGAAAAAAAAAGAAAAGTGAGGGTGGAGGGAGGGAGAGCACGACGTGCGCGCACCCTCTCCCCTTGTCCACTGCTGCCGCCTCCTTCTTCTGCCGCTCCTGGTGCTGCTTGTGTGCTCGTTTGGAGCGGACCTGGTACCTCTTTTGTGAAGCGGCAGCTGAGGAGACTCCGGCGCTCGCCATGGCCGAAGAAAAGCCCAAGGAAGGAGTCAAGACTGAGAACAACGATCATATTAATTTGAAGGTGGCGGGGCAGGATGGTTCTGTGGTGCAGTTTAAGATTAAGAGGCATACACCACTTAGTAAACTAATGAAAGCCTATTGTGAACGACAGGGATTGTCAATGAGGCAGATCAGATTCCGATTCGACGGGCAACCAATGAAACAGACACACCTGCACAGTTGGAAATGGAGGATGAAGATACAATTGATGTGTTCCAACAGCAGACGGGAGGTGTCTACTGAAAAGGGAACCTGCTTCTTTACTCCAGAACTCTGTTCTTTAAAGACCAAGATTACATTCTCAATTAGAAAACTGCAATTTGCTTCCACCACATCCTGACTACTACCGTATAGTTTTCTCTATTCTTTCATTTCCCCCTTCCCCATTCCTTTACTGTACATAAAGTAACTGGTATATGTGCACAAGCATATTACTTTTTTTTTTTAAAACTAAACAGCCAATGGTATGTTTTGATTGACATCAAGTGGAGACGGGGGGGAAAATACTGATTCTGTGAAAATACCCCCTTTCTCCATTAGTGGCATGCTCATTCAGCTCTTATCTTTATATTCCAGTAAGTTATTTTGCTCTCACTGTTTTAACAACAACAACAAAAAAACAACAACATAAAAATCCTTGCATACCTTGTTCAATTGGAGAATTTTAATGTTTTTCATTTATCATTGTAAAACCAAGGACAATTTTATAACTTTTTTGTACTTAGCTGTTACATGCAGAGCAATCTGTCTTTAAGTAGGGATAAATTACTCTAAAACAAAAAAGAATCCTAGATAGTTTTCCCTTCAAGTCAAGCGTCTTGTTGTTTAAATAAACTTCTTGTTTAAAAAAAAAAAAAGTAAAAAAGAAAAGTTATGCAACAATTAATGGCCCAGAGGCAATCCTTGTTAACATTTTGATGCATCTTTTAGCTGTTTTTTTTTTTTTTTTTTTTTTGACTGAGTTTGACTCTTGTCACCCAGGCTGAAGTGCAATGGCATGGCATGATCTTGGCTCACTGCAACCTCCGCCTCCCGGGTTCAAGTGATTCTCCTGCCTCAGCCTCCTGAGTAGCTAGGATTACGGGCATGCACCACCATGCCTGGCTAATTTTGTATTTTTAGTAGAGTTGGGGCTTCTCCACACTGGTCAGGCTGGTCTCGAACTCCCAACCTCAGGTGATAAGGGAAGGGGCACTATTGACATTTATGGTTGGGGCAGAGGTGTAAGATATTCTTCAAAGCACTACCTACATGTTGAAGAATTGTTCCTCACCCAGATTCTCAAAAGTCCCCCAGGACATTCACGTAGTGAAAACCTGTGTTTAATTATCTGAGCCTATAACTTAATACAGTTTTAAAATTTTTTTTTAAATATACAGTGAACTTTCTAGGAATGCAATTATAGTTGTGTGTAAAATTAGGGAAAATTAACTTTGCTACCAAGAGTTGTTCAACATTTTGTTAAATCACTTCATTGATGGCAACATGCTGGAGGTAGTTGAGTCACCAACTCAGCACCTGGATCAGCCTGTGTTGGTAGCAGTTTCATCCCCGTGGTTCTGTGAATAGGTGGAAGCATCTGCTTACTCCATCAGGACTTCTAGGGTAGTCGGGCCTTGGCACTCACACATTAAAATACTGTTTATGTTATTTTATTGCAAGTTACTTTTCTTTCATTTCCCCTTTACGTTACAGAAAGGGAAGCATTTTGCTTTCTGTTTAAAGTTGTGTATGTAGGTAGGTTATATCATCTATGACTTTCTCTCCCTCCTTCCCTTTCTTTTTGTTTGAGATGGAGTCTTGCTCTGTCACCCAGGCTGGAGTGCAGTGGTGCGATCTTGGCTCACTGCAACCTCTGCCTCCCGGGTTCAAGCGATTCTGGTGTCTCAGCTGGGATTACAGGCGCACACCATCACACCACGCTAATTTTTCTATTTTTAGTAGAGATGGGGTTTCGCCATGCTGGCCAGGCCAGGCTGGTCTCAAACTCCTGAGCTCAAGTGATCAGTCCGCCTCGGCCTCCCAAAGTTCTGGGATTTCAGGCGTGAGCCTCATCTATGAATCTCAATTTAGGACAGTAAAAGTGTCATTACAAAATATTTATTGTAAAAAAGGGTTGGAGGTTGAGAATCTCAATTCTAGTCAGTCTCTCAGTGTTTGGTTTCTTCCTACCATTTTTCCCCCTAGGACCAGCCAGAAAGCAGCTTTTTTTTTGTCCCCCCCAACAAGGAGCCCACTGTTTCCTCTCCCAGCCCAAACTCAGGCCTACGAACAACAACAGCACAACACACACACACACACACACACACACACACACACACACACCCCTCCACTTCAAGGTATAGCCAAGAGCTTCTGGAGCCGTCAAAAAGGTCTGTACCTGCTGTCTTTAGAGCTTCCAGTTTGCCCTTGGTCAAGAAATACTGTTTGCTAGGCTCTGCTGGAGTACATCAGGTAATACTGGCTTCTAAACCACCCTGAGGTTCTTTTCTCTTGTCCTTTTACTCCCTTCGTACTTCAATTTCTCTCCTTGATGTCCCCCTCCCTGTTTTGTTTTTTGCCTCCAATCCGTTCTGCGCGTTCCCTGCAGAGCAGGCGAGTAGCAATGCTGCTGGACCATGGAGCTGCTCTAGTCTCCCAGAAATCTCTTCTACACCCAACCCTTCTTGCGCTTAGGTGGTCCTCAGTCCCCCTCCCCCACCTCCTTCTGACCCAGGCTTCTTTCTCGCCCTCCGGTCGCAGTTCTCCTGGGCATCTGCCTCTGCCTCTCTCCTCTCACCCGGATCTAGGGCTGCCTTCTCTTTGTGCAGCCGTCTTTCTCCACCTTCATCCCAGACTCCCTGTCTCAGCGCCAGCTCCTCTGCCTTTGGCTCGGGTTCCCTCTCCCCCACCCCAGCTTCCAGTTGTTTGGCCCGCAGGTCCCTCGGCAGTGACCGGCGCCCCCCGACGAGTGCGTGTGCACCAGGGCACCTCCCTCTCCCCCACCTCTCAGCCCCGCGCCTCTCCACCGCCCGCCCCACCGCGCTGTGGGCGGTCCAGGGCGGGGCTGGGATCCGGGGCGGCTCCCGGGGCTCGGGTTGTGGGAGGCGCCCTCTCCCCGGTCTTCCCCTCTCTTCCCCCCGCCCTGCCTTCCCTTGCACCCTCCTTCTTCCCTCCGCCCGGGAGCTCTCCCTGGTCCCCGGCGCCGCCTCCTTCCCTCCCGGCTCCCCGCTCCCCGCTCCCGTGGCTGCCGCCGCCCCGGGGAAGAAGAGACAGGGGTGGGGTTTGGGGGAAGCGAGAGAGGAGGGGAGAGACCCTGGCCAGGCTGGAGCCTGGATTCGAGGGGAGGAGGGACGGGAGGAGGAGAAAGGTGGAGGAGAAGGGAGGGGGGAGCGGGGAGGAGCGGCCGGGCCTGGGGCCTTGAGGCCCGGGGAGAGCCGGGGAGCCGGGCCCGCGCGCCGAGGTAAGAGCCAGGGCCCCGGGTTAGCAGGGCTCGGAGAGGGGGCGCGCGGCGTGGTGGGGGAGGGGGCAGTGGGCGCAGGGCCCAGCTGGGGGAAGCGGGGCTGGGGGAGAGGAGGAACCGCGGGGATGGAATCGGGGAGCGCTGAGGCGGCCGATGCCGGGAGCGTGGGTAAGCCAGGCTTCTGCGAGCCGCGGGGGCCGGGGGAGAGGAGGTGGTGAGAGGTGGAGTCCCGGGAGGGTTGGGGGCCGAGGGAGGCAGGAGGAGGGTGGGGACAGGCTTTCTCTCCTCCTCTCCCCCCACCCCGCGCGGGGCTCCGCCCCCGCCTCCTCCGCGGGGCGCTCTCTTGGTCCCCAGGCTGAGCCCGGTCGGAGCCTGCGAGGCAACCGGCAAGAGGTCGAGTAGTCTCCGGGTGCGGGCCGCGCCGGCGGGGCTCGGTCCAGTCCTCATGGCCGCCTCTCACTTAGATGTTGCTGCTGCTGCTACTGGCGCCACTCTTCCTCCGCCCCCCGGGCGCGGGCGGGGCGCAGACCCCCAACGCCACCTCAGAAGGTGCATCCTTCTTCGACGACCTCCGGCCCTCCTTCGCTCCACTTCCCTTTCCCTGCATCTCCTCATTTCTGGTCCTCATCACTATCCCATCAGTCCCACATATCATCCCGGTCTGGCAACCCCTTCTGCTCGGCCCGACTTTACTACTGCTGACCTCCTTCTGTCACCCCACGTTACTATCCAGCACCTCTTTTCTCTGCCCACATTGCTACACTATACCACCTTCCTGTGCATTTTCTCCGCCTCAATCCCCTTTCCCAGCCCCACATTACTACCTCAATTACTCCCTTTTCTTGGTCCCACTTTGCTGTCCAGATGATCTTATTAGCCTCCCTTTATCCTCCTATCCTAATTCAACTCGAATATCCTCATTTAGCCTTTTTTTTTAAAGAAAAGCTCCACCCACATATCATACCCTTCATGATTTCTTAATTACTTTTCTTTCTTACCTCCACCCAGCACCCTTCCCTCCCCACTTGTGGGTTCTCTCATCAGCTTTAACCCTGGCCCTTTACTCTCTGTCCTTTAGCCAGGGGATCTGTACCTGTCCCCACTCCCACCCTCTAGTGCCCCATCCCTCTTCCTCTGTCCCCAGCCTGCCCACAGACCACGCCCTACTCTCCCCTTCCTCCCACTGGGGAGCCTGCCTTTTCCTCTTTCCCACCATTCCTCTCTGTATGCCTCCCCGACTCACCCCTTAGGTTGCCAGATCATACACCCGCCCTGGGAAGGGGGCATCAGGTACCGGGGCCTGACTCGGGACCAGGTGAAGGCTATCAACTTCCTGCCAGTGGACTATGAGATTGAGTATGTGTGCCGGGGGGAGCGCGAGGTGGTGGGGCCCAAGGTCCGCAAGTGCCTGGCCAACGGCTCCTGGACAGATATGGACACACCCAGCCGCTGTGGTGAGTAGCCTCGGAAGCCCCTCCCCTCTTCAAGACTATTCCTTTTCCTGCCGCAAACTTAGCATTACTGCTTGCAAGTCAGCACTTTAAATCCAGTATACCAAAATTCACAAATACATTTATTGAATGACTACTACATAAGAGCAATTTTGCTCTGTGCGGTTGGAGGTAGTAGAGCTAGCAGCCTGCACAGTTCATTTCATCCTCCCTTCATTAGGCCACTGATCATTGGCCTATAACATTGATAATTCATCTTGTCAGTTATTCTCTTTGAGGATCATTAGTGGCAGATGATGACAAAAAAATTCTAAAATGATTTCATCACATTTTTGAATACCTCTGTCACCAACCCAGAGACCATATGCCCAAGAAACAAAAGCCAGTTTAATATTAATAGAAGCCAACTATAATAAGAAAAGCAAATCTGATTGTGCATCCAAAGTTATATACATCTACATATTTCAAAGCCAGAGAACCGCCCACTGTAGCTGACTTTGAAGAGATCCCATTTTGTGTGCTTATAGCCCCATCTTGGGTTCCTAAAATGGTAATTTTTTTTTTCTTTTGGGAATGTGTGGATGCTTGCACAGGTAAGGGAGGATTGGAAGATAGGTAGGCAAATCCTTTTCACATGTGATTTTCTTTAGAGCAGGATGCTTGTGGACCCAAACCTGCACCTGAGTCCCCTGCTCTTTAAAGGGAAAGAGCCTTCTTCAACTCGCCTCTCTTCTTATTTTCCTATCTCTCCACAGTCCGAATCTGCTCCAAGTCTTATTTGACCCTGGAAAATGGGAAGGTTTTCCTGACGGGTGGGGACCTCCCAGCTCTGGACGGAGCCCGGGTGGATTTCCGGTGTGACCCCGACTTCCATCTGGTGGGCAGCTCCCGGAGCATCTGTAGTCAGGGCCAGTGGAGCACCCCCAAGCCCCACTGCCAGGGTGAGGGGAACAGCTGCCTGCATGCAGCTGATGAGGACGCTTGTGTGAGGATGGGAGTGGGGTGGGAATGGATAATGGGAAAGAATGGAGAGCTATAAAAATGTGGGGGAGGACACTGGAAAGGGGAGATGAAAGTCCCTTTTTCCTCCATCACCTGCCTCAAACTTCCTCTTGCAGTCCCCGGTATCCTCTGTAGGTTGGGGGCTTCCTTCCTTTACCTTTTAAAAAAATCTTCCTGCTCCCGATTCTTAGACCTCACGTTTTCTCTTTTCCTTTATGAATCTCACCTCTCTCACCTTCTTCAGGTTTAAATACTCCAATTTTCCCTTTCTCTAAACTTAGAAATTTCCATGCATCACCCTCTTCTAGAATTCATCCCTCACCATTCCTTATATAATTGATTTATTGTAAAGACTCAGAAATAAATCAAACATTCTACTAAGAAAAATTGAGAAGGGGAGCTCTGGGGGTGGAAACATATTAGGGTAAAAGACTTAAAATTGGAGGCAGCATTATCAGAAGATGAAGAACAACTCAGGGATGGGGTGGGAAGAAGACAGGTCCTTTTCTGTACTTCCTAGACAACCTCCATTATTCCCTAAGGGAATCAGTGTTGTGTCTGTCTACTTTTTTTTTTTTTTTTTTGCCACGTAATTTTACAAACTCTCCCTTTTCTAGGCACCCGAACTCTCTGCCATCTTCTCTCCTGGGATGCAGTCATCCCATTTGTATGCCTCATACTTCCTCTACCCTGGTAGATTCTTTCAAGATCCTTGGGCTTTACTTTCCTCACATAACTCAGTTATTCTGCTTCTAGTTTACCATTTTATTCTGGAAATTGAGAGTCCCATCCAGGGGTGGACTTATGACACTACTGAAACTTAGACTTCAAGGTTCCTCACCTACAGGGCCCTCTTCCTGTGCTCTAATAATATAGAGGGCTCGATGGATATGTGTTCATATGGTAACAGGCTTTTGTAAAAATTGCAGAAATAAGATTTTAACAGCAATTGCTTAAAGCCAATTGTATGTGTAATTTTTTTTCTTAAAGACTCCCAATTTTGTAATATTCAGGCACCACAGAACCAAGATCTGCCCCAAACTTAGCTATTGGCATTCCCGTCTCAAATTCTGTTGTCCTATGAAAAATCGAAGAAGAAAATAAGTCCTGACCCCCTTACCCCCAGACCCACCTTGTTCTTATCCCCAGGCACCCTCCCCTCAGAAACGCAGGCTTCTGCTCTCCCCGGTCTTCAGCATGGACAGGTGTGGGAGGGGGCTGGGGATCAGGCCAGGGAAGCTGGGCGCCAGTGGTAACTCTTCTCTGATCCCCGTCTTTCCTGCTGCCAGTGAATCGAACGCCACACTCAGGTGAGATGAGAAACCCTTACCGCGCGCACTGCAATGCCCTCCCCTTCACTCTGCACCCTCCACCCCCCTGAAATTCTGCCCTTAGGCTACGGGGCGTCGTCCTTTCGCACCTTCCCCAACCCACCCCAGTTTGCGGCCACCCCCTTCCCTCCCTACCTGTTTCCTGCCTCCAGTCCCGGTTTTCCACGAGGCTGCGGTCTCTCCTTGTCCCTGCTTGGCTACACTTCCCTGGGCTCCACCTCCTCCCAGACTGAGCCTCGCCGGTGTCAGGCAGAGCCCAGCAGAGGGCGGCAGGGTGCTGGGAGACCCTGAGCTCCCACCACGTTTTCCCCTGTGGGGTTCCTTGCGACCTTCGCTGGAACCTTTTCCAGCCTGCTGCCTCCTAGGATTTCACCTAATGGACTTTCTCAGCCTGTCCCACCCATCCCAACCCTGGCCAGGCCTCTCGCGCTCTTCCCCACATCTTTTCCTTCCGTGTACCCCTTCCCTCGTCTTTTCTCAATTCCATGTCCTGTCTCCCTTTCTTAGGCTTCTGTCTACCCAGCCCCAGGCTCCCTTCCACGACCCCACCACTCCCTCAAACCAGCCTCCCTTCCGTACCCAACTCGTTCCCTCCAAAACCGTTTCCTCTCCCCCACATCCTCAGTGCTTCACTGTATCGACTCATACTCCCACTTCAGACCTCAGGCGCCAGCCCCGTTTCTCTCCCGTCCCACTCGCATCCTTCCCTTCCTACCCTGGTTCCTCCGTGCTTCAGCCTCCCGCGGCTCCCTCCGCCCACCCCGCCCTCCTGGCACGCCCCGTCCCCATTTCTCCTCCCCTCGGGTCCCCTTAAGTGAGATCCCTCCCTTCCTCTTTCGTTCCTTTCCTCCTCGAGGTTGCATCCCCCCTCCCCTCCCCGCCCCTCCGACTGTCGCTCCCACCTCGGCGCTCGCTTCCCTCCCCGCCCCCTTCCTGCCTCCCCAGCTCCCGCCCGCCCCCCCACCCCCCGCTGCCGCGCGCCGCCCGTGACGTCAGAGCCCCCTCCCAGCCCCACATCTCCCTCCTGCTCCTCCTCCTCCCCTCCGTCGGTCAGTCAGTCCGCGAGGAGAGTCCGCGGTGGCGGCGACGGTGGCGAGAGCCGCGGGGGCCGTAGGAAGCCAACCTTCCCTGCTTCTCCGGGGCCCTCGCCCCCTCCTCCCCACAAAATCAGGGATGGAGGCGCCTCCCCGGCACCCTCTTAGCAGCCCTCCCCAGGAAAAGTGTCCCCCCTGAGCTCCTAACGCTCCCCAACAGCTACCCCTGCCCCCCACGCCATGGGGCCCGGGGCCCCTTTTGCCCGGGTGGGGTGGCCACTGCCGCTTCTGGTTGTGATGGCGGCAGGGGTGGCTCCGGTGTGGGCCTCCCACTCCCCCCATCTCCCGCGGCCTCACTCGCGGGTCCCCCCGCACCCCTCCTCAGAACGGCGCGCAGTGTACATCGGGGCACTGTTTCCCATGAGCGGGGGCTGGCCAGGGGGCCAGGCCTGCCAGCCCGCGGTGGAGATGGCGCTGGAGGACGTGAATAGCCGCAGGGACATCCTGCCGGACTATGAGCTCAAGCTCATCCACCACGACAGCAAGGTAGCCCTGGACATGGGGGTGGGTGGGAGGTGGGGGCTTGCGGGGCAGGGGGCCAGCCAGCTGCACGCGCCCCCATCTGTCTGAGTCGTCTCTGGGATTGCGAGGCAGACCCCTCCCTTGTGTGACTGGCAGGAGATGGGCTGGGGGTGCAGGAGCTTGGGGAGAGTCGCAGGGGCTGGAGGTCCAAGATGAGGGTCTAGGGGCTCAAGATGGTTAAGCATGCTGCAAGGCAGACCCTTCTGCCCCGCTGCGGGAGTCTCGCAGAAGTGTCGGGGTTTGGAGAAACTGGTGGTGGATTTAAGGTATTAGGAGACACTGATCCTCTGAGGGAGTAAACTAACCCTGGAATGGGTTGGGGGTGGAGGGAATGTCAGAGGTGGGGAGCTGGATTGGGGGTTTACATTTACCATGGTAACAAGGTAAAATCTTGGCGTAGGTTGGAGCTGGAAGGAATAGGGACAGAATGAGGAAAATTTTGAGAGACTTGAGAGCTCTAGTTTATTTATCTTAACAAAACAGCAAGGTAGTGGTGAGCCCTACCTGACTCCTTCTCATCCTTCTATTCCCAACCCTGTTGAGCATTCCCAGACTGTGGGATAGATGGCATATGGTGATTGGGGAAGGCTAATGATCAAGAGGTGGGCAGAGGCACTGGGAAAATGAATTGGATTGGGGATCCACATGGGAACCCCCACAATAGCATGGGGATGAAGAAGAGTCAACATACAAGGAGAAGAGAACAGAAAAGAATGGCAGTGGGGGAGAGGGGCAAGGAGGTAGCGTGGGGATAATGAGAGATCTTGGGGCACCTTATGGAACTTGGGTCCTGACCTTCCCTTCCCTTATAGCATTGTGGCCTCTAGGATGTGAGAAGGGAAATGGGATGTAGGGATTAGGGAGGTGAGTTGAGGGAGAGAGAGAAGGTAAGCAAATTTGGGTCCAGGGGTATTAGGGGATAGCTTATAATGAGGTTTTTTTTCCCACCCCTCTCCCCTACATGAATAATTGGGGGTGCAGGGAAGGATGTGACACAGGGAAGGAGATTTAAGATCTCAAATTTATCTTCACTGACATGTGGCCCCAGAGACTTAAGGAATTGGGTTAGGGTGAAATAGAGTACACAAGGTGAGAATTTGGTGATCTTACCAAATATCAACCTTGGGGTGATCCAAGGATTTATATTCATTTTTAGAACATCACTATACACCTAGAAATAGGTGTGTGTCTGGGATAGGTGTGTGAGGGGACAGAAGTGAGGTTGAAGGTAGGGTGCTTGAAGAGAAGAGAGCACAAGGATTATCAGGAGCTTGGCAAGAGAACTTAAAATCCTTTTTGACTGTTACTTTCTCGTGGTTCTCAGCCTTCAGTGTACATAAGAATCACCAGAGGAGTTTGTTAAAAATACAGATTCTAGCTCCTTGGTCAGGGATGAATCCCAAGTATTTATCTGTATTTTTACTAATAGACATCCTATCTTGGTGGATTCCTGAGCTGTAAGCTAACCCCAGAATGCCTATGGGAAGAGCAGCAGGGTACAGGAAAATAATTAGGTATTAGGGTACGGGAGGCAGGAAGAGAAGTAGAGGATCAGATCTGGTAGAGGGTCAGACTTGGGACAGTCAGAGAGATCATTGGTTTTGGGGAGTGGAGTGTGAAGAAAATGACAGGGAGAGATGGGTGCAGGCTTTATGATAGGGGATCACAGGAGATAGGGGAGGCCTGGCTGTGAGCTCAAACTCATCCACCATGACAGGTGATTCCCTGGAGGTGGCGGGGAGCAGACGTGGGACCTGGGAGAAGGGAACTGGAGAACATCAGAGGCATCAAGCGGGGTGGGATGGGAAGGCAGAAGAACCAGAATGTGTCAATTGGAATGAGTCGGTTTCCTGCCTGCAAATCCAGATCCTTGCAAGAGCAAAGAGAGGGAGGAGAACTAAGGAAATCTATTGGGGAGGGGGAGAGAATCACGTGGTGGAGAGAATCTGCAGTGATGAATAGTGTGTGGAAGAGGGAAACGGTTGCAAGAAAAGGTAGATAAGAAATCAGGAAACAAAATGGGGGGCATGCCTTGCCCTGTTGATATGTATCTTATATGTTCTTGTATGTCCTCATTGTTCCTATTAACCCTGTCTTTAGAGAAGTGGAGGGGCACTGAGGGGCTGTGGGAGAAGCTGGGAGCAGGATCTGGAGTAATAGATGTGGGGAGAGTGCAGGAAGGTGGGTCCTGAGAATGGTAAAGATTTACAAAGTTGCCCTAGTGGGAGGCATAAAGAGAAAACCTTCCAATGTTGTTGAGCACTGCCCTTGGCCAGAGTGAGGGTAGGGTGGGCAACAGAGAATTCTCAGTGACTGCTGGTTCTTCAGATTCCAACAGCTTCCCCTGGCTCCCCCTTCTCCAACTTCCCACCGTGTCCCAAATGTCAGGCCTCAGTGGGAGGTAAGCAGGCTCCAGAGTGCTTTCTTTATTTCCTTTCTACTTATCCTCCCCTCCTGGCAACATTTCACCCTCCTTAGTCCCCTGAGCCCCCTGTCTGTGTCCCCTCTGCCCTGGCTCCCCACTGGCTGCCATTTCGTCTTCACATGCATTGGGGTTCCAGCAGCTTCTGAAATGTCATATATCAGTGGGAGGGGAACAGGCAGTGGGAGACCCAAGGCTGGCTCTTCCTCCCCCATTTCCCCTCCTCCCAAGCTTCCTTTCTTCTCCAGCTTTCTGCTTGTTTACTTTCCCTAGCTCCAAGCCTCTCTTTAAGGCACCTCTCAAATTGTCTGGTTTCTTGAGAGTTCCATTCTATTCATTCTCTCTGTTCTTTCCTCATCCTACATTCTTCCCTACTTCCACCCCCCAGTGTCTTTTTTTCTAATGGACCTGTCAAATGTCAGCGCCCAGCAGGAGGGATGGATCACTGAGCGGGACCCCCTACTGGTCTTGTTCCTGTTCTCTCTTTACTTATCACTAGCTCTGAAAAGAGAAGAGGGAGGAAACAAATGGAAGGTGGGGAGAAGGGGTTTGCAGAGGTGAGGAAGGAATTTTCATAATATGGCTTTGAGCAAGCTATCTGGGGATGTGGAAAGAGTTTACCGTATTCCTACTGACTTCTTCCACCCACTGGTGTTTGAAGCATAGAAACATGGGGTAAAGGGCTTGGTGACAGAGGGAAGGGGGATGTCTGAGGGTGAGCTGAAAGGAGGTAAGGTGGTATGTTCATTAATACCAAAGGAGGGGTGTGCAGGAGAGGTGATGGGTAAGGCTCCAGATGGAAGACAGAGAAGGAAGTTTAATGAAAGAGGAGAAAAAAGGCACTTGACAGGAAGAGATGCCAGAAAGGAGAAGAAAACGGTAATTAATGATGAAAGTGAGTAATTGAGAAAGGAACTAATTTGTTCGAGAAAGATAAGAGCAGGAATTGCAGACAGGGGAGGGGCCCCAGGAGAGCTTGCCCTCATCTCCTCTTGTCTTTCAGTGTGATCCAGGCCAAGCCACCAAGTACCTATATGAGCTGCTCTACAACGACCCTATCAAGATCATCCTTATGCCTGGCTGCAGCTCTGTCTCCACGCTGGTGGCTGAGGCTGCTAGGATGTGGAACCTCATTGTGGTAAGCAGGGCTATGGGGGTCAGAAGATGGGGTCATTCCCTTTTGAGCTCTACTGAAGGGACGATGGCGATTGTGGGTTTGTATTGAAAAGGAGTGTGGAGGACCTGCTACTAAGATTCAGAGTCCTCTGCAGACCTGAGCTAGGCAGCCTCCTAGCAACAGTGGCCTGACAGTGCTGCAGCTGACCTCCTTCTTCAGAAGGAATTGAAATTAGATCAGTGAAAGAGCATCCCGGTTGTGAGGGGTGTGTGGGCCTTTGAGAATCTCTTTTCCTTAGGCAGACCAGAGGTGGGGAGGTTTGGAGAGAGTAAGGAAGAGAAACCCAAAGGCAGGAAGAGGGTTAAAGGAACTCTTGGCCACTCTTGGTGTCCTCAGTGAACAGACCCTGTTGCACTCACTCTCCCTGCCCCACAGCTTTCCTATGGCTCCAGCTCACCAGCCCTGTCAAACCGGCAGCGTTTCCCCACTTTCTTCCGAACGCACCCATCAGCCACACTCCACAACCCTACCCGCGTGAAACTCTTTGAAAAGTGGGGCTGGAAGAAGATTGCTACCATCCAGCAGACCACTGAGGTCTTCACTTCGGTGAGGAGGGGTTGGGCAAGGGGTAAAGGGACATAAGCTCAAATTCCAGCACCAGGAGATGTGACGTGAGAGTCACTTTTAGGGGCAAGAACTTGATTCTTCATTGAAAGAGAACGCATTCCATGTGGATTAAGTGCAGTTCTTTCTGTAGCCAGGGGAAAGAATGAGTTGAGTTTTTGGGATCCTCTCTGTCTTTATGATTTTATGATTTTTTTCCCCTGTTTGATGCCCTGTTCCCCAGACATATAGACCCAGAATGACTCAGTTCTGTTAAAGTAGGTTCAATCCAAAGTGGGGGCAAGAGATGGGAGCGAAGATGAGATAGGAATCCAGGAAGGCAGCAGATTCCAGAGGCTTTCAAGGGGGGTGGTGGGTGGGTGTGAATGGGAACAGAGGGGATGGAGCCAGTGGATTACAGAGGAGAGAGGGAGAGGAAAGAGAGAGAGAGAGAGGAATGAGGGAGAGGAGAGAGAGGGGCAGAAAGGCAGCTGCATGGATCTGGTAGTTGGTACTAAGAGAGAGAAGCCGACAGACAAGGAGAGGTTGAGGGGGAAGAGGGAGATTTGGGGAGGTAGAGAGGAAATACAGGCTCTACATCTGAAGAAGGCAGTCTGCTCCCTCCCTTTTATTCTATTCTTTGGGTCTTCTATCCACTGTGTTCAGTGGCCCTTTAATCCTCCCCCACTTTCACTCTGATTCAGACCATTCTTCTCTGATCCTTTGTCTGTCTGCCCATTTGCCTCTTGAGGTTGACATCATGCTGTCTGTCCCAGTCCTTGCCTTGTCTTTTCCTGGTTCCTTTATGTTTCTTTACCCCATCTTTGCCTTCAGTGGTAGGAGTGGGTGAATGGAGTGGCTTCCCCCACACAGAGCCTCAGCAGGGGCTCACCATTCACCTTCCCACTTGGAATCCACATCCTAAGACCAGATGCCTTCCCGAACTCCTCACTTCAGGGACAGAAGCTGTTGAAGGAAGGTTCAGAATGGCTGCTTCTTTGCTCTATCTGAGTATTGCTCTGAAATCCCCAGTTAACCTCTCTGGTCTTTATTCCCTCATGCACCCCGTGTTTTTCCAACTTGTTTTTTATTCCCACCCAAGACTCTGGACGACCTGGAGGAACGAGTGAAGGAGGCTGGAATTGAGATTACTTTCCGCCAGAGTTTCTTCTCAGATCCAGCTGTGCCCGTCAAAAACCTGAAGGTCAGATGGCTGGGAGTGGTGGGCTCTGTTTACGGAGGGACCAAGCTGGGGGACAGTGACTGGTTGGAGAGGAAAGCCAGGCGGGGGCAGGTTTTGATTCTCTGAGGCAATAGCATCTCCTGGGGAAGTTTAGCTCCATCTTCCAGTTGACGTTTATTCACTATACGTTGAGCGTTACCCTGCACTAAGCACTTTGGGATGGGAAATCAAAGCTGTGAAGACATCTGGCTTAGCCCCTCAGGCATTCCCGGGCATCCCTCAGGAGCTGTTTCTTTCTCTGTTGTAGCGCCAGGATGCCCGAATCATCGTGGGACTTTTCTATGAGACTGAAGCCCGGAAAGTTTTTTGTGAGGTGGAGTTGGATCTGAAGAGGGAGGGGCACTGGGTGGGAGTTTCCCTTGGTTTTCTTGTGGGGCCTCCTCTTGGCATCTGTGCCTGAGTTGATAGCATATGATCTGAGGTGACGATTCATAGGATGTCTCTGTCTGTTGGCTCTGACTGCATCCCTTGTCTGCACACACATGATACTTTCTTCAGATCTCATTTTTCTACTGCTTTGTGTTTCCTGAGAAGCCCATGAATTCCATCTGTCCTGACTGGCTGGAAAAGGCCACTCAGAAATACAGGGGCTGGGGAGAAACTTAGAAGGAAGAATTGTCAGCCTTTCCTACTATCCCCAAGACTTGTAGATTTCTCTTTTTAGTTCTACTGCTCTTCCCTGATTCCCAAGAGGCTAAATAGTATCAAGTGAGATAAGACAAAAACAAACAAATGAGCAAACAAAAACTCAGCCATTCTCCTCTGTATTCAGGTGTACAAGGAGCGTCTCTTTGGGAAGAAGTACGTCTGGTTCCTCATTGGGTGGTATGCTGACAATTGGTTCAAGATCTACGACCCTTCTATCAACTGCACAGTGGATGAGATGACTGAGGCGGTGGAGGGCCACATCACAACTGAGATTGTCATGCTGAATCCTGCCAATACCCGCAGCATTTCCAACATGGTGAGAGTGTGGGGACTTGCAGTCTGGCACCTGGGAGGGTGGAGAGGACTGAGGGGGCCTTGCAGGGGAAAGGGTGGCAGGGAGAGGGTGCGGAATTTGGATATAAAGGAGAAGAGGGGGCTGTGCCCACCCTGAACTTGTCTGCATTATGTTTCCTGTGGATCCTACCTTTGCTCTGACTTCCTTGGGTAGAGAGAGAAAAAAAAAAAAACGATGGAGTTGTATGTTCAGTAGGTTCCTGATGAGTGGAAGGGCTGTTACCATGGAGACGAGGAGCAGTTGGTGAGAAGTCAGGAGGAACCGGCATTAATGATAATATGGATGCTTGTATACTCAAGCACACCTTTACAGGAGCACTGTGTCTGGGCAGAATTGCATTTCATTTTCTTGGTGATTTATGTTAGTGTTTTAGAGTTGCTTAATATTCACTCATGATTGATATGCAATTAGCTTGGATCCTGTTGCTTTTTTTAATGATTCTTTTTTTAGAATTTTATGTGGAGAAGGGGCTTTTGAAATCATTTAGCCCCAGACAGCTGGTTAATGACAGACTTGGAGCGAGGAGGCGCATTCTCTGATTTGAGAGGGCTGGGGCAGCCCTGCAGCTGAGGGGCAGAAGTGAGTGTGGGTGTGGGCACAGGGGAAGAGGCTTCTTTGTTGCTCAGCACTACATTGTAAAGAGTACAGGAATTTTGGGTAAGCTCGATACGGCCACCTATGTGTCTGCTTATTACACCAAGTGTGTACCTGCTTTGGAGAGCATGTTAGGGGTGAGTTAATGGTTGTAAAGCCCCAAAATAGCTTGATTTAAAAAGTTTTACTAACAGTGGCATTTGTGTGGTACTTAGATTCATGATTTCAGGGATTCTAACAGCAAAACTCTGATGTGGACTTATCTACATTTTGTAGACCAGGAAAATGAGACTCAGAGTGGTTTAATGACTTGTCTCAGGTCATGCAGCTACTCAGCAGTCCAGCTGGAATTGAATCCTAGTTAAATCTGGCTCCAAACTGCTCTGCTCATCACTTCCCATGGAAAACCATGAAGCCTGACTAAAAAGTTTGTACTTTTATCTGCTAACACTGTTTAGCTACTGGCAATTGCTGAGCAAAGGAGAAATAAGATTTAGGAAGTTGACTCTGGTGGTGTGTTGTGATGAAAGATCTGCTGCCACATGGACTCTGATGATACACACTGTTTTGGGACATTCTAAATGGACTCTATGTTTTAAGGTATGTTAGTTGAAAAATACAATGAAAAAATTTTGGAAGATCACTTTCCTGTAGAGTACCCAAGAGGTGAGTCATCCATAAAACCTGGGAAAGTATTGGAACTGGCTACCAAAGCCAGAAAGACTTGTTGGTGCCCTGAGCCCAGGACTTGCCAATCGTTGCTTCTGTCTTATAGCAGGGAGCTAGAGGAGGCTGACAGAAAACAGGGATTTGGCTGGATCTAGTGGCTCACACCTGTAGTCCCCAGCACCTTGGGAGGCCAAGGCAGAGGATCACTGGAGCCCAGGAGTTCAAGACCAGCCTGGGCAATATAGTGAGACCCCCAGCTCTAAACAAAAAGAGAGAGAGAGAGAACAGAGAGATGGTTAGGGACATAGAGGGACACCTGAGCATTGGGGTGGGAAGACTTGGAAGGTCCCTTTCTGACTTTGTGTCTAGAGAAAGATGGTTCCTGCTTTTGAGGCCATAGGGCTTCCAGTGGGACCAGCCTAAAATGCCAGTGGGGAAGCCAATGTTTTCTGAAGAGGATAGAGCAGTCTTAACAATAGGTTAGGGGCAAAAGAGATTATAGATTAATCAAACAGCACAAATAGAAGTGGATCAAAGCAAGGGTTGGACCTAGGGGGCCGGAGCCATGGAGACTTAGAAAAGAAGCAGAGTTGCTTTTATTCCCTAAGGATGGCCTTATGTTTAGATCAATAGTTCTCAAACTTTAACATCCGTCAGAACCACCTGGAAAGGTAGTTAGTTCACAGGTTATCAGGCCCTTCCCCTGGAAATTCTGATTCAGTAGATCTGGGCTAGGGCCTGAGAACTGACATTTCTAGCAAGTCCCTGGGGATGCAGATGTACTGGTCTGGGGATCACACCTCGAGAACTATTAGTTAGGGTAGTGGTTTTCAACTACTACCCTAGACTCAGACGCTATACTATCTGGAGGCATTTTTGGTTGTTACAGTTGGGGGTAGGGGATGGGGAGGGATACATGCTCCTGATATCTAATGTGTAGAAGCCAAAGATGATTCTAAATATCCTACAAAGCACAGCCCCTGGCAACAAAGAATTATCTTGCTCAAAATGTTAATAGTGCAGAGAATGAGAAACCCTAGTTTAGAGAAAACATCTTTAGGGGCAATATGTGGAAATGGAGAGTGGGTTAGAGTGGTTTTAGAGAAATGTAGCTGTGGGCTAGAGGGGAATGTGGGAGGTGGCATCCTGGAGATAAGATTGTGAGGAAATCTTGATTGGGGTAGAGATCCCATCAGACCTAGGACCAGTACAAACTAAAAAGCTACCTCAAGATATACATTTTAGCCCACTGTCAAGCATCCATTCTTGAGAGCCAGACAAGGCTGTTAAAAAAATTAGGTATAAATTTGCACTTGGTTGATTAACTAATTGCTGTGGGTTGAGGGGTCTTTATTGTTCAGATTTCCTTAAGCTGCAGAGTAGAGTGTCTCTTTGACAATCTATAACTGTATCTTTACTGACTCAAGGGGGAAGCATTCTACTCTTCTTTACTCTTGGGGTGGCAGGAGCAGTGGTGCCCCCAGTGGTTAGGCGTGTTAGTGGTAGTGACCTGGCGTGAGCACAGGGTCTGACCACCTGAGCAGGGGACCGCATCGTGCTGAGCAGATTAATCCCTTTCTTTCTGGGTGATTTTTTTGATGCCATATTTACCTTGAACTGAAGATTGGATAGACCAATCTTTCAATTTGAAGCCAAAAGACTACTCAAAGTATTAGCCTAGCTGCTATTTGTGCAGGTGCTCTTAGAGAGAGGCAGTCTCATGTACAGAGACTGTGTAGGGTGGCTGGTAAGAGTATGGATTAGCTCTGCTACTCATTAATAGTATAACTTTTTTATAGGCAAGTTATATAACTTTTCTGTGCCTCAGTTTTCTTATCTCTAAAATGGGGATAATAACACCTCATTGGATTGTTTGAGGATTAAATAAGGTAATATAGTTTCCTCAGGAAAATGCTCGATACGTCCTAAGGACTGTATACATGTTAGCCACCATCATCGTTATCATTATCATCATCATCCTGTGTAAGGAGGGATCGATATCAATGAAACATTTCAACAAAAGAGTTAAGAGGACTCAGTGATTTGAAAGGGTCTGATGTAATTCCAAGGCTTCAGTCTCATTTACTGGGAGCTGTTTGGGAGTAAGAAAAAATTGAGCTTCATCTTGGATATTTTGATTTTGAGATTATTCATCATACATTAAAAATGCCTCAGAGTCAGTTAGAAATATGGACTTGAGGCTGGGCGCGGTGGCTCACGCCTATAATCCCAGCACTTTGGGAGGCTGAGGCAGGTGGATCACAAGGCCAGGAGTTCAAGACCAGCCTGGCTAACATGGTGAAACCCCGTCTCTGCTAAAAATACACAAATCAGCTGGGTGTGGTGTCGTGTGCCTGTAATCCCAGCTACTTGGGAGGCTGAGACACAAGAATCGCTTGAACCCAGGAGGCAGAGGTTGCAGTGAGCCAAGATCGCACTACTGCACTCCAGCCTGGCAACAGAGCAAGACTCCATCTCAAAAAAAAAAAAAAAAAAAGAAAGAAAGAAAGAAAAGAAATATGGACTTGAAATATTGGGCTGAAATTATAGATCTGAGTATCAATAACAAAGATGAGGTTGAGAGTCAAGGAAATTCACGTAGAGAAAATGTAACTTACTTCATACCCAGCATTTTTATACATGTTCTAATTTCATTTCATACTATTTTAGATAGTATTATTCTCATTTTAAAGCTGAATAACCAACTAGTGAGGTTTAATAACTTGTTTGAGATTTCATAGCAGGTAAAATGATTAGAATATGAATTCATCCATTTATCTATCCAACAGACTTTTTTTTTTTTTTTTTTTTTTTTAGTAGAGACGGGGTTTCACCGTGTTAGCCAGGATGGTCTCGATCTCCTGACCTCGTGATCCGCCCGCCTCGGCCTCCCAAAATGCTGGGATTACAGGCGTGAGCCACCGCGCCCAGCCTTTTTTTTTTTTTTTTTTTGAGGTAGAGTATCCCTCTGCTGCCCAGGCAGGAGTGCAGTGGTACAATCGCTGCAGCCTTGACCTCCTGGGCTCAAGTCATCCACCCACCTCAGCCCCTCCCAAGTAAGCTGGGATCACAGACATATGCCACCAAGTCTGGCTAACTTTTTTTTTTTTTCTCGAGATAGAGTCTTGCTCTGTTGCCTAGGCTGGAGCACAATGGTGTGATCTCGGCTCACTGCAACCTCTGCCTCCTGGGTTCCAGTGATTCTCCTGCCTCAGCCTTCTGAATAGCTGGGATTACAGGTGCGTGCCACCATGCCCAGATAAGTTTTTGTATTTTTAGTGGACATGGGGTTTCACCATGTTGGTCAGGTTGGTCTCGAACACCTAACCTCATGATTCACCCTCCTCAGCCTCCTGAAGTGCTGGGATTACAGGCGTGAGCCACTGCTCCAAGCCAAGTCCGGCTAATTTTTTTTTTTTCTGAGATGGAGTCTTGCTCTGTTGCCCAGGCTGGAGTGCAATGGCATGATCTTGGCTCACTGCAACCTCCGCCTCCTGGGTTCAAGCGATTCTCCGATTCTCCTGCCTCAGCCTCCTGAGTAGCTGGGATTACGGGAGCCCACCATCACACCCAGCTAATTTTTGTATTTTTTTTTTTGAGACAGAGTTTCATTCTTATTGCCCAGGCTTGAGTGCAATGGCGCGATCTTGGCTCACAGCAACCTCCGCCTCCCAGGTTCAAGCCATTCTCCTGCCTCAGCCTCCGGAGTAGCTGGGATTACAGGCATGCGCCACCACACCCGGCTAATTTTGTATTTTTAGTAGAGACAGGGTTTCTCCATGTTGCTCAGGCTGGTCTCGAACTCCGGACCTCAGGTGATCCACCCGCCTCAGCCTCCCAAAGTGCTGGGATTACAGGCGTGAGCCACCGTGCCCAGCTAATTTTTGTATTTTTCATAGAGACAGGGTTTCACCATGTTGGCCAGGCTGGTCTTGAACTCCTGACCTCATGATCTGCCCGCCTTGACCTCCCAAAGTCCTGAGATTACAGATGTGAGCCTCCGTGCCCAGGCCAAGTCTGGCTAATTTTTAAAAAAATTTTGTAGAGTTGGGTCCTCTCTGTTTTGCCCAGTCTTGTCTCAAACTCCTGGGCTCAAGGAATCCTCCTGCGTTGGCCTCTGAAAATGAAAATGTTGGGATTACAGGCGTGAGCCCCCTGTGCCTGGCTGCCTTTTTTTTTTTTTTTTTTTAAAGGCAGAGTCTCACTCCATCGCCCAGGCTGAAGTGCAGTGGCGTGATCTCTGCTCACTGCAACCTCTGCCTCTTGAGTTCAAGCGATTCTTCTACCTCAGCTTCCCAAGTAGCTGGGATTACGGGAGCCCACCAACACACCCAGCTAATTTTTGTATTTTTAGTAGAGACGGGTTTCACCAGGTTGGCCAGGCTGTCTGGAATTCCTGACCTCAGGTGATCCACCCTCCTTGGCCTCCCAAAGAGCTGGGATTACAAGTGTGAGCCACTGTGCCCAGCCTGACTTGTTTTTTATAATGCCTTTTTTTTTTTTTTTTGAGACGGAGTCTTGCTCTGTCGCCCAGGCTGGAGTGTAGTGGCGTCATCTCAGCTCACTGTAACCTCCACCTCCTGGGTTGAAGTGATTTTCTCACCTCAGCCCTCAGCCTCCTGAGTAGTTGGGACTGCAAGTGCACACCACCATGCCCAGCTAATTTTTTGTATTTTAGTAGAGATGGGGTTTCACCATGTTGCCCAGCTGGTCTTTAACTCCTGAGCTCAGGCAGTCTGCTTACCTTGGCCTCCCAAAGTGCTAGGATTAAAGGTGTGAGCCACTGTGCCTGGCCTTTTTTTTTTTTTTTTTTTTTTTGAGCAGTTTTAGTTTCCCAGCAGAATTGAGATGAAGGTACAGAAACTTCCCATATGCTTCCCACATGCATAGCCTTCTACATTATCGACATCCTCCGCCAGAGTGGTACATTTGTTACAACTGATGAACCTACATTGATACATCATAATCACCCAAAGTCCATAGTTTACATTAGAGTTCACCCTTGGTGTTATATATTCTATGGGTTTGGACAAATGTATAATGAGACGTATCTACTATTAAATACTTTACAGAGTATTTTCACTGGCCTAATCCAATGGACATTTATTGTTACTTCATTATGGTTGGGCACAGTGCTAGATGCTGATGATTAAGAGAGGGCATGGGATTTGGTCTTGTCCTCAAGGGTAGAACCTAGGCCCATTGCATCTTCAAAGCCCAGGCTCCTTCAAAGCCCAGTGTAGTAGCAACTGCTGTACCTTGCCTGTGCCCTTTGCGTATCTCACTCCTCTATCTCTCTAGAAAGTTGGAGAGAAAAGTGAGCAAGGCATGAGGAACAAAGTTATTTATTTATTCTTCATTCATCTATTTATTCTTTCATTACCGTTTGTGTTAAAACATTCCAAACCCAAACAATTATTTGTATGGTCCCCTGTGTATTACTTGTGGTTTCCCAAGAAGTAGTTGCTAAGCTTTTCCTTGTATGGTTTCTGTGAGGTAAGGAAGGAATGATGTGATTTTCTCCAGTATGTAGAATGCAGTTCCAAGAGGTTAAGTAATTTACTTACAGTTATTTAGCCAAACAAGGTTACTGCAAGGTATATGAAGTCAGGTCTCTTGACCCAGTTCATGAGAGAGTTAAAGGAACTATCATTCTTTTTAGCTTTCATGGAAAAAGAAGGTTGAGTGTTGGGAGGGGTGTGGGTAGGATTGATAATGGACTTCAAAAATGTGAAGGGTATTTCTGTAGTTTTCATTCTTCTGAAAGCCTTCTAAGAGGCAGTGAACCAAAAGCACACAAGAATGGCAAGAAGTTAGCATGCTGAAGAAATATCCTCCTGGCTGGCAAGCAGAGTGAGAAGACTGCTATCACCTTTTCTAGAATCTTTTGGAATTGTAGGAGCTGTTAGATCCTGGGTTAACTCTATGAAGAAAGTCAGAAGGATCAGAGAACATCAGTGTCACAGCTCTTCATTGGAATATCCATGTCTCCTCCTTTACTCTGCTCTACCTTCCATCCTTTGCCACTAATTATCCAGAGTGTTTGTCAAAATTCTCTGTTTGCAGTTCTGAGCTAGCAACTGTACACACTAACACCATCAGACACAGCTAATACCTACTCTAGTCTAGTAGCTTCCGATCTAAGGCAGACACATGGGTATAGTTAAAGATTTTGAATGTACATGTGTCCAATCTGACAACAGTAACACAAACCATCCATTCAAGTAGAAGTGATTGAGTCAGAATTGGATTGCACCCCTTCCCCCACACCCACACACATTTCAGTTCTTTCCTCATGATTTTTTCCTCCCAAGACATCCCAGGAATTTGTGGAGAAACTAACCAAGCGACTGAAAAGACACCCTGAGGAGACAGGAGGCTTCCAGGAGGCACCGCTGGCCTATGATGCCATCTGGGCCTTGGCACTGGCCCTGAACAAGACATCTGGAGGAGGCGGCCGTTCTGGTGTGCGCCTGGAGGACTTCAACTACAACAACCAGACCATTACCGACCAAATCTACCGGGCAATGAACTCTTCGTCCTTTGAGGGTGTCTCTGTGAGTTAAAACTTCCTTCATACTCCCCTGTCTTCCCAATCTTGAGAGAGACTCCCAAGAGGCACCTTCTACAAACATGCATTCTCTGTTTTTCTCAGTTACTTCTTTGCAGAATCAGTCTCCGACCAGAGAAGTAGGGACCTTCAAATTAGAAGAACCCATCAAAGACTAGAGGAAAAAAAATGATGTATTCCATTTTTTTAAACCCCTCCCCTCATTTCTTTTCAAACTAGACCAAGTATTCATGAGTCAGATGAGAACTATAGGATTTTGAAAGACAAAACAGTCTGAAAGGTCATCTTCTTATTCCTTTTAAAATGAAAAGATTAGTTTCCAGAGAGATTTGCTGACTTGCTTAGGCCACACAACCAGAAGCCTGCTGGTGTTCTGTCTGGGGATTTTTTCCCATTCAAATCTCATAAGTGAAGCTCCTTCTCCAAAGAATAATGTTTCTAAAATCTAGGGTATGGGCATCTGGGGTATGTCCTATATGCAGGCAAATGCCATAAATAGCATTCATTCAGAGGCTCAATTACATCAAAAACAGAAGGATTTAAAGAGTCCCTGATGTTCTCTTTCACTCTTGCTTTTGTCTCCTTTGCCTTGCTCCACATGTTCCTTCCCTCAGGGCCATGTGGTGTTTGATGCCAGCGGCTCTCGGATGGCATGGACGCTTATCGAGCAGCTTCAGGGTTAGTACAGGGGCAGGAGGGGACCGGACATGGGGGCTAGGCTGGGGCTGGGCTGGGATGCCCCCTGGGGAAGAATGCCAGAGACATCACAAGATTGCCCTGGCACCTCCCAACTTCTGCCCTTCTCTTTTAACTCTGTTCATCAAGCTTGTAAATAATAATAATAATAAGCTTAACTACAAGAAGATTGATGTCTTTGAGTTGCACTGGTTTTGCTCTTGAAAAGAGGTGTGCAGGCTGGGTGTGGTGGCTCACCCCTGTAATCCCAGCACTTTTGGGAGGCCAAGGCAGGCAGATCATGATCATGGTCAGGAGTTTGAGACCAGCCAGACCAACATGGTGAAACCTGTCTCTACCAAAAATACAAAAAAAAAAAAAAAAATTAGCTGGGTGTGGTGGCAGGTGCCTGTAGTCCCAGCTACTTGGGAGGCTGAGGCAGGAGAATCACTTGAACCCAGGAGGCAGAGGTTGCAGTGAGCTGAGATCACGCCACTGCACTCCAGCCTGGGTGATAGAGTAAGACTCTGTCTCAAAGAAAAAAGAAAAGAAAAGAGACATGCAAATTAAAAACAGCTACTCTCTTTCCCAGTGGCTTCCATTAATTTCAGGAATTTCCCCTTGAGTGGCTTGGGTTGAGAGGTTGATGACCTGTCAGTTAGACTCAAGAAAGCTGAATCTAGGAGAACCGCTATTTTTTTTTTAAGGGAATCTGCCAAATTTCCTTGCTGTGTAAAGCTTCAATGTGTATAGCTTGGCTTTTGTAGATTGTATTTTCTTGAAACTTAGCACACAGGTATTTGCAGAACTTCTAGGAGTTAATTTTTCTGCTCCACTCGGCTCTCAGTCTTTTACGGCATGGCCAAGAGAGCTATTTCTTGGCCTCCTGTGAAAAGTTTCTTTCTTCCTTTCTCCCCACCTCCACATCCTTTCAGCTCCTCTTTGTATCCAGGACAAGAGGAAATGGACTTCAGCCATGGTGAAAGGAGTGTGAGTTGGCTTTTGAAGGAAAAGTTATGGTAACGGAAACAGTTCTAGAACAGAAATCTTAGAAATGACCAAATTTTACTCAATGGCGCTTTAAGAGGCAGATATAACTTATCCAAGGAATTAAAACCCAAGCCAACAGAAGAGAATGTTCTAAAATTAAAATGAAAGCCACTGGGAAAATAGAGCCTGCCCATCATGAGAGGAAGAATAAGCAGAAATATGTGTAAAGCTTTAGAAGCCAAAATCAAAGTGAGAGACATCTCGCCGAGAGAGGTGTGAGGAATGGAATAGGTGGCAGACATGTTGTGGAGCCTCCTCACTGAAGACTTTTAAACATAGATATTCTTATTTATTTGAGTTGTCTTGGGAACCACCTTATATTGCTTTTAAGTCATGTTGCTGATTCAAGAGTCTCGTAGGTCCTTCCAAGCATCCTTAGGGCCTCAGGTGAAAATAAAATCAGATACAACCATGCAAAGCTCTAGGGAAGTGGGAAGTTGAAAATGCCTAGGATCAGCTCTTTGGCTACCTGTGGTCACTCCTTTTATTGTCGTCTGCCCAGGTGGCAGCTACAAGAAGATTGGCTACTATGACAGCACCAAGGATGATCTTTCCTGGTCCAAAACAGATAAATGGATTGGTGAGTGGATCTTGTTTGTATTTTCCTTCAGCCCCTCTCGACAGTCAAGGGAAAAAGTCATGCCTTTGAGTGAGGATGGAATGGTAGAGACTGTTAGGTTGGAATGTGGCTGGCAGCTGGGCCAGGAGAAAGGGTTAAGTGAGAGTGAATACAACCCCTAAGGCGTGGGTAGGGGAGACTGGTGTATTTGGAGAGGGAATAGGCGGTGGTTAGTACTATTTTTAATGGTGCATTGCTGGGGTAACTGGGGATTAGAGGCAGGGGGTGGGCAGAGGGCGGGAAATGGAAACTCCATTTGGGTTTCCCAGATGTCCTGGTGTCTTGATATATTTGAACCAGCTACTTCAAGCCCAGAGCTGTCTCTTTGTCTGTCTCTGTCAGGAAAACGGTTGCTTAAACTATGGAGGAGGAGGGAAAACCTCATGTAATTGTCATCTGCCAAAATGTGCTTTTTATTTTTATATGTATTTTTAAAAATTTTCCTATTTTTATGTAATTTAGAGGTAGACGTGCAGTTGTGTTACATGAATATATTGCATAGTGGTGAAGTCCGGGCGTTTAGTGTGCCTGTCACCCGAACAGTGCACCTTGTACCTAATAGGTAGTATTACATCCCTCAAAATATACTTTTTAAAGAGAGAAAGCAAGCAGTTATTCTTTGTGTACTTGGTCTAAATGATAGGACATAGGAGAGAAACTGAAGGTGGACAAAAGGAAGGACCTACTGATAAAAGAAAGCCTCCTTGAGAATGAAGGGGAGGCTCAACCATTGAAGATGGCTGCCGTCTGCCCTGCCCAGCAGATATCCAGTCATTCCCAGCACTGCTGGAGTTTTGCCCTTTTTTTTTTTTTTTTACAATTCGAATTTAGGACAATGTTCTGGATTGCTATAAATGCTGCATGGCCTAAATTATTCTTTAAAAAAAAAACTAAGCAAATTGAAATTAGTTTTTTTTGGTGAACTCTGACAAATTTGAACTTCCCCCTAATAATAACTGGAAAACATATTTGGGAATATTACCCTGCCAGGATTAAAATTTCAGATTAGCTTTCCTTCTTTTTTTGTTTGTCTTAAGAATAGGTGTCCACACTAGATACTTCAAGGCCTTTTTAGCTTTATGATTCCATAATTGTCATTTAAAACTTTGATTTGGGTTATAAGAAACCTTATAACATTTTTTAATGATCCCCTTCTTTCTCCTCCCATTTTCCTTTGCTGTAAGAAAGACAGAAAAACTTAAAGAACAAACAAAAACAAAGACTACAACTTTGGGGACATGCCTCAGCATTTCCCAACCTATGGATAGACCATTCACTCCATCTTCTCATCTCATTTCTGGTTGCTTCCTAACGGCCCCAGTGGCACTGAGCATTCTGCCTGCAGTAACCTCTGTCCAGTGCAGTTAGGGCCTCATGTCCCCAGCCAATGACTGAATGTCCATCAGCAATCTAGTTCTTTGCCCTTTTCTCCTATCCCGTCTTCATTCCTTTGTCCTCCTTCCCTTCTCTTTTCCCTTCCCCTCTTCCTCCCCTGTGCCATGCAGGAGGGTCCCCCCCAGCTGACCAGACCCTGGTCATCAAGACATTCCGCTTCCTGTCACAGAAACTCTTTATCTCCGTCTCAGTTCTCTCCAGCCTGGGCATTGTCCTAGCTGTTGTCTGTCTGTCCTTTAACATCTACAACTCACATGTCCGGTAAGTTTCTCTTCTGACGTTTTCCTTGTCTGCCTCTCTGAGATACTGATCATGTTCCTGGACAGGATGAGAATAAAACCTGTGTAACTCCCATGGCCATGTATCATGGAGTTTTTCATTCTGACTTGTTGAGAATGAAAACAGGGAAACCAGATATAACCCCCACTCCTACTCCAAAGTAGCTAACGGGAGGAAAAAAGAAAAGAAGAGAAAAAAACAACCTTTGGGGCCAGGTCTCACAGTCTTGGACTCTACATAAATAGCCTGTATTCTAGTGGGGGCCTGTGCTTGGGAAGCCCTCTGCAACTCCATCTTCAGCCCCATGACTGCATTGCTCTGCCTCTCAAGGCTCCACTGTCTTCTCCAATCCTGTCTTCCTTTAGCCCCTGGCCCTGAAATTAGGGTCATGCCATTGCGTGGTATTTGGAGAGCTCAGCCTCCCTGGAGAAGAGGGGTAATTCTCTCTCCCTCTCACCCTCTCCACCTCTGCCCTAGTTATATCCAGAACTCACAGCCCAACCTGAACAACCTGACTGCTGTGGGCTGCTCACTGGCTTTAGCTGCTGTCTTCCCCCTGGGGCTCGATGGTTACCACATTGGGAGGAACCAGTTTCCTTTCGTCTGCCAGGTGAGGAGGTGGTGGGCAAATTCCTTACAGGATGTGACTCTCCCACCCGTCTCAGGAGCACCTTCCATGATTTATGATTCTCTGCCCTTCCTCCTCAGCTTTCCCTGACTCTTGTCCCTGTTCTTTCCTTCTAGCATCACCCCTCTGTTCTCTGTTTGGCTCTGTCCCTTCTTTCTGTGTCTGCAGGCCATTTTCATTCTGTAGTTTACTTGTCAGTTCCAAGGTTGCCATGGCAGGCCTTGCAGAGAAGAGGAGGGAGCCATTGAAGGCAAAGGAAGGGGATCTGCTCAAAGGTCTCCTGAACAATGGTGGCTTGTCTGTGGTATGGGGGCTGAGAATCAGAACTGTGGACTTTTTTTGGGAGCCTTTGTTGGGTTTGGAAGGATAGAAGCAGAGATGGAAACACAGCAGAGAGTTGGGGGGAAGGGACCACTGCCACACAGGGAGGAGGGGCTCTGGGACTGTTGGTACATGGAAGGTTCTAGTGCTGTGGGGAGAGGCCAGCTTCAACAGTGATAGTTGAGTGGTTCTCTTTTCCACTGGTGGAAACACCCACTCTTTCTCCTGATCTGCCTGCCTGTCCTTGCTCTCTCTTTTTCCTCTGCTCTGTGCTGTCCTGATCATACATCTGTGCACATGGCATTTCCATGCACATGCACATGCAGTTCATCAGGAATCCTCTGTTCCCAGTGAGGCCAGAGTGCAGCTGGAGAAGCAGACAATTAGCTGTAGTGCAATAGGAGAGGTTCCAGAGTAGGGATCTGCACAAAGTGCTTTGGGGGCAAAGAAGGGAACACAGTTCACTGCTGGCGTGATTGGGTGGACCTCACTGAAGAGGTGGCATTTGAATACTGAAGGACAAATAGGATTTTATCAGCTAGAGAAATAGAGGAAGGCTACTTCAGGGGCATAGGGAGCATCGTGTGGCTAGAAAATACATGAAAGAGAGTAGATGAAGAGAAAGTGAGTAGTTCAGCATGGCTGGAGCGTGGGGTAGGTGTGGGGCTGGGAGATGAGCCTAGCTGGACAGGTGGATGGGAGCATGTTGTGAAGGGTCTGTGTCATATCCAGAAGTGTTCAGGCTATAACTTATAGATATTGGGGAGTGGTTGGAGGTTTTTGGCCACTAAAGCCAGGAGGTTTTAGCAAGATCACCCTGGTGGTGTGGAAGTAGAGGGTGGATGGGAGGAATTGTTCAAGGTGGGGAGACTGCTCTCCTCCTGCCGCTCCCCGTCCTGCTCACATTTTCGCATCCTCCCTGTGCCACCATGAGCTCCCTGCCCGTGCTCCCTGCCCACTCTCCCTTAGGGTTCTGCCCATCCTTACTGCAGTCCCGGCTACTACTCTACCCTGTTCTGCCTGTGCCCTCTCTTCCTTTCTAGGCCCGCCTCTGGCTCCTGGGCCTGGGCTTTAGTCTGGGCTACGGTTCCATGTTCACCAAGATTTGGTGGGTCCACACGGTCTTCACAAAGAAGGAAGAAAAGAAGGAGTGGAGGAAGGTGAGCTGCTGCCCAATCCTCAGCCCCCAGATCCTTGGCTCCTGGGGCACAGAGCATTTTCCCCTGACGTGCCTGTTCTCCCCACATATTTATCCAGACTCTGGAACCCTGGAAGCTGTATGCCACAGTGGGCCTGCTGGTGGGCATGGATGTCCTCACTCTCGCCATCTGGCAGATCGTGGACCCTCTGCACCGGACCATTGAGGTACCACTGGAGAGGAGGTGCTATGGTCAGGAGAATGAGCAGGGCTCAGTGGCCATCAGGGCCCTGGGGCTGTGTGTGTCTTGAGGGATGAAGCTACTTGGAGAGAGTGCCTTCCTCGTATTGGAAGCTCTTCCTTTCCTTCCTAGAAGGAGCCCCTCATAGGCCTCCAGATTCAGCTGAAGAAAGGAAGGGGTGGGAATCTGGGAAGGGTGTGTAGAACTTCCAGGCATCAGGGAAAGTGGGGAACAAGCACCTCCAAGGGTTCAGGAAAACATTCTTAGGCCTAGAATGAGATTTGGCATCAGCATTGAGGGTCTCATAGGAAAACAGTTGGAAGCCAGAGACTGAGAAGCGTTGAGGAGAGGAGGGGAGGCTGGCAACCATCTTTCTTGTGACCTTGTTTCTGCCCTAGACATTTGCCAAGGAGGAACCTAAGGAAGATATTGACGTCTCTATTCTGCCCCAGCTGGAGCATTGCAGCTCCAGGAAGATGAATACATGGCTTGGTGTGTGGGATGTGGGCAAAGGAGGGCAGGGATGCACAAAGGCAGGAGGGAAGGCAGGGGTAGAGGGCTTGGAGGGAGAGGGGTCTTTGGAAGAGGAGGTAGAGAGCTTGTCAACCCAGTTTGAACACCCTACTCTTTGTTATTGCACTAATCTTTTCTGAGAATAGGGGAGAGTTGCTCTTTTGCTATGAGGAGCTTAGGGCCCAAAGCACAGAAAGCACAGATGAAGAACTTGTGTTCAGCAGAGGAACAAGTGGGGGTAACCCCACCTCCAGACTTGACATTATCTTTTAGATCCCCCTTGGCCTTATTAGCATTGTTCGATTCATGGTCACAAATTGCAAACCTACCCTCTGCCTGGAAAGCCACCTTCCCACCTGTAGGGTAAGGGTGAGGCATGTGTGGCCCAGACTGGCCTATTTCTAGATATTCAACAAGCCCTTGCCTGACTGACAGCAGCTTGCCACCATTGCTTTCCTGTGTGAATCCCAGGAAAAAGTGATGTGGTCTGGGCAAGTTGGGTGGACATAAGGGATAGGGGACACAGGGTGAGGTTTGCTAGGTCAGAGGGGTTGGATTGGAGAGGAGGGCCCCCTTTCCATTTCAGAGTAGGTGAAGGGCAGAGAGGGGATGGGGATTGAGTGAGGAGCATTGTGGTCCTTGTTGCTCAAGTGACTCTCTCCTGCCATCCTAGGCATTTTCTATGGTTACAAGGGGCTGCTGCTGCTGCTGGGAATCTTCCTTGCTTATGAGACCAAGAGTGTGTCCACTGAGAAGATCAATGATCACCGGGCTGTGGGCATGGCTATCTACAATGTGGCAGTGAGCACTGACCCCATGGCATTGACCCTGTAGGCTGACCACAGCAGCCCAGATATAGAGGACTAGGAAGAATCAATGCTAGATCTGGGATCGGTTGCTTAGAAGTCTTAAAAAGTTTGTTAATTCTTCAGGTCTATAAAGCACTTTACAGTTTACAAAGCTCACTACAGACATTGTATCATTAATCTTGCAACTACCCAGTGAAGTAGATATTAGTATCCCCACTTTATAGGTGAGGAAACAGAAACACAGAGACGTTAAATTGCTTGTCTGTGGTTAATGGGCTGGACTCTATTGACATTTCCTGCCAGGGACCGACTCTGGAGGACCCGGAATCTGTGCATAGAGATCCTGGGAGTTCCTGCCTTGAGGGGAGGGGTTAACCAAGAGTGAAAACTGGTTTGGGACAGTTTGAGATTTTTCTCAATCTATATTTGAGGATGATCCTGAATTTGGATCCTTTTCAAAGGGAAAGTTCACCAGGAAACTGTCTGCATAGACTCCCTCCCATGGGAAGTAAACTCTGGATCTTGTCTGAGCCTGCAGACCTGAGACTCCCTCAATGTGTCTTTCCCTCTAGGTCCTGTGCCTCATCACTGCTCCTGTCACCATGATTCTGTCCAGCCAGCAGGATGCAGCCTTTGCCTTTGCCTCTCTTGCCATAGTTTTCTCCTCCTATATCACTCTTGTTGTGCTCTTTGTGCCCAAGGTAAGGATCTGGCTTTTCTCCCACCCTCTTTGTTCCCATGTTCCCTCCATCCCTCCTTCCTATATTACTGAGTTCCTCTGCCCTTCCGTTCACCCTCCTCTCACTCCTCCCCTTGTTTTGGGCCCAACTCTTATCAGCATTCCTTCCACCTCCAACCTTCCATCAGCCAGTCACTAGTACAGTCCTTGCTGGGCCACCCCACGCCCAAACATTTGCCCCCAGATGCGCAGGCTGATCACCCGAGGGGAATGGCAGTCGGAGGCGCAGGACACCATGAAGACAGGGTCATCGACCAACAACAACGAGGAGGAGAAGTCCCGGCTGTTGGAGAAGGAGAACCGTGAACTGGAAAAGATCATTGCTGAGGTGCGGGGGTGGGTGTCAGGGTAGGGTGTTGGAGTGGTCCAGGAGGCTTGCGTCTTAGCTTGGGTTGTCTGAAGCCAAGCCTGAGATACAGGGTCAGATGTTCTTGGCTCATGGAGGGAGGGTCCTAGGAGACAACCTGTAAGGAGTGAATGGAGCAGCATAGGGGAGGGGAAAGGGCTGAGCAAGATTCTATCTCAGGCAAAATCCAGTGTTGGCCTGGCAGGTGGAAGGGCTCTGGAGTGGGAGCTATGTGGTTGACTCAGCCTCCTTAAGGCAAGAGGATGGCTGTTGGCTGTAGGTGACAACTGGAGAGAGGCAGCTGTGAGCCTCTAGTAGTCAACACTCACAGCAGCTGGGTGTAGCATGCAGCCCCAGCATAAAGGACCTGGGCAGGCGTTCACTGTGCCCCAGGCTGTCATTAGGGGCTGGTGCAATGCCAAAGAGAGGGATGTTCCAACTGGGTTGACACATCTCTCTGATTTATTGGAAGCTCTGTGCACTGACTTTTCTCTCCTTCCCCACTTTTTCCTTTTGTTTTTAAATTCTCTCTTATTTCCCTGATCGCATTTTTTCTATCGGTATCCTTATGTTCTCTGGCTTTTCTTGTTCTGTTTTGATTTCTCCTTTTAATTTATTCTGTCCACTTACCCTACGTCCTCCCCCTACATTTTTCTGTGCCCTTCCTCTCTTTCCCTGTGCCCTTCCTCTCTTTCCCTCCTCCCCACTCCTTCATCACCTCCTCTTCTCCTACTATCCCAATTGTGCTTCTTCCTCCAGAAAGAGGAGCGTGTCTCTGAACTGCGCCATCAACTCCAGTCTCGGCAGCAGCTCCGCTCCCGGCGCCACCCACCGACACCCCCAGAACCCTCTGGGGGCCTGCCCAGGGGACCCCCTGAGCCCCCCGACCGGCTTAGCTGTGATGGGAGTCGAGTGCATTTGCTTTATAAGTGAGGGTAGGGTGAGGGAGGACAGGCCAGTAGGGGGAGGGAAAGGGAGAGGGGAAGGGCAGGGGACTCAGGAAGCAGGGGGTCCCCATCCCCAGCTGGGAAGAACATGCTATCCAATCTCATCTCTTGTAAATACATGTCCCCCTGTGAGTTCTGGGCTGATTTGGGTCTCTCATACCTCTGGGAAACAGACCTTTTTCTCTCTTACTGCTTCATGTAATTTTGTATCACCTCTTCACAATTTAGTTCGTACCTGGCTTGAAGCTGCTCACTGCTCACACACTGCCTCCTCAGCAGCCTCACTGCATCTTTCTCTTCCCATGCAACACCCTCTTCTAGTTACCACGGCAACCCCTGCAGCTCCTCTGCCTTTGTGCTCTGTTCCTGTCCAGCAGGGGTCTCCCAACAAGTGCTCTTTCCACCCCAAAGGGGCCTCTCCTTTTCTCCACTGTCATAATCTCTTTCCATCTTACTTGCCCTTCTATACTTTCTCACATGTGGCTCCCCCTGAATTTTGCTTCCTTTGGGAGCTCATTCTTTTCGCCAAGGCTCACATGCTCCTTGCCTCTGCTCTGTGCACTCACGCTCAGCACACATGCATCCTCCCCTCTCCTGCGTGTGCCCACTGAACATGCTCATGTGTACACACGCTTTTCCCGTATGCTTTCTTCATGTTCAGTCACATGTGCTCTCGGGTGCCCTGCATTCACAGCTACGTGTGCCCCTCTCATGGTCATGGGTCTGCCCTTGAGCGTGTTTGGGTAGGCATGTGCAATTTGTCTAGCATGCTGAGTCATGTCTTTCCTATTTGCACACGTCCATGTTTATCCATGTACTTTCCCTGTGTACCCTCCATGTACCTTGTGTACTTTCTTCCCTTAAATCATGGTATTCTTCTGACAGAGCCATATGTACCCTACCCTGCACATTGTTATGCACTTTTCCCCAATTCATGTTTGGTGGGGCCATCCACACCCTCTCCTTGTCACAGAATCTCCATTTCTGCTCAGATTCCCCCCATCTCCATTGCATTCATGTACTACCCTCAGTCTACACTCACAATCATCTTCTCCCAAGACTGCTCCCTTTTGTTTTGTGTTTTTTTGAGGGGAATTAAGGAAAAATAAGTGGGGGCAGGTTTGGAGAGCTGCTTCCAGTGGATAGTTGATGAGAATCCTGACCAAAGGAAGGCACCCTTGACTGTTGGGATAGACAGATGGACCTATGGGGTGGGAGGTGGTGTCCCTTTCACACTGTGGTGTCTCTTGGGGAAGGATCTCCCCGAATCTCAATAAACCAGTGAACAGTGTGACTCGGCACCTTGCAGTCTTCCTGTGAACAGAATGGGCTTCAATCCAAGAAGGGAGGTTCAGAGGACTCCAAGTTCATGAAAAGGCATTAAAGCGGAGGGTGAAAAGAGGTGTTTTATTGATCCATTGAGGGCTTAGCAGAATGAAGCAGGACATGATTAAGTCTGAGATTAGTGAGTGAGGACACTACTGGTTAAAAGTGTGGGCTCTGGAGTCAGACTGCCAGGGTATCAGATCCAACCACATGCAAACATTTTCTTAGTCTCTATTCCCCATGTCCTCATTTATGAAAATGAGAATAACAGTAATACATTCCTCCATAGGTTGGGTACAAAGACTATTATAAATTGTGCATTCAGGTGCCTAGGTTGGCCCTTGGGCCATGGTATATGTTGCGTGAATGTTAGCCTCTGTCCCTGCTGTTTAATGAGTTCCTTGACAGTAGTGGGCATGTATTGGGAGCCTGGAGCAAGTGCCTAAGCATCCCCTCTAGGGACGCTCCTTCCCAGGAACTAAGAAGAGTAAAAGAATGATGACTGCTAGAAGGTAATGGATGAGATGGCTGCTGAGTGCTTCCAACCTTAAACATCTTTGTTTAGGAACTCTGAGCATCTTGGAAATAATTTGCTATCAAACTGAAAAAAAATCTTGAATGGACAAGGGCAAAAACATTTGCCTGAGACTTTAAACATTTTTTGTGTCATCTTGGAGAGTGCTTTTTTGAAGCTCAAATTTTCTTTTATTTTGGCACTGATTTTTAAAGTGATTCTCAGATTTTTGTAAGACAGCTGCAAGGGTTGGATGGGCCCTGTCATTCACTGACCTGTTAAGAGCCAATTTCTGAACTTCCACTAAAGCATGGGCTGGTTGAATCTTAGACCAGTACTTGAAAAACTTTCCACTGTGATTATCCACCTTGGACCAGTTGGACTTAATTTGAGTCTCTCTTCTTCCCACAGTGAAATATCCGCTAGGAAAAGAGAAGAAGTCTATGGAGTAGATAAGCCTGCAGTTTGGAAAATGAATAGTTGGCATCAGAACAGCAGCAGGAGGCTGGGTGTGGTGGCTCACGCCTGTAATCCCAGCACTTTGGGAGGCTGAGGTGGGTGGATCACGAGGTCAGGAGTTCAAGACCAGCCTGGCCAAGATGGCGAAACCCTGTCTCTACTAAAAATACAAAAATTAGCTGGGCGTGATGGTGGGTGCCTGTAATCTCAGCTACTCGGGAGGCTGAGGCAGATAATTGCTTGAACCCAGGAGATGAAGGTTGCAGTGAGTTTGTGCCACTGCACTCCAGCCTGGGCGACAGAGTGAGACTGTCTCAAAAAAAAAAAAAAAGAAAAAAAAAAAAGAAACAACAGTAGCAGGAGCTATAGAACAGCCCTGGGTAGAACCTAAAAGACCCAAATTATCATCTCAAACTTGCATTGCACTTAAGTGGGCTGTAAATTATAAACAAAGGGTGAAAAGTTCTACTGTGGCCAAAGGTAAGCCAGACACTCTGCTAGCAGGAGTGCAGGAGTCGAGAGCCAAACGGTGCGGCTAGCAGAGTGCCCAGTGCAAAGGGGTGGGAAGGAGTGAGATTGAGAATATTAAAAAGGTACTTAGAAGAGAACTTGTAAGATTTTTACTGGCCAAATTTAAAACATGACTGAGCACTATTTTTCATACAGGCCTCCTACTAATAAGAAAAACAATTTTGAGATAACTACTTATTTGAGTTCACAGTTAATGTTCCTGATGATTAAGATCAGTTGCAAATGTTCATCTGTCAATGCTTATCTACAATGAGACTTCATGTATTCATTTCTGAAAGTGTCTTTTCAGGGTGAATGGTGCTATTGATTAGCACTAATACTAATTATTAGTACATTATATATAATTACAATGAGATATACACACACATACACACACACATATATACATATACACACACACAATGATATATAATTAATATATAATTGTACCCCAAGGGGTGCAAAGGAGATGTGTTGCCAGGTGGAGAGGCTACCGCTTGGCAGTTCTGGGAGGACTTGCTCCCTGTGCACTGTGAGGCAGGCTTTGCCTTTCAGACCTGCCTTTGGGTAGGGTTCAGATCACTTTCTAACTCTGGAATGTCCTAGAATGTAGACTGCCTGCAGGCTTCCATGTCCCCTGCTTTTCCCTGACTTAGCCTGTTGCCTCCCTGCCCTCCTGTTGGTTGTCTACCAGTAGAGAGCACTTTGTGTGCACTTGGCTGCTACATTAGTTAGGTGATCTTCAACAAGTGTTGATGGTGAGTTGCTGTGGCAGGTGCTTTTTTTGGCACTGAGGCAAAATGGTGAGTAAGATGGCTTTCAAGCGTTGTACCTTCTCGACGTGGGAAGATGACCAGTAAGCAGAAAAACAAACGAGATCACTTAAGAGAGCAACCAGGAGTGTTGGGCATCTCACAGCCATTAGCTCTGGTGTGAAGGACAAATCTAAAAGCAAGGGGACTGTGTGTTCATTTTCTGGGGTCACAAAACTAAGGAGCAAAGCCAGTATTCAAACTGCATATATTATTATCTATTGCCACAAAACCTGTTACCCTAAATGGCTTCAGACAACAATAATCATTTATTATCCATCATGGTTTTTGTGGGCTAGAAATTCAGATAGGGTACAGTGGGGAGGGTTCACCCTGCTCCACAGCATCTGGAAGATCTGAAGTCTGAGGGTTGTTGTCCAAAAGATCCTTCACTCAGCATCTAAAGGAGGTATTGGCTGTCAGCTGAGACCCCTACACATGACCTTTCCATGTGGCCTGGTATTCCTCATGACCTAATGACAGTTCCAAAGGCAAGTGGAGGCAGTTGTAGAGAGTCAGCCAGGTTTAAGCTGTATTTTTTTTTTCCCTGACAAAGCCTTGAAAGTCACGTAGCATCACTTCTGAGATATTCCACTGGTCCAAGCAGTCACAAGGCCATGCCTAGGTTCAGGAGAGGAAACACTTCACCTGTTGGTGGGATGAGCGTAAGTCACACTGTAAAGAGAACATGTGGAATGGGACAAATGTGTGTTGCAGGCTGCTTTGGTAAAAGCAGTCTGCTGCATCTGGTCTGCCTGCTGCAAAGCCAGTGTTCACTTCACTTTAACATGTTCTTTGTCCGCCCTCTGAGCTGAGCACCCTAGCCTTGTATATTTGCTGTCATACAGCCTCTTACCAGGCCCTGGATTCCTCTGGATGCTTGGGGGCCAGCTGTGATCTCACCCCAGCAGAAAATGGGAAGTGTTGAAGATGGTCCTGCCAATTGCTCCTCCCACAGTCCTTGGTAGTTTTAGGACACCCTGGATAGGCAACAGTTTGTTTATCCACTCAGGCTTTTGAAACAGATAATTCTGTGACTTTGCCCTTGAGGGAAGCTATCACTTGACATGAAGCTTACCAAAAGGTAGGCTTCATGTTAAGGGAGGCTGTCACTTGAAGGCAGGCAGAAAGGTGCTATTCATTAGCCACCTTATGGTGGGTTCATGTTAAGTGACAGCTTCCCTCAAATGGGATGCTACTCAAAATATTTAACCAGTATGGCATCCACTTACATGGCTCCCTGGAGTGTGGAAGGATATGCTGGAGACTCTCCTGGAAGGTGAGTTCAGCACCAGCAGCAGCTGTGATAGGGACATGTACTGAGGCCTGTGTGGGCTGGACACTGGGACTGATGCAGCAAAGCTAGGGAGACAGATGCAGAAGCAACGTCATGTGGCCTGCAGAGTGCATTCCCCAGGTGTGTGTAGGGAGTGTAGGAAAGAAAATCCTTTTCCTCTTCCTGTCTTAGGTTCTCCAGCCGTGGCTGTGTAAATTAGAGTGGCATAAGACAGATTAATGAGAGAAAAACAAATAGAAGTTTATTAACATTTGCTTCATGCATGTACACATGGGAGTACCCAGTGGTGAACAATGCAAAGGGGCAGTTAGAATTTGGGCTCATGGCTGGGTGTGGTGGCTCATGCCTGTAATGCCAGCACTTTGGGAGGCTGAAGCTGGGGGATCACTTCAGGTCAAGAGTTTGACACCAGCCTGGGCAACATGGTGAAACCCTGTCTCTACTAAAAATACAAAAATTAGCCGGGTGTGGTGGCAGGCACCTGTAATTCCAGCTACTCGGTAGGGTAAGGCAGGAGAATTGCTTGAACCTGGGAGGCGGAGGTTGCAGTGAGCAGAGATCGCGCCATTGCACTCCATCCTGGTTGACAGAGCGAGACTCTGACTCAAAAAAAAAAAAAAAAGAATTTGGAGCTCATATAGTTGCCCCTTGAACAACTTGGGGTTTAGGGTTACTGACCCCACACACAAACGAAAATCTGCACATAACTGTTGACTCTCTCCAAACTTAGCTACTAATAGCTTACTGTTGACTGAAAGCCTTACTAGTAGTGTAAACAGTTGATCAACACATATTTTGTATGCTATACATCTTATATATGTATTCTTATAATAAAGTAAGCTAGAGAAAAGGAAATGTTATCAAGAAAATTGTAAGGAAAATACATATAGGGTACTATACTGTATTTATTGATGCCTTAAGTTTACATCATTTACATGATGAATCGTCTGTCTGAAATGGCAGCAACCCCAGCAACAGACCTTGATCTATGGTGTATATCAAGCAATTCAACTTTTTATAGAGTCATGACTTTGCTTCTTGGGAGAACTTCCAGCATCACTGTTGGCACTTCATATGGGCCCTATGGTGTTATTTAAGGTTCACAGTATTGCTCTAGACATGATGAAATATATGCAAGAATCTTGAGAGACCACTCTTTACTGCTATACACAATTTACTGGATAGATGAACTGCTCATGCAGAGATGATTAGTGTCACTTGGCATTTTAGGCAGATACTTGCAACAGTTGAGCTCTTTGCAATAGTAAGAGGAGGTGGCTATCAAATTACAGTAGAACAGTATACACTACAGTTAATTTTATGCCGTTATGATTTAATTCTGCATCTTTTGTTAAGCTTTCTCTTGACTTTGAGTGGCTTATGTATGGTCTGTAAGTGTGTGCGTAAGTTTTGATAAATTTTATTTATTTTTTGAGACATGGTCTCACTCTGTTGCCCAGGCTGGAGTGCAGTGGCGTGATCTTGGCTCACTTCAGCCTCAACCTCCTAGGCTCAGGTGATCCTCCTACCTCAGCCTCCTGGGTAGCTGGGACTGCAGATACATGCCACCATGCCGGACAAATTTTTTGTATTTTTAGTAGAGATGGGGTTTTACCATATTGCTCGGATTGGTCATGAACTCCTGGATTCAAGCAATCTGCCCACCTAGCCTCCCTAAGTGCCTGGCCAAATTTTTGGTTTTTATAGTAGATTTGTGTATATTTTTTGGTAGTATCTACATATATTTTATACATTTATTTGTTGATGAAAAAAGTAAAATTTGTAAAATATTTGAAGAGGTTTATTCTGAGCCATTCTGAGGAGTTCCTGAGAACATGTGCCCAAGGTGGTTGGGTTACAGCTTGGTTTCATACATTTTAGGGAGCCAGAAGTTGCTGACAAAGACATAAATCAATACATGTAAGGTATATATTGGTTCAGCTCAGAAAGGCGGGACATCTCGAAGCAAGGGAGCTCACAGGTCATAGGGGGATTCAGATTTTCTGATTGCCAATTGGTTGAAAAAGTTAAGCCCTGCCTAAAGAGTTGAAGTCAGCAGAAAGAAATGCTTGAGTTAAGGGGGCGTGGAGGTGGCGTTGGGGGAGATGTTTGTGGAAGCAAAGATTCTTGTTACGTAGATGAAGCTTCCAGGCCTCAGAAAGAATAGATGGTAAATGTTTCTTATCGCACCTTAAAAGATGTCAGACTCATTAGTAAAATCCCTCCTGGATCAGAAAAAGACCTGGAAGGGGAAGGGGATTCTCTACAAAATGCAAATCCCCATGACAAGAAATGGCTTTGCAGAGTCATTTCAAAATGTCAAATAAGTATATTTTGGGGTAAAATACTTTGATTTCCTTCAGGGCCTGCTATCTGTGGTGTGATGCTGTATCAGAGTCAGGTTGGAGTTGACTATTTTATTGCTACAGAGAATCTTTTGTCAGTCTTATGATCTCTATTGTAATGTTAATGCTGGTCAGTTGTCCCTAAACTCCAGAGGAAGGAGGGTATCATTGGCATGTCTTACCTTTCTTCCTGTCAGTTAGGGGGCTTAGAATTTTATTTTTGGTTTACACATGACATACTTTTCTCTTATTTATTTATTTATTTATTTGAGATGGAGTCTTTGTCGCCCAGGTTGGAGTGCAGTGGCACCATCTCGGCTCACTGCAACCTCCGCCTCCTGAGTTTAAGCGTTTCTCCTGCCTCAGCCTCCCAAGTAGCTGAGATCACAGGTGTGTGCCACCACGCCTGGCTAATTTTTTGTATTTTTTAAGTAGAGACGGGGTTTCACCGTGTTAGCCAGGATGGTCTCGATTGCCTGACCTCGTGATTCACCTGCCTCGGCCTCCCAAAGTGCTGGGATTACAGGCGTGAGCCACCGTGCCCAGCCCTATTTATTTTTTTAATTGAGGCTGGAGTGAGGTGGTGCAATCACAGCTCACTGCAGCCTCAACCACCTGGGCTCAAGAGATCCTCCCACCTCAGCCTCCCTAGTAACTGGGACTACAGGTGCGTGCCACCATGCCCAGTTAATTTTTTTTTTTTTTGCAGAGATGGGGTTTCCCCATGTTACCCAGGCTGGTCTCCAACTCCTGAGCTCAAGCAATGCATCCATCTTGGCCTCCCAAAGTTCTGAGATTACAGGCATGTGCCACAGCACCTGGCCCATTAATTTTTCCAGTGCTTCTAAGCTATGTGGTTTGTGAGTTTTTTCAAATTGTCACAAATCTCCAAAAATTTTCAATATACTTACTGAAAAAAATCATGTGTGAGTGAATCCATGGAGTTCAAATCGTGTTGTTCTTAGCAACTGTATAACATCTTGGCTAGGTAAAGGAAAAGGAGTTTGGGGCTTCTGGGTGAGTGGTAGATGGGCAGGCAAGTTATGGGAAAGTGACCAGGAAAATATGGAACAAAGTGGTTTAGTAAGGTTTGTTATGTGGATTTAAACTGTCTTCTCCATTAGTAGAGTTGTACCTTTACAGATAGAAAAGGTTTGTTATGTAGATTTAAACTGATGTCTTCTCCATTAGTAAGAGTTGTACCTTTACAGATGTGAATTTATTTACAAAAGGAAAACTTGTATCCTGTTTTACAGCATTCACTAGTCTGATGATTTTCAATTGTTAGCTCAAAATAATCCACATGCTAAAGATAGTTTGAGGTGGCATATACTGGTACCCTTCAAGGGTGAGCGATTAATTCTGCATAGGAGGAGCCAGAAGGTTTCCCCTTCCCTGGGAGATAGAAGGATAAGACAGGGCTGGGCCCTACACATAAGCATCTATTCATGATTCGGTGAGCCCTTCAGACGTTTGAGGTTTATTTTATTTTATTATTATTTTTTTGAGATGGAGTCTCACTCTAACTCCCAGGCTGGAATGCAGTGGCGTGATCTCGGTTCACCGAAACCTCCGCCTCCTGGGTTCAAGTGGTTCTCCTACCTCAGCTTCCCAAGCAAGGGGTTTACAGGCACCTGCCACCAGCCCTGGCTATTATTATTATTATTATTATTTGTATTTTTAGTAGAGACTTTTTAATTTTTATTAGAGACTTCATATTTTTAGTAGAGACGAGGTTCTTGAATAATGTTCCTTTAAGGCTTCCAACTCACATGTCATGTTAGAATGAATAGTTAAGTGCCTGCCCTCAGGAGACCTAAATCATGTAGGTTTGAAACATCTGTAAGGGATCCTTTTTTTTTTTTTTTTTTCTGGTTGTATTCAATTCAGTAGCTTCTGTATCTTTCTGAAATAATCTCTACCTTCCTGCTTAATCATTTTGCTCCTCGGTGTAACTCCTTCCCCCACATCTCCCTATCTTAATGCACAACATGCTTATTTTTGTCTTTAGCCTTTTCTGTTATAGAACCAAACTGGGGTCTGCTTGCCTGGTGCAATAAAACCAGATACTTACACCAAGGATTGCACCAATAGAAAGAAAGGCATTTGTTGCAGGACACTACGCAGGGAGGACCAGGCAGCTAAACACTCAAGTCCTGGCCTCCCTGATGTCTTGCAGGCAAGGGTATTAGCGGCAGAATGTATCAGAGTTACATGGCATGAAAATATGTTAGCAGCTGCGAATCTGTACAGGTCTGCAGCAACCTCAATTTTTGCCTCCTCAGAAGAAAGAATCTGACTGAGGGGCATAAAGCAGAGTAAGAGACCGAAGCAAATTTTAGAACAGGAGTAAAAGTTTATTAAAAAGCTTTACAGCAGGAACAAAATAAAGTAAAGCCAACTTGGAAGGGGGCCAAGCAGGCAACTTGAGAGATCAAGTGCGTGGTTTTGACCTTGACTTAGGGTTTTATATGTTGGCAGGGTTCCAGGGTCCCTTCTCCCCTGAATCTTCCCTTGGGGTGGGCTGTCTGCATGTACAGTGGCCTGCTAGTGCTTGGGAGGGGCTGCATGCACGGTATGTTTACTGGAGTAGTATGCATGCTGACTTGAGGCATTCTTCCCTTACCAGGGAGTGTTCCTATAAGGTTATAAACCAGTTAAATGCTGTCATTTCTCCCTTAGTGCCCATGCATGAGCCCACTTGCCCAACTCCTGAGATCTTAGTTTCAGGTTTTTCTATTTATTGGGAGACTGTTTTTCCCTGGCACAGGCTGTGACCAATGATTATTTTAGAGAGACAGCTTAACAACCGCCTATCACCTGATGGTTGCCTGACATTCCTGGTGGGGAAGGAGGCCCTTTCCTGCCCTGCTCGTGTCTGACTAACTATTGTAACATGGGTTTTTAAAGGCAGGGGTAAGGCAGTGTGCAGTGGCTCACACCTGTAATCCCAGCACTTTGAGAGGCTGAGGCAGGAAGATCACTTGAACCTAGGAGTTCAAGAACAGCCTGGGCAACAAAGTGAGACCCCAACTCTACAAGAAATAAAAAAATTAGCCAAATATGGTGGCATATGCCTGTACTCCCAGCCACTCAGAAGGCTGAGGTGAGAGGATCCCTTGAATCCAGGAGGTTGAGGCTGCACTGAGCCATGATTATGCCACTGCACTCCAGCCTGGACAACACGGCAAGACCCTGTCTCAAAAAACAGGAAACAAAAAAAGGCAGGGGTAAATTTCAGAAAAGCAGAAGCTACAAGGAACATTGGAAATCAGTGCATAGAGGTTCCACATTTTTTTTTGAGATGGAGTCTTGCTCGGTTGCCCAGGCTGGAGTGCAGCTGTGTGATCTTGGCTCACTGCAAGCTCTGCCTCCCAGGATCATGCCATTCTCCTGCCTCAGCCTCCCGAGTAGCTAGGACTATAGGCACCCACCACCACGCCTGGCTAATTTTTTTTTTTGTATTTTTTGTAGAGATGGGGTTTCACCGTGTTAGCCAGGATGGTCTTGATCTGACCTCATGATCCGCCCACATTGCTTCCCAAAGGGCTGGGATTACAGCTGTGAGCCACCGTGCCCGGCCTCCACATTGGTTTTGATCTAAAAGGGTGGGATATCTTGAATCAGGGACTTACAGGTTATAGGTAGATTCAAAGATTTTTCTGGCCAGGTGTGGGTCATGCTTGTAATCCCAGCACTTTGGGAGGCCAAGGAGAGAGGATCCCTTAAGGCCAAGAGTTTGAGACCAGCCTGCGAAACATAACAAGACTCTGTATCTACACACACAAAATTTTTTTTAATTAGAGGCTGAGGCAGGAGAATTGCTTGAGCCTGGGTGGTTAAGCTGCAGTGAGCTACGACTGCAACTGCATTCTGGCCTAAGTAACAGAGCAAAAGCCTGTCTCAAACAAAAACAAAAAAACCCCAAATTTGCAATTAGTTAAGGAAGAGAACCTTTGTTTAAAAATTTGGGGTCCAGTAGAAAAATGTTAACTGCCTAGAAGGTGTTACTTTCTCCAAGCTCCTCAGGAAGAAACTTAGAACAAAGGATGATGGTTATAAAGTTCAGTCATTTTCCTGTCCTCTGAGGTCTATGCCAGCAGATTCATTTGGTGGGGTTCCGAGTTTCTGAGAGACAACGCAGAGACATATGTTAAGAGGTTATCTTTAGTTTCTATGAGGAAAGCAAACCTATTCAGAACGCTTAACTTCCTTGGCTATTGTCTTAGGCTGCTATTACCTTGTTGCTTTTCAAGTTGCTACTTATTTCTCAGAGCCAGCTAGGTGCCTGGAATTTTCCTTGAAGAAACACAGGATTTTGCTTTATTTCCATGCTTAGGAGTCCCCAAGCCCCTAAAAAGGGGGTCTTTGCATCATCTCATTTCTACACAGTCAGCAAATACTTCTTATTTTGTTTACTCTTCTGTGGTTCAAACCTCTAAGAGGCTTCCATGATCACTGCCGCTCCAAGCACTCACACACATTATTCTTTAATTCTGTATTCCTGTAGACTCTTATTTGCTCCAATTCAGTTGTGTAACTGTCATGTATGCTGGCACTATGTGCCTGACCATCCCTATTTTCACTGGACATTGTGGGGGTTGTGACTGAGTAACTTTATATTGGATTTTCTCACAGAGTATCCAATAGATGACTGTCACATGGAAACAATGAATTTAGGATAAGAGATGTTAGTCCTAAGTCCTATGTTAAACCATTTATTCAACAAAGCAGATTCTTTTAGACTGCTTTATTTAATTCTCTGTTGCATTTCCCCTAGAGTCAGTCTAGAAACGATTTTACTATATACAAACATTATAGCCTCTGGCTGTAGGGAGATGATAAACAGGAGAAAAGTGTAGACATTTCTAGGTGCCAGTAAGAGAAAGCAGATAGAGGGGGTCATGAAAAAAAGGTCTTACTACAGTGATTTGAAAAGTGGAATTAAGCTTAGCCTTACCTGTAGGGCTGAGATTATGATTATGATTATGATTATTTGAGATAGAGTCTCACTGTGTCGCCCTGGCTGGAGTGCAGTGGCATGATCTCGGCTCACTGCAACCTCCGCCTCCCAGGTTCTCCTGCCTTAGCCTCCTAAGTAGCTGGGATTACAGGAGCACGCCACCACGCCAGGCTAGTTTTTTTTTTGTATTTTTAGTAGAGACAGGGTTTCACCATGTTGGTCAGGCTGGTCTCGAACTCCTGACCTCGTGATCCGCCCGCCTTGGCCTCCTAAAGTGCTGGGATTATAGGTGTGAGCCACTGCGCCTGACTGATTAGGATTATTAAATATAAAATGGGGGCTCTACATTAAGATTAGAATATGCTCTAATAACGAGGTCAAGGAGACAATAAGATTAACACAAGGATGGCTAGGATAAAGATTAGGATTATAATAGAATTAATGTTGCTGTTCTGTGCTGATGCCAGGATAAATGTTGAATCAAAATCATTTTATGTTGGAACTAGAAATAAAACTAAGATTTTCCTTTTTCTTATTTTATCGGCGTGTACTCAAAAGGGAATTTGGTATTGCTGCCCTTGCCAGGGAAAAGCTGGGAGACAGCGTATGTGGGATTGGAACCCCAGAACCTTTTATATATTCTCTTTGGAGAGTAAGATTCATTCATTCATTCATTCATTCACTTATACATTTATAAAACTGGGTGCCAATTTTATGCAAAATTCTGGTCCTTGCCTTCTGAGAGCCTGAAATCTAGTGGGTGAACTAAGCCAGAAACACACACACAATGAACTGTAACACAACTTTTTCCAAAAGTTTTATTGTTCTGTTGTTTCTTATGCTTTGAAGTATTTGAAAAACTCTTATTTTAAGGAAGTGAAACCCCTTCGGCTGGGGGATCATTTAGATATAGTTTTAGATTGAAATGATTTCCTCAAAGCTTGTTGAGAAGTTGAAGCTTTTCACCTGGGCCTGGGAGGCATTATTTTTACCAAAAGGCAAGGTTAAGAGCAAGGAGTCTGGAGCCAGTTTTCCTGGGTTCAAATCCTGTCTTGCACATTTGCAAGTGGTAACATAAATTCTGTGTTTTAGTTTTTACCTCTGAAAAAGGATAATAATATTATCTGCTTCATAGTGTTGTTATAAGGGTTAAATAAGTCAATATGTGTAAATTGCAGGGGGTTCCTGACTTTGACCATTTTTTGACTTTATAATAATGCAAAAGAGATACATTCAGTAGAAACCGTACTTTGAGTACCAATATAACCATTCTGTTTTTTCACTTTTAGTACAGTATTCAGTAAATTACATGAGATATTCAAAACTTTATTATAAAATAGACTTTGTATTGAGGATTTTGCTGAACTGTAGGCTAATGTAAGTGTTCTGAGTATGTTTAAGGTAGGCTAGGCTAAGCTATGATGTTTGGTAGGTTAGGTGTATGAAATGCATATTCAACTTACAATATTTTCAGTATATGATAGGTTTTTTGGGAGGTAACATCATTATAAGTCAAGGAGCATCTGTACTTTAAGTGTTACTTGGGTTAACATAACAATTACATAAATGCTTATAGTATCATAACCATATCTATGTCTTTGAGCAAAGTACAGTTCGGATGACCCTGGAGCAGAAGTCTGGGATGTCACATGCAATACCATATTTGGCCGGTAGATGACACCAAGGTCCACAATGTGCCAGCCTAAACATGAAGATATTTTTGTGTCTTTTTGGCTGCTCCTTTACCTGCGATTTGTGGGCATTGTAAGAGAAGAAATAGGACTGAAGAAGCTAAGTTTCCTTTGTAAGGCTCAAGCCTGAAATACTGGGATATTTGATTATGGTGTGAAAGCAACAGTGTGTATTTGAGAGTTGCCTGACTGAAAATTATGGGGCCTGGATTTTAGTTCTGATGCTGTGGACACTGTGTGTTCTTGGGTGAGTTTCCGAACTTAGCTGGGCTTCAGCTTCCCCTTCTCTTTTGCTGTTATTTGAGGAATAAAATAGAATGAGAATACAAAACAGACATATAGTGAAGTGGGAAAAACATGAGGGAGAAGCAAAGAAGATATGGTAGGAATTAGAATTGGAGGTGAAGGAATAGTGGGGATATGGCAAGGGAGGGGAATTAAAAATGGAAGTGATAAAGGTAGGAACATGACTATGGAGGCGAAGACTTAAAGTAGAAAAAAATATAAAATATACTTGATGCCTATAATTTTTCGCATAAAGATACCTCCCTTTACTACATTTCAGTCGCTGTCTCTTGCACACATACATGCACACACACAGACATGTGGCTTTCATCCATTCCCACAATGTAATGGGTGTGAAGAAGGCAGAGGGGCAGGGAACTCAAACTTTCTGATAAAAGCACATAGAATCTCCTCTCTTTTAAAGCACATTAAGCAGCTCTCCCTCAGCTTTGTGTGAGCCCCATTTCCTTCCCCAGCAATCTCCTGAATGCCCTGGTTACCTCCTTGTTCCTCAGGGTGTATATGAGAGGGTTAAGTGAAGGAGTGCCCACTGCATAGAAGAGACCAAAGAACTTGCCCCTCTCTTGGGCATAGGGATTTTTGGGCTGGAGGTAGACAGCAATGACTGAGCTGTAGAAGAGGGTGACCACAGTGAGATGGGAGGAGCAGGTCCCAAAAGCTTTCCTCCGCCCTTTTGCAGAGTTAATCCTCAGCACTGCCCAGGTAATGGCTCCGTAAGAGACAAGGATGAGGCTGAGAGGCACAACCAAGATGAAGACACTGGCAACAGCCACCTGGATCTCATTGTAGGAGGTGTCTTCACAGGAGAGTCGAATTAGAGCTGGGACCTCACAGACAAAATCATCCACCTGCCGATCGGGGCAGAAGGGCAGGTGCAGGGTGGATGGTGTCTGGACCACTGACTCCACTAGCCCAATGACCCAGGCCACAGATGCCAGCTGCCAGCACAGGCGGGGGTGGATGATGGTGGCATAGTGGAGGGGCTGGCAGACAGCCACGTAGCGATCAAAAGCCATCACTGTCAAGAGGATGCACTCAGTTGTCCCCAGGGACAGGAAGATGAAGATCTGGACAGAGCAGTCCAGGAAGCTGATGGTCTTCTTTGGGCCCCAGAGGTTGACCAGCATTTGGGGAACACAACTCGTGGTGAAACAGAGGTCCAAGAAGGAGAGGTTGGAGAGGAAAAAGTACATTGGAGAGTGGAGCTTGGGGTCCAGCGCAGACAGCAGGATGATGAGTGTGTTGCCCACTAGGGTTAGGAGGTAGGAAGTGAGGACAACCACGAAGAGAGTCCTTTCCAGCCCTGGGTGTTCAGAGAAGCCCAGAAGGAGGAAGCCCGGTGTGGAGCTTTGGTTAACCATGGCCTGTTCTTGTTTGTACCTGGAGGGATGAGGCTGTCACCCCAGTGTGATTCAACCTGTCTTATCAAAACTCAGCCTGGGTGTTTGTGAGGTCACAGCAGGTAGGTGTTTCTCTTCTGTCTCTGCTCGCCCAGCCTCCCTTTCCAAGGCTCATCACCATCCAGCAGCTCCTTCTCATTCCCTGTTCTTCCTGGTCAAACATTGTCTAGTGAGAGTGAGGAATCCATGAATGTACTGGACAGCAGATGGATACTCACACTGGTGCCTCTGACTTCCTGGGTGAGGGCAAAGGAGGCTGATTAAAATATGCACTAATTCATTAATTCATTCATTCAGGGGAAATTTATTGAGTGCCACTATGTTCTGAATGCTGTTCTAGAGTTGTCTCTTATCTATTGGATGATCTCGTAAGGTATATTGAATGAATTTTCTGATAAGTTGTCTCTGTAGGCTCAATTATTGCTCTATTGGTTGAATGAATTTTATAGAACTCTGTACATTCCATTTATTTTGTATTTTTTCATTTGCAAGTAAGCTTATCAGAGACAGTGTTTTATCTATGAGAGAGATTTTGTTTTGTTTTAAGATATCCCTACTTATAGAGAGATCAGGTTGGTTGCCCTGGCCTTTTTAGCAACCTAAGTTTCTGAACCAACTGACTTTCAGGGAGGGGTGGAAATTGGTCCACATGCTTCGTCCTTGCCATGAGTAGCTTACAAGTAGGAGGCAAGAGTGGCCACAAGCATGTTAAAATCACCAGGGTTCACAGGAACATTATCGAAAGACTCCAAGAATCACTCTCCCTAAATCTTGTAGTCTTTCAGACACCACCAAAAAGAGAGTCCAAAATTTAAAGGCCAGTAACACCAATGTACTGGGTGAATGAGAGTAAAGGTTCTGTAGGATGACTGACCAATTTGGTTGGGTATATCAGGGAAAGCTTCCTAGAGGAGGTGACTGGACTTTTTCCTTAAAATAGAGATGTATTGGGGCATAGAAGGTCAGTTGAGGGCTGGGGGTGGGAGACTGAAGCCACTCTGGCAGGTCAGAGACAAGGACTCAGGGTCTTACAGGACCTTAGGAAGGCCATGAGGGGAGGAGATGAGATGGTGGGCCACACCACAAACGTGCCATGGAGCTCAGAGGATGGCAGGAATGTCTTCCTCTTACAGGGTCCCCATCTTGTATTAAGCTCTATCACATCTCCCTTTTTGCCAGGACTCTCTGCCATTGTCTCTGTCTTCTTCCTGTTTTTCCCATTATTCTTTTCTCACTTAAAATATATTTTTAATTTTCAAAATATTGTTACATATTTAAACAACTAGGTTAAGGAACTGAGCAAATGTTTCAAGTATCTTAGAAGCTTCTGTGTGCCCCTCCCTGATCTCTCAATTTTCTCAATTTGTCACCCCTCAAGATGTCACCACCATTCTAATTTTTTTTTTTTTTTTTTTTTTTTAGAGTCACGTTTTATAGCCCAGGCTGGAGTGCAATGGCACGATCTCTGCTCACTGCAACTTCCACCTCCTGGGCTCAAGCTATTCTCCTGCCTCAGCCTCCCAAGTAGCGGGGATTACAGGCACTCAAGACCATGCCTAGCTAATTTTTGTATTTTTAGTAGAGACGGGGTTTCGCCATGTTGGCCAGGCTGGTCTCAGACTCCTGACCTCAGGTGATCTGCCTGCCTCGGCCTCCCAAAGTGCTGGGATTACAGGCATGAGTCACTGTGCCTGGCCTCTAAATTTTTAATTATGCCTTCGCTTTCATTTTTTGAGATGTATTTAACGTACCATAAAATTCGCCCTTTTGAAGTGTGTAATTTAGTGGTTTAAAGTATATTCACAAGTTGTGCAACCAACACCATTTACTTCCAGAATATTTCATTACTCCCAAAAGAAACCTCATGCTCATTGGCTGCCGCCCCCTCCTTTGTTTTCTTTGTAATATAAAATTCTTTGCATGTAACCTTAAACAATAGCCAATTGTTTCTTATTTATCCATCATGTGTCATCCTAATTAATTTTCTACATTTCTAACTTTGTCATTATCTTGGCATTTCATTCCTTTCCTTTCTCTGCTATATCGCTGAATCTCTTTAGATTACACCTTTCTTAGTGACTGTTTCCCTTTCCCTCTTTGTTCTCTGTCTTTTCCACTCTCATTATTTTTCTCCTACTCCTTTTCCTTCTGAAATATTCATGCATTGGTCTACGCATTTATTCATTTCTTGAGCCCCAAAGTGCCAGCATTGTGTTAGGAGCTGGGGAAGGAGTTGGGAGGTCCTTTGAAAGGGGTTTATGATAGTCTAGTGACCATGAGCTACCCTTGCTGTTAGTAGCTACCATCAAAGCATGGTGATAAACAACTCCCTGAACATCTGGTTCTCACAGTGACCCTACAAAGAGATAAAATTATCCCAATTTTACCAAAAAGTGAACAGTCACAGACGGGACAAGAGACTTGTAGAAGGTTACCTAGTCAATAAGTGCTAGGACTAGGATTTTAGAGTAAGTTTAACTCCAAATCTGGTCCTCCAGTGTTGAGGATAGGCGGAAACTGATATCTCACAGCCAAAGAGCAAAGGTTCTGCTTACCTTCAATCAAATAAAAATCTCTTCTGGTACCAGCAATTCCCCATGACAGAGCTCTTAACTGGTGCCCAGCCTCCACTTGTACATCAGGAAGAAACAAAAAAATAAAAAGGAATGGGCATCCTTGAATGGGCAACTGCATCTCTGGTCACAATAGGGATTGCTAATGCTGACCATCTGGCACTTTTCTAAGCACACATGTGTGTGATGAGCTGGAGCTGGCTCAGATTATCTCTTGATTAGTAAATTTTTAGGAATTTTGTGAGACAGTTATTAAACCATCAGTGGCTTGAGACAGCCATGGCAGGAATATTTACACTATGAAAATTGGCAAACACTACAAATTAGGGCTCTCCCCATCTGCCACCAACCAAGTTGTTTATTAAACATTTACTCTACACTGCTGATTATCCTTCACAACTCTACATATTATTCTCTTCCTTCCAATATGAAGAAGTTGAAACAAAGAAATATAAATAACTTTCCCAAGGCAGTATAGTTAGTAAGCACCAGAGCTGATGTTTGAACCCAAATCTGCTAACTGTAGAGGGTTTGCACCAACCAAAGCCCACCAAATCTCTGCAGGGAGGATGAAGCCAAGGTCAGAACTTTGCCATTGAGTTCTTTGCCATCGAGTTCTTTGCCATCGAGTTCTTTGCCATTGAGTTCTTTGCCAACAATTTTCCCCCTCAGTCTAGGCAGAGGTGTGCCTCTGTTTTAGTGGCATTGGAGGTAGAAATGTTGACATGGTATGGTGGTAGAGGGATCCCACGGAGGGAAAGAGCTCATTAATTCTGCTGAGACTCTAGGGTCCATAGCCCACAGACAATTCATTAGCCACAAATTATGGTAAAAGGGGCAGGGGAATATCTATAGGAAATATGCCAACAATAGTCATCACTGTGGTAGGTAAAAGAGGTCACTCATTGCTTCTTTCTGTCAACAGGAAGAAAAAGGACAGTGTCTCTACTCCCACCTCCAGTGAGTCCCGGGCATCCTGATAGTCCTCTCAGGCTTATGATTCATCTATTCAGGACCTCAGTTTTTAAAGTTCTCAGCTTCCTCCTTTTCTATTTAGTTATTCTGAGATGGAGCACACTGTAGTAACAGAGAATTATAAAGCTCTGGGTTTGGAGAGTACTTAGAACATTTAGCCAATCTTCATATAACTGAATCGTTATGCTTCTCTTCCATTAGAAAGGGAGCCTATGAGATCAGCTAATAAATGGCATGTACTAGGTCCATGGATCTACCCAGTAGTCATTTCTGCAGTCTCTAAATCTGTAACTGGAATGCACATGCTTGGCCATTGGCAGAATCCCCACATAGTTCTTTAGTCTGTGGAGTACGAGCTACAGATTGAAGTGGAAGCCCTGAATCTACACCTCTTACCGCAAAGACAGTGAATCAAGAACAATATCACAATTCAAGGGAAATGGCTGATTGAGGCCACCTTTAAAGGGTGCGGGGGTTTGTTTCTATCATATTTCACATTTAATTCACCAGTCTGGTCACTACAAATATCAGATGCAACTTGAAAGATGACCAGACTAGCACAAACTCAACCAAGAAATAGCTGTAATTACAGCTGTTGTGCCTGATTAGCACGGTTTCAGGTCCATGTTATATGGCTATTAATCTGGTGAATAATGTGTTCTTTTCTTTTCTTTTTGAGATGGAATCTCACTGTTGCCCAGGCTGGAGTGCAATGGCATGATCTTGGCTCACTGCAACCTCCCCCTCCCGGGTTCGAGCGATTCTCCTGCCTCAGCCTCCTGAGTAGCTGGGACTACAGGCAAATGCCACCACGCCTGGCTAATTTTTGTATTTTTAGTAGAGACAGGGTTTCACCATATTGATCAGACTGGTCTTTAACTCCTGACCTCGTGATCTGCCTGCCTCAGCCTCCCAAAATGCTGGGATTACAGACGTGAGCCACCGTGCCTGGCTGAATGTGTTCTTTTCAAATACTATCAGGAAGAAAGACCAAAGGCAGTTTGAATTTACAGGTATGGATATAAGTGTACATTTACATTTACATTTTTGCTTCAGTACCATGTTAAAACTCTCCCGTCATAATAGGGTCCAATGGGACATGGATGTGCTGCAAGTCCAGGCAAAAAAGCCTTGATTTACATCATTTGCTGATTTCTGCAGTGTAAATATTCTCACCATGGCCAATTTTAAACTGTCAATGTGAGATTACTGAAAATGCAGAGTTGTAGAGAAATGTATGGTAACACACCATTACACAGAATAATTTATAATACAGAGGGTTTTTTTTTGTTTGTTTGTTTTTGAGGAATAAACAAACAGTCTTTATTAGGCTCAGACCAGAAGTCCATGGATCTTGAGGAGACCTGTGTGTATTTGTCAGTTTTCTTTTTCATGTTCTTTTCCACCTATTTCTGTAGCCTCATAAGCTGTTTCTTCTTCTGGTAGTGGATCTTGGCCTTCTCCTTCCTCTTCTTCAGGGTGGCTGTCACTGCCTGGTACTTCCAGCTAACTTCATAAGCTCGGTGTCCAGGCGGACAAATTTTCTTGTAGGCTTCAGACACACAAGCTTGAGGGCAGCAGGAACCACCAAAGCTTTTTCTTGTCATGGGGCGGTGGAATGCCGTCAGACACCTTGAGGTGGTTGAGGGCGGCCTGGCCTTGGTGAGTCTTGTGGGGCAGTGGGCCTTGCACCATCCACCAGAAGATGCGGCTAGGGCCGAGAAATGGCAGGGCCTCCAGAAGGTGTTCATCCGCTTGCGGAGAAAGCCCAGGTACTTCAACTTGTTTCTGTAGAACTTGCCAGAAATGTTGATGCTCTCGCATTGTACGACCACCACCTTCTGGCCTAGAGGGAAGGAAAGGGTTGGGAAGTGCTGAGGGTGCCATCTGAAGGCTCTCCCTCTACCTGTGACTGCACACAGACAGTGATGGGCACAGCAGAGTTCATGTTTAAATTAAAAGATAGCCTAATGGAAAATCACTTCTGAACCAGGAGGACCGCACCCCAGGAATGGGAGTGGCTGGCAGGTCTCAGAGCAGTGCATGGGGTTGGTCTCATGGCCATGAGACTCAAACGAAAGATGGTGATTGTTGCTCATCACCAATCCAGAATATTTTTATTATACAGACAACATTATTTAGTATCTTTATTATATAGACATAACAGATATAAATAACCAGAAGAGTATGGAAAATATGATAAGATAGTTAAATACCTAGAAAATGAAGAGCTTAGGGATTTGTTACCTATGCCTTAAAATAACTTATTTTAAAATAATAGTCATGTTTAACAACTGGTTTGCACAATTTCTGAAAATTTAACAGTTGGCTCCATGAGGCAGTATGAGCTAGCTGCATGCAGCACACCACTGGACGTGGACCTTCTGGACATTCCACAAAACATGACATCGTTCCACTGTATCAACAATATCTTATTAACCAAACAGAATGAGCCATGAGGGCAAGCATATTGGCGGCACTGGTAAGACAAATGCACTCCAGAGAGTGGGAAATACACCCTGTGAAGATTCAGCATCCTCCACATCTTTGAAGTTTTTAGACTTTGTGCCAGGACATCCCTCTAAAGTAAGAACACATTATTGCATTTCACACTTAACACCAGTAATGCAGAATTGGAAAGAGATGCACAGTAACACACTATTACACAGAAGAATTTATAATACAGAGGTGTTTTTTGGAATAAACAGTCTTTATTAGGCTCAGACCAGGAGTCCATAGGTCTTGAGGAGAACTGTGTGTATTTGTCAGTTTTCTTCTCCACGTTCTTTTCTGCCTGTTTCTGTAGCCTCATAGGCTGTTTTCTTCTTCCAGCAGTGAATCTTGGTCTTCTCCTTCCTCTTCTCCAGGGTAGAGAATGCTTGGTTGTCCTATTTAGGATCTAGAGGAAACATATTCCACACTCATGGGAATACCACATGGAACAGTTTACTAGCGACTGACTGAAGCCCAGAGCAGACCTGGGGTCCGCAGCTGTTCTAAGCTGTCATATCAGCCGTGTGGTAGTGCTTTGGTCATGTGACTCAATAGACTCTGGGGCACTAAAGGTATCAGTGGTGGGAAAAGATACAGTGTGGCATTTTGGGCAAGCCTTGAAAGGAAAATCACAACATAGATCCCTGGGGTTCTTCATCAAATCTATGCTGTCTGCTGCAGGAAAGTAAACCCCATTAGGAAACAAGTCCTAGCTTGCTCTTGGGCCTTACTAGAGACAGAGCTCCTGATCATGAGACATCAAATGGCTATTAGGCTACAACTGTCCATCATGAGCTGGGTCCTGTCAAATCAATCAAGTGATGAGGTCTAGTGGTTGCAACATCATCAGTTGTAAGAGAGAAGTCGTATATCCTGCATCAGTCATGGGCAGAACTGGAGGGTAAATGCAAGGTGCTGAAGTGGGGGGCCCAGATTCCCATGTCCTCCACGCTGTGGCCTTGGTACTTCCCAACTTGCTCATACCAGTGGCTCATGGGAGTGTTCTAGTTATTTATTGCTGCATAACAAAGTCTCCCCAAATTTAATGGCTTAAATGAACACAAACCTTATTGTATCTCACATGTTGTGGGCCAAGAATTTGGAACGAAATTGGCTGGGTTTCCTTATATTCCATGTTGCATCAGCTGGGATCCCTTGGAAGTATTCAGCTGGCAGATGGACTGCTCTAGAGGGTCCGAGACAGCTTCACTCACATGCCTGGCACCTTGGTGGGTTCACTGTAAGTTTGGGCTCATTTTCTCTGTCTTCATGCTATCTCAGGGCCTTTCTACATGGTCTGCCCAGCATGATAGACTTTTTACTTGGAAATTCGGGACTCCAGGATAGCAAGGAGGAACAGCCAGTTCTCTTACAGGCTGGCCCCAGAGCTGGCATGGTGTCACTTCTGCCACGCTGTTTTTGTCAAAACAGTCATAGACTAGCACAGATTCAAGGGGAGGGGAAATAGATAGCCCTCCTGATGGGATGATTGTCCGATAGTTTGCAGCCATCTTTAATCTGTCATGGGGGGGGAGGGGTACTTTATGATTGGCTAATGGAGGAAAAATAAGATGACCTTGGTTCATGGATGTATCTGCTCAACACATTGGTGTGAGCTGAAAATGGACTGCTGCTGCATTATAGCCACACTCAAGAGTAGTTCTGGAAGACAGTAGAAATTGTAAATCTTCCCAATGGGCAAAGCTTTGAGTAGTGCACCTGATTATCTATTTTGTGTAGAAAGAATAATGGCCTAATGGAAGAATATTTGTGAATACATGGGCAGTGGCAAATGGCTTGGTTGGTTGGTCAAGTGCTTGGAAGGAGGAGGTTTAGAAGATGAAGAACAATGAAATTTGAGGAAGAGGCACTTGGATAGGTTTATGAAAATGGGAAATCTTTTTATTTATGAAATTGGGAAAATTGTGAATATCTTTGTGTTACATGCTAATGCCCACTAGAAAGCATCCACAATAGAAGAGGCTCTAAACCTCTTCTAAACCAAGTAAACAGTGACTATAGGCCAGTTCACACTAAGCAGTCTTCTCCACAGGCCACCCTAGTGCTGGTAAAAATGGACTTATGAAGGCAGTAACTATGGTGGCAGGATGCAGGTCTGTATGTGTTCAACAGCATGGCTTTCACTCACCAACACTGATCTAACTCCTGCAGCTACTGAACGTCCGGCCTGCCAGAAACATGCAAATGCTGCCCTTGATATGGCACTATATCCTGGGCATGAGTTTGCAGGTCCAGGATTCAAATTGGATGCTGCGCAATGCGAAAGGGCTCTGTGTATTTGTAGAAAACCCCCAAACTGACCATTTTCTCCTACTATATTCTCAACATTCAACACTTCTAGTCACCAAAACATGTTCGTTTTTATTTTATTTTATTTTGTTTTGTTTTATTTTATTATTTTTTGAGATGGAAGTCTTGCTCTGTTGCCCAGGTTGGAGTGCAGTAGCGCGATCTCGGCTCACTGCAAGCTCTGCCTCCTGGGTTCATGCCATTCTCCTGCCTCAGCCTCCCGAGTAGCTGGGACTACAGGCATCTGCCACCATGCCTGGCTGATTTTTTGTATTTTTAGTAGAGACGGGGTTTCACCTTGTTAGCCAGGATGGTCTTGATCTCCTGACCTTGTGATCCGCCCGCCTCAGCCTCCCAAAGTGCTGGGATTACAGGGCTGAGCCACCACGCCCGGCCAACATGTTGGTTTTTCTTCCAGACTGACCAATACATTCTTCAGTGGACACCAACTTGGTGTCCTATAATTCAATTCAATTCACTTCTGACATTATTCACCTGGAGATACAGTGAGATCCCACAGGTTAAAGGATCCCATAAGGCTGCTCCCCACTTCAGATGCCAATCACAAGTCCAAGCTTCTGGAACTTCTGACCTACTGGGAACCCTACTGGGGGTTCCCACAATCCCCTCCTTGGGTTTGATGATTTATTAGAGCAGTTCACAGAATACATGAAAGCTCTTTAGTTCAATTTACCAGTTTATTATAGAGGATATTCCAAAGGATACAAATGAACAACAAAATAGAAGAGATGTACAGGAAAAGGTGTGTGGGAAGGGTTACAGAGCTTCTGGGGCATGCTGCCCTCTCAGCATTTCTGTGTGTGCACCAGCCTGGAAGTTCTCGGAGCTCTGTAGTTCAGGGATTTTTGTGGAGGCTTCATCAAATAGATATAGTTGATTATTAACTCAATGTCTAGCCACTCTCGATTTTCTGGAAGATGAGGGTAGAGCTGAAAGTTTCAAACTTCTAATCATGGCTTGGTCCTTCTAGTCAGAGTCCCCATTCAGGGGTCCCCCAAGGGGTCACCTCATTAGAACAAAAGATGCTCCTGTTACCCAGGAAATTCCAAGGGATTAGAGCTCAATGTTAGGAACTGACATATTTGGTCAAAGACCAAATATTAGAACAAAAGACTCTCCTAGCACCCCTATTGCTCAGGGAATTACAAGGGCCTTAGGAACTCTGTGCCAGGAACTGGGATCAAAGGCCAAATATGTATATCTTATTATATCACAATATTACAGCCTCTTGGCCACCGCATTATTCTGCAGCCCATGACTGCAATAGCTTTTTGGATTATATTCAGATGCTTTTCACATGTGGCGATAGACTCAAGTACCATACTCAGTGATGACCTCAGAATTACATGTCATTTTGCTATGAGTCTCTCCCAAGTTTAGCTTTTTGAAAAATCTTTTGGTTTCATATTATATTATGGGATATATTAGCAATCTCTGATAGTTTTGTGGCATATTAAATATTCATGGATGAAGCAGCTTTGGGAGTCGATAATGGATAGGGTGTTTATAACTAACCTAATTTAAATTTTATTCTAGTTACTACATTACTATGGCTATTTTGCCTGGCAATTAATGAAGAGCACTGGAACTGATTCTTACTGGGGCATAAACTTGTAGCCACTTCTGCCTTGAACCTATTAACTGCTTAAAATTTACACACACACACACACATACACACAATTTATTTTGAATATGTAAAGCACACACAGCTGTAACATTTAAAAGACAGGCAAAAATATAAAGTGAAAAGCAGATTTCTCTTCCATGTCTGCTCTTCTTCAAGTTACTGCTGTCGATGATGTCATAGGGCTCACTAGCTCCAGAAACAGCTTCTTCTGCAGGAACCTGGGAGGCTTCCAAGACACAAAGGGATTTTACTTCCTGCTGAACGACGTTGGTGATGGCTTTCTTGACTCCTCTAGACCTTGCGACCGCCGGATCCCAGTTGGCGTAATCTGCCACAGTCTTTGGAAGGAGCAGGCATCATGGGCCCAGAGCTTGAGCCGATTTCTTCTCCTCGACACGGCGCTCTTGTCTAGGGGAGGCTGGCACAGAGGTCTGCAACCATGGGCCAGCTCCGCCCTGCTCTGCTGTTAGCCCACGCTGGAGGCCAATGCTTTCGTGAGGACGCAGGCCCTAGGATTTCTTTCTGTAAATATAGTCTATCCTCCATTCCCACAGGTTCTGCATCCACAAGCAAACATGAATTGAAAATACAATATTCTCAGGATGCTAAACTCATGGATGTGAGAACCGACTTTTTGTATTTGTGAGTTCTGCAAGGTCAACTTTGGGACTTCAGCATCTGCAGATTTTGGTATCTGAGGGGTGTCCTGGAACTAATTCCCTGGGGATACTGAGGGGTGACTGTAATAAATATTCATTACATACCTACTGTGCCAGATACTATGCCAGGCACTAAGAGTATAAGGATAAGTGAGCCAAAACCCTGACCCTCACTTTCCTTACTGTGTACTTTGAGAGGCAGACAATTAAAAAGATCCTGTTACTTCATGGGAAGTGCTTTTTGTTGGTGGTAGAGAGGAGCTGGAGGGGAGAGTCTTCCAAAGAGAGGGAGGAGCACGTTCAAAGGCTAAAGGTGGCAGAGAGCCTGGTGTGGTTCATACACTTGCACTTGCAGGTAGTTGTGTGAACTTGCAGGATTCTAGGTGGTTGAGCCTTAGGAGGTGGGGATGGTAAAGTCTGGAAAACAGGAACCCGATCTAGGAGTTTGGGCTCCACATTTTATTGCAGGGGGATTCTATATATTATTTTTGGCTAAGGGAGTAACATATTCAAATTTGTATTTTGGAATGATTACTCTGGTTCAACATGGATAATCAATTTCAATCGGTCAAGACTGGAGGCAAAGAGCCAGTTAGTAGTCATTCATATCATCCACCAAATATTTCTGGTTCCCTTTCCTGCCACATGATTGGTTTATTTCCCCTCACCTTGAAGTTATATGTAGCCATGAGATTTGCTTTGGCAAATGACCAATGAGTCAAAGTGTTATGCCACTTCCGATTGGAAACTAAGTGCTAGTTTGCCATTTGTCATGCTTATTATTTCCTCCTTTCCCAGCACCTAGGAGTGTTTGAGATGGTGGGTGTTCTGTCAGTCCACATCTTTGGGTGAAGATGACAAGGCAGAACCTCTGGTTGGATGACAATGGGCATGCAGCAGCAGCAAGAAATAAACCTATGCTGTTTCAAGTCACTGAGGATTGGTATTGTTATCACAGCATAACCTCTTTCCTGACAGGAAAGAGGAGAGAATGGTTCAGTTCTAAACAGATTTTTCCATCACACTCTCCATTCCATTCATGTGAGGCTTTGAGAATGTAATGAATGTAGATCAACTTGAAAAAGGAAATAAGATTTCATAGAAGTTGGGGCTTACACTGCTGCTCCCTTTTTTCTGAGGCCCTTGCTCCATCCAGGCTCCATTGCAGCACTTTATTACTTACAATTGGATTTCATGTTTGTGCCTGGCTAGTAGAGGTTGGTCAGAATTTCAGAACTGCACTAGAAAATGGATGCAGGACAGCTGTTAGCACTGTGTAGCCACTGAAGAGCAGACTCACAACTCCTCATGGTCACTGTCATGCAGAGGTTGAGAAGAGGTAAAGGAAAATCATCTCCAGGAATGGGAGCACATTTTCAGGATTTGGCAGGAGATTAGTGTTGTGATCCCTGGAAAGCTGGATGATCAGAAAACTTACTAGGACTGGAAAAATAGAGTTTTCTGCCTGATAACCCATTTGGGTATAAATCCTAATGATGTTGGTATATTTATAATGGTGTAAAACCAACAGCATGCACTTGGTAAGTTAACAGATATGCATCTCAATTTAGGTCTAACAAATTGCTGTGTGTTCTTGGGTGAAATTACTAAATTCTCTGAGTGTCAGCTTCCTGTCAGTCCACCTCAAGCAAGTGGAGATGAACCATCCTGATGACAAAGGAAAGAAGACATTGTCAGAATCAGAAGTGGCTGGGTGATGTGGCTCACTCCTATAATCCCAGCACTTTGGGAGGCCGAGGCGGGTGGATCACCTGAGGTCAGGAGTTCGAGACCAGCCTGGCCAACATGGTGAAACCCCGTCTCTACTAAAAATAAAAAATTAGCTGGGCATGGTGGCATGTGCCTGTAGTCCCAGCTACTCAGGAAGCTGGGGCAGAAGAATCACTTGAACCCAGGAGGCGGAGGTTGCAGGGAGCCAAGATCGCACCACTGCACTCCAGCCTGGGCGACAGAGTGAGACTCCATCTCAAAAAAAAAAAAAAAAAAAAAAAAGAATCACAAGTGATGGTAAAATGATGATGATAATGTAACAATCGGAGAGGGGTTACATAACCAGAAATAGGCATGGTGCATTTGGAGAACCTGTAGGGGAGAAGAGAGTTAAAAACCAAATTGAAAAGAAAATAAAAATATAGAAATTAAATATTAAAAATGGGCAGGTATGATAATCTTTTTGAGCTTTAGATGTTAATTAAAGATACCTACCTCCTCTTACCTGACTCTTAGTCTTTCTCTGTCTCTTTCTCTCTCTCACACACACTCATATACTGTGACCCATTGTAAACACTGTGATGGGTGTATGAAAGGTAGTATACTTGGGAGCTCAAACTTGTTCACAAAAGGATAAATAATTTCTTCTTAATTTAGAAAGCACATTAAACAGCTCTCCCTCAACTTTGTATGAGCCCCATTTCCTTCGCCAGCAATCTCCTGAATGCCCTGGTTACCTCCTTGTTCCTCAGGGTGTATATGAGAGGGTTAAGTGAAGGAGTGCCCACTGCATAGAAGAGACCAAAGAACTTGCCCCTCTCTTGGGCATAGGGATTTTTGGGCTGGAGGTAGACAGCAATGACTGAGCTGTAGAAGAGGGTGACCACAGTGAGATGGGAGGAGCAGGTCCCAAAAGCTTTCCTCTGCCCTTTTGCAGTTAGTCCTTAGCACTGCCCAGGCAATGGCTCCATAAGAGACAAGGATGAGGCTGAGGCACAGCCAAGATGAAGACACTGGCAACAGCCATCTGGATCTCATTGTAGGAGGTGTCTTCACAGGAGAGTCGAATTAGAGCTGGGACCTCACAGACAAAATCATCCACCTGCTGATGGGGGCAGAAAGGCAGGCGCAGGGTGGATGGTGTCTGGACCACTGACTCTACCAGCCCAATGACCCAGGCCACAGATGCCAGCTGCCAGCACAGGCAGAGGTGGACGATGGTGGCATGGCGCAGGGGCTTGAAGATAGCCATGTAGCGGTCAAAGGCCATCACCGTCAGGAGGATGCACTCAGTGGTCCCCAGGGACAGGAAGATGAAGAACTGGACAGAGCAGCCCAGTAAGATGATGGTCTTCTTTGGCTCCCAGAGGTTGACCAGCATCCCGGGGACACAACTTATGGTGAAACAGAGGTCCAAGAAGGAGAGGTTGGAGAGGAAAAAGTACATTGGAGAGTGGAGCCTGGGGTCCAGCACAGACAGCAGGATGATGAGTCCACCGGGGTTAGGAGGTAGGAAGTGAAGACAACTACAAAGAGAGTCCTTTCCAGTGCTGGGTGTTCAGAGAAGCCCAGAAGGAGAAAGCCTGGTGCGGAGCTTTGGTTAACCATGGCCTGTTCCTCTCTGTATCTGGAAGGATGAGGCTGTCACCCCAGTGTGATTCAACCTGTCTTATTAAAACTCAGCCTGGGTGTTTGTGAGGTCCCAGTAGGTGAGTGTTTCTCTTTTGTCTCTGCTCGCCCAGCGTTCCTTTCCCAGTCTCATCACCATCAAGCAGCTCCTTCTCATCCCCTGTTCCTTCTGATCAAACATTGTCTAGTGGGAGTGAGGAAACCATTAATGTGCTCAACAACGGATTGAGCCTCACACTGGTGCCTCTGACTTCCTGGTTGAATGCAAAACGTCTGATGTGAAGCATAGATCAGCTAACTAGTTAGTTTTTATTAATTTTGCAAAAATTTATTAAGTACCTATTATGTTCTGATCGCTATGCTACTACTGAATTTTCCCTTTGTTATGTGTGGAAGGAAATACAAAGAAATGTGTGTTCAGTGAGTTTCCTAATTGTAAACATTACTAGAGAATTCATCATGTTTTCTAGTGGTGGGCATAAATTTTCTCAAATCATTCACATTCTATCTACTTTACACTTTTGCAAGAGATTTGACCAGTGATAGAAATGTGGACTGTGGAGATTTCTTCTGTATGTGAAATGACTCAACTGCTAGAAAGATCAGTCAGGTGATTTAGGTCTTTCAAAAAAAATTATGACTTATTAAACTAAGAACAAACATTTCTCCTGCAAATGAAATGTCCTGCCTAAATTTTCCATTATGTGTAATATGTAAAAATAAGAAAAAATATAATGTCAGTCAGAAAGATTATTTTCTGGTTCTGTAACTGCAAAAAAATCCTGAAGAATTGATGTTTGGTGTTAGAAAGCTGAAATAGATTTCAATATCCTCTCCTTTTCATGTAAGATAAAATATAGTAGTAAAAACATACCATGTTGAGTTTGGGACATGTAAGTAGAATTTTGCTTTTGAAAATGCTCGGTTAATTTTATTCACATGCAATTAAAAACCTTTGATTTTGAAATAAGTTGAAACTTACAGAAAAGTTGCAAGTGTAGTTCCAAGAACTTCTATATAACCTTTATCAAATTCATCAATTTTTAGTATTTTTACTCATTTTCACTATCATTATACTCAATATGTTTATGTATTTTCATTTTTACTCTGAGTCACTTGGGAATAACTTGTGGACATCATGCCTCTTTCTCCTTATTGTCTTAGTATTCATATTCTACAACAAGATGATCTTAATTAACACTGTACAGCAATTAAATTCAATAAACTTAAAATTGATACAGTATTGTTATGTAACACACAGTCCATATTCTTATTTTCTCTATGTCCCAATAATGTTCTTTGTAGGATTTTTTTTTTTCCACGTAGGATCCAGTTGAGAGTCACATATTGTACTTAGATGTCAGGTCTGACTTTATCCTCTTTAGTAGCCTATCCTAAGTCACTGAAGTAAGGAGTCTACTTCAAATTATTGAACAATGTGGTCATTCAAGGCGGAGGAGCTTATGGGCTGGAAGAAAGAGTAGTCTCATGGCTTTGAAAAACCCTGGGTAGTACATTCAACATCAGCAGAAAACTTGAAACATTGCAGGCAAATAAGGCAAAAATATTGGGGTAGGGGGCTAGAGGTGAGAGATAGATCTGTAAAGAAAATGAGTAGGGTGGTTGAGTGAATCAGGGAATGCTTCCTGGAGGAGGGGACTGTGTTTTTGAGAAGGTGAAGAGAGTTTCAGCACACAGGGCCAACTCAGATATGGGTGGACGGTGGCAGCCACTCTGGCAGTTGAGAGGCAGGAACTGGGCAAGTTGATGGGGAGGTGGCTGGAGAGGCTATAGGTTGGCAGCATCTACCCATTGCAGTGTCTCTTTTTTGTGTGTTTAAAAGCCCCATCTCATCTTTTTATTTGTTCAACCTGTTTATATTTGTCTCTTTTTTCGTTTCCTTCCTCCTATATTCTTTTTACTCTGAGAAAAATTTTTCCTTTAAAATATTGTTGAATATTTTAACAAAAGATTGTTTAAATCTTAAAAGCCTTCTGCGTGCCCTTCCCTAATCATACCTACTACCTACTCCTGAAGACGCAATGACTATTTCAATTATTACTTTTACAAAATCATTCCTATATTGTCTTATAACATTACACCCTTTGTGTTGGTAAAAAATAGCCAACTCCTCCTTATTTATCTGTCAACCATCATTCTAATACACTTTCTGCATCCCTCTCTTACACTCTTATACTCTTGGTAATTCATTGCTTCACTCTATGTCATTTTTCAGTCTCTTCAATTTACATAGTTCTTTGACTCTCTTTCTGTTCTCTCTTGTTCTGTGTTTCACAACGTGTATTTGTTCTCACTCTCTTTCTTCTGGTCTTTTTAATTTTTCTTGGACACCCACAAAAGTCCAGTACAACTTTACTCTCTTCCTATTAATTTCATATTCACGGATGTATTTATTTCTTTATTAATCACCAAAGACCTAGTTGTGTACTAGGTGCTACAAGGGAATGAAATATCAATTCTTTTCTCCAATTCATTAGTGAAAACCACGTTAATACTTTGGCAGCTACCATCTGTTGTGTGCTTCCTATACACCAGGCACCATGCTAAACATTTCCTGAATACCTGGTTCTCATAACTCTTTGAGGTAGTTAATATCATCTTCCTTTTACAGAAGAAGAAATGGTCGCAGAGAGGTTAAGTAGCTTGCCCAAGGTTACATAGCCGATGAAGACCAGGCCTGGAGTCTGAGTCCTGTTTGATTCCAAATCTGGTGCTCCTGGGGTAGCTCTACCATTGACGATATGTGGACATTAATGGACAGTAGGAGAAGAATAAACTTATAACTTTTCCTCAATCATGTCACAATCTCCCCATTGCCTGCTGCCGGAGCTTCTCCCTGACAACGAGCTTCTAGACTGAGTGAGCCTCTAGTTAATCCTCACAATGAAATCTACAAGCAAAGTCAGGAGTGTTGGGCACCTTTGAAAGGGTGGTGGATTAGGGCTCAGGTAGTAATGTTGACTTCTAATGCTGCTGCCACACCTTTCAAAGCACTTCACAACCTCTGTATGACCTGGATAATATTTCTATATTCTATATTTATTTTCAGATGAAGAAACTAAAACATAGGTTAAATAATTAGCTCAGAATTATATAGCCAGAGCTGAGACTTGAACCCAGGTGGGTTGGCTCTAGAGTCAGGCACAAACTATACCCCACCACCATCCTTCTTCTGGACCTGTAAGGCTGAAGGTTGCTCTTTGCCCACAACCTCTCCTCTTCAACCTAGTAAGTTAACCTGTCTTTTAATGGTAGTGGAGATAGAGAAGAAAACGTGGTGAAGTGATGGAGGGAGGGATCCCGGGACTCCCATCCCATGGAGAGAAATGGCTTGTTAATTCTCCCAAGACTCCAGAGCGTCACAGTTCACAGACAATTAATTAGCCACTGGTGCTAATGATGATTAAGAAAGAAGGAGATGATTCAGAGGAAACGTGCCAGCATTGGTGCTCCCTGTGGTAAGTAAAAAGGTCACTTCTGCTCCTCTGTGTCATTGAGGAGCACAAGGTCATGTTTTCTCATTGCCACCTCTCCTGAGTGTGTCCCATTCTTTTCTCTCAAGTCTCATTTGAACCCATGTAAGACTTCGTTATTTCTTGTTTCTTCTCTACTGGTAGACATTTGGATATAATTTACATGCAATAAAATGCACAGATTTGAAATATACGCTTTGATGAATTTTGATGACTTCAATGAAGAAACAGAAGATTTCCATCATCCTACAAACCTTCCACTTGCCTCTTTCCTTGATACTTAGTTTTGCCTCTTCTAGGACTTCATACAAATGGAATAATATATACTCCTTTGAGTAAGAATTATTTCACTAGGAGTAATTATTTTGCAATTTATTCATGTTGTTTCAAGTATCAGTAGCTCATTTCTGCTTTTAAAATCAACTTCAGTCTGGGCATGGTGGCTCACATCTGTAATCCCAGCACTTTAAGAGGCCAAGAGGAATGGATCACCTGAGCCCAGGAGTTCGAGACCAGTCTGGGCAACATAGCAAGACCTTGTCTCTACGAAAAGTACAAAAACTTAGCCGGGTGTGGTGGCCTTCATCTGTAGTCCCAGCTCCTTGGGGGGCTGAGCTGGGAAGATAACCTGCGCCTAGGAGATTGAGGCTGCAGTGAGCTGTGATCATGCCACTGCACTCTAGCCTGGGTGACAGAGTCAGACCTTGTCTCAAAAAAACATAAAATAAAATAAACTTCTTTAAGATAGAATTTACATGTAATAAAATGCACACATTTTAAGTATATTGTTCAATATACTTAGGAGGTCAAGGCTGTAGGGAGCCGTGATTGCACCACTGCACTACTGCACTCCAGCCTGGGTGACAGAGTGAGACCCTGTCTCAAAAAAAAAAAAAAAAAAAAAGCAAGCAAGCAAGCATTCATACATTCATACCACCTGATTTCATTGACATAACTTTCCTACAACAGGAAAAGCAAATCTAGCAAGATAGAAATCAGATGATTGGTTGTCTGGGACAGGGCATAGGATAACTTTCTAGAATAATGAAAATGCATGCTCTATATCTTGAATGGGGTATTGGTTATCCAAGTGTATGCACTTGTCAAAACTTATTGAACAATATACTTAAAATGTGTGCATTTTATTACCCGTAATTTGTACTTCAATGAAATTTACTTTTTTTATGTTTTTTGAGACAAGGTGTTACTTTGTCACCCAGGCTAGAGTGCAGTGGTGTGATCACAGTTCACTGCAGCCTCAACCTCCTGGACTCAACCCCCCAAGTAGCTGGGATTACAGGTGCAGGCCACCACACGCGGCTAAGTTTTGTACTTTTTGTAGAGACAGGGTCTCGCTGTGTTGCCCAGACTGGTCTCGAATTCTTGGGCTCAAGTGATTCACCCACCTTGGACTCCCAAAATGCTAGAATTACAGGCATGAGCCACCATGCCTAGCTTCATGCCTTATTTCTGGCTTCTGTTATCTGGCTTGTTATGGAAATTCATTCATAGTGTTTCATATATTAGTAATTTGCTCCTTTTTATTGCTAATAGTATTTCACTGTATAAATATACCACAGTTTATCCATTCATGCATTGATGGGCATTTGGGTTGTTTCTAGTTTTGGGCTGCTATGAAAGAAGCCACAATTGTTGGGTATGGTGGCTCACACCTGTAATCCCAGAACTTTGGGAGGCCAAGGTGGGAGGATACTTGAGCCCAGGAGTTTGAGACCAGCCTGGGAAACATGATATAACCCTGTCTCTACAAAATAATACAAAATATTGGCCGGGCATCGTGGTGCATCCTGTAGTCTCAGCTACTTGGGGGGCTGAGGTGGGAGGATCACTTGAGCCCAGGAAGTTGAGGCTGCAGTGAGCCATGATCATGCCACTGCACAACAGCCTGGGTCCGAAAAAAAGAAGAAGAAGAAGAAGAAGAAGAAGAAGAAGAAGAAGAAGAAGAAGAAGAAGAAGAAGAAGAAGAAGAAGAGGAAGAGGAAGAGGAAGAGGAAGAGGAAGAAGAAGAAGAAGAAGAAGAAGGAGAGAACAGTTAGTTGTGTTGTATATGGTTCTTCGTTCTTTGTGTGAACACATGTGTTCTTTATTTTGGGTAAATACCTAGAATTGGAATTTCTGAGTCATTTGCTGTCTGTTTATCTTTATAAGAAACTGCTAAACTGCTTTCCAGAGTGATTGTGCCATTTACACTCCCTACAGCGATGAGAGTTCCAGATGTTCCACATCCTTGGTAATACTTGGAATTGTCAGTCTCTTGGTTTTAGGCATTCTATCGGCTGTGAAGTGCTCCCTCAAGTCGTTTCAATTTGCTCTGTGATGGTTAATGGTGTTAAACATCTTATCATGTGCTTTATTGGTCCTTACGTGTCTTTTATTCAAATTATTTTTCATTTTTTTAACTGTGTTGTCTTATTAAAACTGTAGTCATATCTTATAATAATATAAGTAACATAATAAGTATTTATGGTAATACTTTGAGATTATGCAAGTATCTTTTTCTCATTATAGTTTTGCCTACTAATTTTAGCATCCACAAATGAGTTTTGACTGTAACAATTACTATTGGGCTGTTTGCCTAATGATAACTTTCATCATTTCTCCTATGTTTGTTATTTTGAATTTTGTAAGAGCTGTCCCTCTCCTCCTATTCGTTTACTGTTTATTTTCTTTATTCATATCCAGTAATGACTCCTGGATGTTTATTTTATTCTTTCTTCATTATTCTCATTATTTACTTTGCTGTTTACATTTTCCCAGACTTGGCTATGGGGAAATCCTTTAACGTGATTACTGTGAGTTTTTTGATGTGTCCTCATTTTTTTTTTTAATGACTTCTTTAGTTTCTGGCATCATACAGTATTCCAGGGTTATCTTGTATGTTCTCTTTCCTCTGTCTGGGATCAACCATCTCTCCAAGGACTCCTGGTTCTTTTTACCAGAAAGTCGTATACAGCTGACCCTTGAACAATGCGTGGGTTAGAGGTGCTGACCCCCTCATACATTTGGAAATCCATGAATAACTTTTGACTCCCCTAAACCTTAACTACTAATAAACTACTGTTAACCAGAAGCCTTACTGATCATATATACAGTTGACTGACACATATTTTGTATGTTGTATGTATTATATACTGTATTCTTACAATAACATGAGCCAGAGAAAAGAAAATGTTATTAAGAAAATTATAAGGAAGAGAAAATACACTGACAGTACAATACCGTATTTATCAATTATGTAAGTTTGTGTCATCTGTTAAGAGATGAAACATCAGTCAGAAATGGCAGGAAACTGCAGCAGCAGACCTCAATCTATAGCACATATCAAGCAATTCAACTTTTTCCTGTAATGTTATGGCTTTTCTCTGTCTCCAGGGAAAACTTCCAGCATCACTATATGGGTCTCGTGGTGTTATTCAGGCTTTATGGAATTGCACTAAACACAATTAAAAATACACAAGATCCTGGGCGCGGTGGCACACCTGTAATCCCAGCACTTTGGGAGGCCGAGGGGGGTGGATCACTTGAGGTCAGGAGTTCAAGACCAGCCTGGCCGTCTTGAACCAAAGAACGTTTCTACTAAAAATACAAAAATTAGCCAGGCGTGGTGGTGCATGCCTCTAATCCCAGCTACTTGGGAGGCTGAGGCAGGATAATCACTTGAACCCGGGAGGCAGAGGTTGCAGTGAGCTGAGATCGTGCCACTGCACTCCAGCCTGGACGACAGAGCAAAACTCTGTAATAAACAAACAAACAAAACAAAAACAGGACAACCGCAAGAACCGTGAGACATCACTTTTTCCTAAAGAGAAGACGAACTGCTTACGTGGGAATGATTAGTATTACATGACATTTTAATCCCATACTCCCAACACTTGAGCTCACCCAATAGTAACAGGAGGTGGCTACATAATTATTATAGTAAGACAGAATGTACTATGACTAATTTTACGCAGTTATGATTTAATACTGTATTTTATGATTGTTTATAAGTATTTGTGTGTGAGTTTTAATAAATTTTAACTTTTTATAATAGATTTGTGTATATTTTATAGTAAATGATAAAGTATGCTAGTATCTACGTATGTTTTATGCATTTATGATATGTCTAATTGTTTCTTAATTATTTTGATGTTTCTAAGCTATGAAGTTTGCGAGTTTTTTCAAATTGTCACAAAGGTACAAAATTTTCCAGTATATTTACTGAAAAAAATCTACATTCAATGGACCCATGCAGTTCAAACCCTTGTTGTTCAAGGGTCAACGATATTGTATTTTTCAGTTCCAGCATTTCTGTTTGGCTTTTTAAAATGGCAGTTTCTACATCTGTCTCCTAAAATTCATCATTTCTTTACCCATTGTATAAATCTTTCCCTGTGGATTCTTTAAAATACTATAGTGATTTTAAAGTCTCCATCTGATAATTCTAACATTTCGGTGGCGTTTGGGTTTGTTTTTATTGAGGATTTAAAACTGTTTGTCTAATATTTCTGTTTCTTCACATGATTGGTGATTTCCTGTTTTACACTTGATGATGTGAGTAATATGTTACAGAGATTCCGTATTCTATTACCTTTATCTATTTTGTATTCTATTATCTTTCTCTGAAGCGTATTGAATCTTGTTTAATAAGCAGATATATTACCCACTTATCACTTTGAACTTCTGAAAAACTGGCTTTACATTTTGCTGGAATGGATCATTGCAGTTTTTTCTTGGTTCTAGGGTGAACTCCTTAAGCCTTGGTTGTCATTTTGACTTCTAAGATCTGGTCCTTTTGGGGTTTTAGTTAAAGGCACATTATTTTCAGATGTCTGTTAATGGTAGCAGAGCCTAATCCTAAGTGAAATCCGAAATCCCCAGCTGACAAAAGAAAGTACCAAATAACTTGCATGAGAAGTAGGAGGCAGAGCCTGGATTCACTCCAAGATGGCCTGACTGCTACAAAGTGGAAATGCGCCATTGGTCAACACATCATCCTGCACTTATGACTGCATTAGTTATTCCAGTTGCTTTGTCAGGTTGGACAATTTTTGCACATTGACATCAGTCCCATGTACCAGGCTCAGCAATTGTCTCAGAATTACTTTTTTTTTTTCATTAGGTTTGGTCTCTGATTTTAGCTAATTATAAATTTCTTTGCTTTCAGATATATTATGGGCTATATTATCAATGTTTCTAAATTTTGCAGTATGTAAAAGATTAGTGGAAAATAAATTTTGGGGAGTAGGGAAGGCACAGAATCACAATAGTTAACCTACTATAGCCACCAACTTTTCATGGCCCTTTGCCTGTCAACTAGTGATGAGCACTGAAACTGGTTCCCATTGGTGCATAGCTTATAGCCAGCTCCATTCTGAGCTGATGACTACATAAAAAATATACTATCCCTTCCCATACTATCTGCCTATCTGAATGTGTAAAACATGCACAGTTGCAAAACTAAAAAATAGCAACAATAATAAGATAAGACATATAATGAATAGTCCACCTCTCATTCCTGCTCCTCAGGCAACTTGCAGAGTCAGTGTCTCCTCACAGAGATGTTGTATGCACATTTTAGCATATGTGTATATTTTCTTCCTTTCTAAATAACAAAATATTATACATATATTTTGCAACTTGGCTTTTAAATTTAATTCAACTGTATACACCAGCACTTATTTAGTTGTCTATTGATAAGTGTTGTTCCCATTTATTTCAGTTGCAAATAATTATTTCACATGAATATTCTTGTACATGGCTTATTTCACACATATATAAGTGTACTAATAGGGCCAGGCATGGTGGCTCATACCTGTAATGCCAGCACTTTGGGAGGCGGAGGCAGGTGGATCACCTGAGGTCAGGAGTTCGAGACCAGCCTGGCCAGCATGCTGAAACCCCATCTCTACTAAAAATAAAAATAATAAATAAATAAATAAATAAATAAATAATAGCCAGGCATGGTGGCACATGACTGCAATCCCAGCTGCTCAGAAGGCTGAGGGAGGAGAATCGCTTGAACCCAGGAGGCGGAGGTTGCAGTGAGCCGAGATCGCGCCATTGCATTCCAGGCTGGGAGGCAAGAGTGATACTCCTTAAAAAAAAACCAAAAGAGTACTAATAGGATAAGTTCCTAGAAGCAGAATTGCTGAGCTAGAGGATATGAACATGAAAAATTTTAAATTATATTTTTATTATAATCTTTGATACTACAGATAAATAAATGTAACCCATATAGAATAATATAATGTAACACTATAAAACATAATAGTAGCATAATGAACACTCATGGTTTTTACATTTTTATAAGAGCCTTATTGCTTACATATGTAGTTCTAGATACTATATTCAGTTTTGCTTATGTTTAGTTTTCTTTGGAACATTTGTTTTAGATATTATTACTTTACCTTTAATAAAGTGAATATACGGTATGTCTCTCAAGTAATAAATTGCTTTAACAAACATTAAGTTCTCTTGGTTAAACTTCAGATTCTGAATATGGCAAGATGAAATAATATCAGGGCTTCTAATGCCCTCTTACTTCCTGTTGAAAATCTCCTTCAAGTAGCTTATATCAAAATTTAGATTGGGCTTCATTTTTGTTAAAAAGCAGACATATCCTGAATTTCAAGTAGTTCCTCTTTTTCTCTGTCTCACTATGTAGTTTTGCTTGCTTTTGAGATTTATGGAGAGTATCATACTTTATGTAGTCTTACTCATCTTGCTTTTGTTAGATATAGTGAACTCCAAGATTCTCTTCAAAGAATCAGTATGTCAGCATATTCATCTCTCTTATTCTTTGATTCTCCATTTGAAAGTTGAGCTTCCGGGTTCTCTTCACCCTCTTGCCTCTAGTTTCAGTAAACAACTTTCCTGTCAGTTCTAATCAGTGGTTCATATCTGTTCCCCTGGTCACCTGCTCCATCCGGAGTCACCCTCGGCCACCTGCTTTGATTTGAATCATCCTGAGTCACCTGTTCTGTAACCACCCTTCCCACCAAACTACCCACCCTGCCGCTCTGGCTCATACCCCTGCTCTCTTTAAAATAGCCAATCGGAATTAGCTTAGATTGTGTGGTCCAAACCTAGCCAATAGGGGAACGACACAGCAGTAGGGGCTACCTGCCTCAGGAATAAGAACTCCTTCCCCTCCCTTGTCCAGGTATGCTCTTGCCATTACTCCATCCGCGAGTCACACCCTTCTATAGAAGTAAAAATTCCTTGCTGAGAAAATTGAATTTATGTCTGAGTGCTATTTCTTTGCGGCACCGTGGAATAAGCATTTGTTTCTAACACTTTTTTCACTCAATAGGTTCTAGCACATTCATCTGTATCGTTGTTTGCAGGTATGATCCTTCTATTTATGCTGCTTATGATATTCTACAATTTGGTTACCTATTTCCCTAATACTGATAGGCATTTGGTTGTCTTGGTTTGGTATGTCCATGTTAAATTTTGGTAGGTATTTTCAAACTGTTCTTCTTTGAGTGTAGACTTTTTTCCCAATCACCAATAAATGAGAATTCACACTAGCTTTCTGACTGAGTTTGGCTGGCATTTTTGAAGCAATATTCTAGATCTCAAAGCAGTTTAGAAACTCTTTCATGGACGTTATTAAAGAGACTAGAAAGAGACATCTGTTCCAAGTAGGCTTCAAGTAGGCTTCAATGGGGGCAGTGACAGGCCCAAGAGCATCCCGTCAGCCAGGGCCACATTGGGACACTCGTAGATAACCGCCACAATTGTTTTATAACTTGGCAAGATCTTCATACCATCATCTTTTTACTTTTGTTACTGGAAAGGGATCCTGATCCAGCCCCCAAGAGAGCGTTATTGGATCTTGCACAAGAAAGAATTCAGGGTGAATCCATAGAGTAAACTGAAAGCAAGCGTATTAAGAAAGTAAAGGAAAAAAAGAATGGCTACTTTATAGGCAGAGCAGCCCTGAGGGCTGCTGGTTGACTATTTTTATGGTTATTTCTTGATTATATACTAAACAAGGGGTGGCTTATTCACAAGTTTTCCAGGAAAGAAGTGGGAAATTCCTGGAACTGAGGGTTCCTCCTCTTTTTAGACCATATAGAGTAACTTCTGGACATTGCCATGGCATCTGTAAACTGCCATGGCCCTGGTGGGAATATTTTTTAGCATGTTAATGTTTTATTTAGCATATAATGAGCAGTGAGAATGACCAGAAGTCACTTTCGTTGCCATCTTGGTTTTGGTGGGTTTTGGCTGGCTTCTTTACTGCTTCCTTTTATTTGCAAGGTCTTTATAACCTGTACTTTGTGCTGATCTCCTCTCTCATCCTGTGACTTAGAATGCCTAACTTCCTGGGAATGCAGCCTAGTAGATGTCAGCCTTATTTTATCCAGCCCCTATTCAAGATGGAGTTGCTCTGGTTCAAACACCTCTGACACTTTAGCTGGTTTTCTGAATTTGTCAGAGGGGTAAATGATGTAGTTTGGATGTTTGTACTCTCCAGATCTCATGTTGAAATGTGACCCCCAGTGTTGGAAATGGGCCCACTGGGAGATGTTTGGGTTGTGGTGGCAGATCCCTCATGAATGGCCTGGGGCTGTCATCATTGTAATAAATGAGTTCTCACTCCATTAGCTCACAAGAGAGCTGGTTGTTTAAAAGAGCCTGGCATTTTTCCCACTGTCTCTTACCTCCCTCTCTTGCCATGTGACACGCCTGCTCTCCTTCACCTTCCACCATGAGTAAAAGCTTCTTGAGGCCTCACCAGAAGCAGATGCTGGTGCCATACTTCTTGTATAGTTGGAGGAACTATGAATCAATTAAACTTTTTTTCCTTATAAATTACCCAGCCTCAAGTATTCCTTTATAGTATGCAAAAGAGACTAAAACAGCAAATGAAAAGAGATCTGTCTCTGAAAGAACTTATTGTGACATAGAGAGAGACAGAAAAAAGTCAGATTGACACTGGGTAAGAAGCAAGGAGGTCAGGTCCCAAGATGAAGTCCTGCCTGTGGTCAGCAAAGGGGCACCAAGGTGTCTGGGACAGTCCTGGCCCTGGCTTTGGGCAGGGAGGGAATTTCCCATAGGAAGGGAAGAGTAAAGAGAGAGAGAGAGGTCAGAGTCCAGGTTTGTTGTTCATATGTTTTCTTGAAAGGGCACTATTTCCCAGAATCCAGGTCATCTCTGGGTAGGGAATCCCCTGAATTAGTTTTTTCTGAGAGTATATTAGATTTGCCCTCACAGTAACCCCATGCTGGAAATACCCAACTCCAGTAGCACTTTTCTCCCTGCCTTTTCCCACTGAAATAACATAATAATATAGGAAGAATACAAGGACTATAGAAATACAGATTAGTGTTTGAACCCTTGCTTACCAGCTACTACTAATATGATTGTGGATGAGGTAGCTTCTTACTTATTAACGGGGATACTAATAGAGGTGGTTCCTTACAATGATTCCATTTATGATTTTTTATTTAATAGTGATACCAAAGCAATACATACTCAGTAGAAACCTACTTCAAGTTCCCATAAAATCATCTGCTTTTCACTTTCAGTACAGTATTTAATAACTTAAATGAGATATTTCACACTTCAGTAGTAAATACACTTTTTGTTAGATAATTTTGTCCAACTGTATGCTAATGTAAGTGTTCTGAGCATGTTTAAGGCAGGTTAGGTTAAGCTATGATGTTTGGTGGGTTAGGTGTATTAAATGCATTTCTGATTTTGGATATTTTCAGTGTACAATGGGTTTACAGGGATGTAACCCCATCATAAGTGAAGGAGCACCTGTACTTACTTCATTAAAATGCTGAAACAGTAAATAAGGTAACATTTAATAATATGTTGTGCAGTTCTTGAAATTTAAGTACTCACTAAATATTACTTTTCCTTTTTTTGTTATTTACTTACTTTTCATTCATTTATTAATTCATTTGTGCATTTAGTAAACATTTATAAATTATTTCCTGTGCCTGACAGCATGCTGGAACAGTGCTAAAGATACAAGTTAATTAAGACACAATCACGACCCCCAAGATTCCTACTCTTTTCTAAAGATTACAGACAAGCAGACGATGCTATTGTTGAAGAAACATGCTCTGAGAGGCATTTGAAGGAAGTGTAGAGGATAGAAGATGGACACATAACCCAGGATGGGGAGGAAAAGAGTTAGGGAAGGCTTTTTGACGAAGATACTGTTTACACCGTGTGTTCTTATAAATTCATGGTGGTGGGGATAGAGTTGGAGGAAAAGGCATGCTCAGTGGCGTGGAGATGGCAGAGAGATTGGGGTGTTCAAGGATATGCCGGGAATTCAAGGAACGAGAATTCCCATAGACACAGACACAGCTAGACATAGAGATCTGCAGCTTAGGTTTGGGCTGTGGGTATAGATCCAGGTGGCTTCAACAGACAAAGATCTTTCCTGAGAAAAGGGAAAAGTTTTCAACACAGAAAGACCATCCCATGTTTGGAATGAGGTTTGCAAATAGATTGCTTGAGGAGAGAAGTATGTGATCAGAAAGCATTCTTTGTCTATTAACTCCTGCCCAGCAAAAGTGAAAGAAAATTCATGGGAGCATGCAAGAACAAAGAGCACAGCAAAGCTGGACAAACACAGCAATCCAGGCAGGGGATTTCCAACTCAACTCTGGTATATAAGCTGCATGCAAAGTCCTTTTTCTGTCTCTGGTTTCTGGCCCCTTGTCTGCAGAGATGGCTCCCAATGCTTCCTGCCTCTGTGTAAGTTGGGATTTGATAAAGGGGATGGGGAAAGGAAAAGCACTTTCAAGAGTTGGGGAGAGATCTTAGAAACGGGGGCTGGGCAGTACTCAGGGCTCTGGGGGGCTGGGCAGGCATCCTTCAGGAGAAGAGGCTGGCATTGACATTTGCAGAATGGGAAGAGGGATTGTCTGAAGAGAAGCTGGTTATCTGGCTTCTGTGTTCTTTTTTAAATAAAACATTGGACTAGCTACTCTTAGGGATAAATGGTAGAAGAAAAAGTGGGGGTGAGCTTTGTGTTCCACAGGGCTGGTGAGATTTGAAATTATGGTAACATTTTTTAAGGTTCTTAAACTTAATCTTCCCTCTCCTCTCAAAGGAGAGCTTCACAAAACTCATTCATCTGAAGTTGTTAATGATCTAACACATTACATTATATAAGAAAATATGCACTATGGAGAGAACCTGGAATTAAGGCAATGCTTAACACAGATCTTCCAGTGAAGAAATGTCTGCAATATCTAGATTGGGAGAATATTTCTGAATGGAGTATGAGGGAGGTCTTCTCAGGCTTTCAAGTGGCCATTAGGGGTGAGTTTTCCCATCTTTTAGGATTTTCCAGCTATTGAAGTAAGACTTAGATATAGTCCCTACCTTCTGTGAGTGAGGCCCTAGTCTTATCAAAGGAGATCACATTCTATATTAGTGTTACCAGGGGGTCTTTGCTCCCAGAGCTCTCAAGATGGTGGTGGGCTGCTTCCAAAATGGCCGCAGGCCGCTTCCAAGATGGTGGCAAGCCTCGTGTTCTCTGACCTGGGGTTCTTGGCCTCATGGATTCCAAGGAATGGAATCTTGGGTCATGTGGTGGTTGTTACAGCTCTATTAGAAGCCATGGGTCACGGAAGAGAACCGTGGACCCAGTGACTAGTGTTCAGCTCGATTAGGAAGAACCTGGGCACTTAGCCGTGCAGAACAATGGTACGCCTTTAGCCCAATCAGGAGCGGCAATGGGCGCCTCACTGGTTCAGAAGCACAGCGGACACCCTGCCAGATCCGAGGGATGGAAGTCAGCCGCGGGTCTGCGACGGTGGCAAACGGCAGTGGTGGATGGCAAGCGAAAGCTCACCTCGAGCCGTAAGAAACATAGACCAGAAGAGTGCAGTTGCAAGATTTAGTAGAGTGAAGACAGAGCTCCCATACAAAGGGAGGGGACCCAAAGAGGGTAGCGTTGCTGGCTCGAATGCCTGTGTTTATATCCCGATCATTGTCCCTCCCGCTGTGATCTCAGGCAATAGATGATTGGCTATATCTTTACCTCCTGTTTTTGCCTAATTAGCATTTTAGTGAGCTCTCTTTACTACCTGATTGGTCAGGTGTGAGCTAAGTTGCAAGCCCCGTGTTTAAAGGTGGATGCAGTCACCTCCCCAGCTAGGCTTAGGGATTCTTAGTCGGCCTAGGAAATCCAGCTAGTCCTGTCTCTCATTAGATAGAAATAAAAACACAAGAAATATAAATTAACAAGAAACACTGAACATAGTGTCACGGTAGTATGTGAGTTATTATTATAAAGCAGTGGGATATTTGAAAAGAAACTAACAGTTCAGTGATTATGTGTCCTACCCAGGATTTCCTTCTGAAGTATTGACAGAGGGTATCCTATGGCTATGAGTATCTTCATGAGGCTGTCATATTTTGGAAATTCTCTTTGAGAGTTGTTTTTAGAGTCTGATGTACATCTTTTGAAGCCTCGTATTTACTTGTTGACATTTGACAAACTTTATCTGGATAGGAGAGGCAGGTAAATAAGGTGGAAAATCACTAATTACATTTTGAGATGGATAAAGGTATGTTTTTTACATCCATTGAAATGCACAGAAAAACGAAATGTAAAGATTGTCAACTAAAAAAAAATCACACAATTCATAAATTTAGAAGGGGAGTTTATTTCTTATGAAAGGTTATAGTCTGCAAGGTAGCCATTCTGACAGGCTGGGAAGTTTTGCTTCTGATTGAAAACCAAAAGCAAGCACTTTGCAGGAGGAAAGGTGACACAGGAATTTATGCTGAAGGGGTTTGCTAAGTATACATATCCAATAGGTTATAGCAGAGGCAATGAATATTCATGGAGGGGGTCCTAATGCATGCATATTGAATAAGCTTGCATGTTACATACCACCCATGGTCACTCTGAAGTGGAGACTTAACATTTAATTGCATTACAGTTAGGCCTTATACATGAAAAGGTGAAGCAGGGACACAAAGGCATTCAAATGCACAGCTTCTGTAAACTAGCCAGAACCAGTCCATGGTCAGTGGTCTCTTATCAGGAGAAAATTACTGAAATCAGTCTTTTGTCCAATTAAAACTGTAGTTATGGCTTGTGGAACACGGGGTCAGTTAGCCTGTGTTCCCCAACACAGGGTGAGCTGTAATTGTTTTAATATTGTTCCTGTCAAGGCCAGTGCTTGTTTAGCTGCTAGAGAAAAAAGAAAAAACTTTGTGGCAGAACATAGTTTATTCTTTAAGTGTAAGGGATGCATGACTTAACTTTTGCCTGTTATAGCCCTCGGTCTTGTTTATAATTTGCTATCTTATTGCCACAAAGAATCCATTCTCTCAGTCTTATAATCTCTAACTTTGCTGGTCAGTTGTGTCTAAACTGCAAAAGGGAGAAGATACAATGAGGCATATCCAACCTCCTGTTCCATCATGACTGAATGTTTTATTTATTTATATTTTTGAGACAGAGTCTCACTCTGTTGCCCTGGCTGGAGTGCAGTAGTGCCATCTCCACTCACTGCAACCTCTGCCTCCTGGATTCAAATGATTCTCCTGCCTCAGCCTCCTGAGTAGCTGGGATTACAGGGACTTGCCACCACGCCTGGCTAATTTTTGTATTTTTAGTAGAGACAGAGTTTCACCAAGTTCACCAGGCTGGTCTCGAACTCCCAGCATCAATTGATCAGCCTGCCTCAGCTTCCCAAAGTTCTGGGATTACAGGTGTAAGCCACCACCCTTGGCCCAATGACTAAGTTTTTAAAGTTTCTCTAGGGTCCCCCTGAGCAAAAGAGCGTCCGTTCAGTTGGTTGGGGGCTCAGGATTTTATTTTCCATTCTCAAGATCGAAAAAAAGGTGTGATTATAAAGGAATGGGACAAATTATCTTATTTGTGTTGTAACTTGGTAATTCCAAAAAAGAAGTTCCAAGAAAGAGAGGGACACTGGCTACTGAATAGGAGCTAGAGGACCAGATAGATAGTGGAAGAGGGGGAGCCATTGTGGTGGGGAGTAGAAGTGTAAAGGAGGAAGGCATCCTAGGTAACTGTCTTGTGGCTTTCACTTCCCAGGTGCATGTCCGTTCCGAGGAATGGGATTTAATGACCTTTGATGCCAACCCATATGACAGCGTGAAAAAAATCAAAGAACATGTCCGGTCTAAGACCAAGGTTCCTGTGCAGGACCAGGTTCTTTTGCTGGGCTCCAAGATCTTAAAGCCACGGAGAAGCCTCTCATCTTATGGCACTGACAAAGAGAAGACCATCCACCTTACCCTGAAAGTGGTGAAGCCCAGTGATGAGGAGCTGCCCTTGTTTCTTGTGGAGTCAGGTGATGAGGCAAAGAGGCACCTCCTCCAGGTGCGAAGGTCCAGCTCAGTGGCACAAGTGAAAGCAATGATCGAGACTAAGACGGGTATAATCCCTGAGACCCAGATTGTGACTTGCAATGGAAAGAGACTGGAAGATGGGAAGATGATGGCAGATTACGGCATCAGAAAGGGCAACTTACTCTTCCTGGCATCTTATTGTATTGGAGGGTGACCACCCTGGGGATGGGGTGTTGGCAGGGGTCAAAAAGCTTATTTCTTTTAATCTCTTACTCAACGAACACATCTTCTGATGATTTCCCAAAATTAATGAGAATGAGATGAGTAGAGTAAGATTTGGGTGGGATGGGTAGGATGAAGTATATTGCCCAACTCTATGTTTCTTTGATTCTAACACAATTAATTAAGTGACATGATTTTTACTAATGTATTACTGAGACTAGTAAATAAATTTTTAAGGCAAAATAGAGCATTCAAAGCCAGCTTGGAATTTAATTCTGTCTTGATACCTTGTTATTTATGCAAAAACTCCTATCTCCTTTCCTTTATGACAAGAGAGTAAGTTTTAGGTTGGGATCCATGTTCTACTGATTTCTGTATTTCTGTCTTTGTTAAGTCCAGTGCTTTATTTATATCACTCAATAATGGTTGAACCAAATTGAATTTCTACTTATAGAGCATAGTGAAATGATATTTTATAAAATGAATTAGTTGCTCTGACATGATCACAATCAAATTACTAAACATTTTAGAAACTAAATTAAACTCCTTCCCCCCTCTTCTCCTTTAAAGCTATTTGTATGAAATGAAGTCTGGCACCATGCCCCCTTTTATTCTCTATGTCTCACACCCAACTAAAATAGTTATTATTTCTGGGGATGATGGTGGGCAAGGAAAGGTATTTTCCACAGGGATCTAGCAATTCTGTTTAACTAGTGGGGATTCCTAGGGGTAGATGGACATTGGGAGCGAACAAACTTTCTAAAGCTGGGGGACTGTGGACCACCCTCTCTCCTACCTGCCTTAGGGTCTAGCAGGTCTTCTCCAGGATGAGGGCGCCAGTCTGGGTGAGGGTGGGTGAGGAGCTGGCTTCTGGGTTGACCTCAATATTCTGCTCAGGTTCTGCTGATTGAGCATTTTCCTCTCTTCTTTTTTTCACGAGGAGATCCCTGTTCCTGTCTTGAGAACTTGAGTCCCTTCCTCCATCTTCCTCCCTCCATTTACTCCTCTCTCTGACTCTCTCTCTTGCTCTCTCTCTCATGACTCACTACTGATCACCTGTGAGTTTTTTTCACGGGCTGAGACGTGCCCGCCTTCTTCCACACTCATCCTAGTTCCTTGTTTCTTTAAAACTTGCTCAAGAACCAACTCCTGCAGGGGGGTTTCCAGTCTTAACCCCACTCAGCAAAATTCACCACCATTTATGGGCTTTCCTCATCACATTTATGGGTGAAATGCCCCGGGGAGGGCACTGGTCATCTGGCCAGGTCTGCACTAAGTTGGACTGATTTCTGAGAATAGAGTCCATGGTCGCTTTTTCTGGATGTACCCTCTCCTGCAGGGTAGGGACTATGATTTTCTTGTCAACTTGAGACTTCTGATTGCAGAGACCAAGAGGTCTTCCATGGTCTTCCATCAGATAGGGAGGAAGCTAAAGGCGAGCGTCACGTCCATCATTTTCCCTGCGCGTGGAGTTGTGAGGGGTAGGTTTTCCTTCCCTAAACCTGAGTATATAGAGGATTTAGGGATTTTTCCCTCAAGAACTAAACATTTCCTCACGGGAGGAAAACATATCCCCCATTGGACTCCTTAGGACAAATCTTGCAGATTATCATACAAAAATGAACAGCCTGAAGTCTAAACTGACTCACTAAGGGGTATTTCCATCCTTGGGTTCTGGCTTAATACTTTCTCCCCTCCCCAACTACTCACTGCCCAGCCTGGCCTCTCCCCAGACTCCGCAGCAGCCTCCTCGCTGCCCCCTTCACTTTCTTATTCCTGAGGGTGTAGATGAGCGGGTTGAGAGCAGGTGTGACCACGGTGTAGAAGAGCGATACGAACTTGCCCCGTGCCTGGTTGTAGCGCTGCGCGGGCTGCAGGTAGGTGTAGATGGCCGAGCCGTAGAACAGGCAGACGGCTGTCAGGTGGGACCCACACGTGCCCACCGCCCTCCTCCGGCCTCCGCTGAACCGCATGCAACAGACAGCTCGGGCCACGGCACCGTAGGAGGCCAGGATGACGGCAAACGGCAGCAGCAGGATGACCACGCGGGCGGCGAACATCTGGTTCTCGGTAGTGTCTCCGTCGCCTCCGCAGGCCAGCTTGAGCAACGCCGGCAGCTCACAGATGAAGTGGTCCAGCAGGCGGGGCGCGCACAGCGGCCGCTCAGCCAGGAGCGCGGTTTGCGCAACCGAGTTGGTGAGGCCGCTTAGCCAGGAGGCGCTGGCCAGCGTGCGACATAGGCGCGGGGAGACGAGCCCCGCATAGCGCAGCGGGCGGCACACTGCGGCCGCGCGGTCCAGAGCCATCACCGCCAGGAGGACGCATTCGGCCGAACCCAGAGCCAGCGATGCGCACAGCTGGGCCGTGCAGTGGCTGCGCGGCAGCCAGAGCGCTGGTCCGCGCAGGTTGGCCAGCAGCGGCGGCACCACGCTAGTAGTGAAGCCCGCGTCTACCAAGGCCAGGTGGCAGAGGAAGTAGTACATGGGCGTGTGCAGGCGCGGGTCGCGCACCGCCAGCAGCACCAGCGCCGAGTTGCCCGTCAAGGTCAGGAGGTAGCACAGGAGGACAAGGGCGAAGAGGACCGGCTGCAGGGAAGGCCAGTCGGAGAAACCCAGCAGGAGAAAGCGCTCCTCTGCGCTGTAGTTGGCCTAAAGGAGGAAAACTCCCAGAATGTTTGGAAGGTCGAAATAAAAAAGGGTGACTACCCCTTATAAGCAAAGGGAAAACCTTGGAGTGTGGGGCTGGGCTGGGAGAAGGAATGGAATCATATACAAGGTCAGTTTGTGGATTGTAATCCCATTTACAGATGAGATTACTTAAAAATAAACTCCCTAAGAATAAGAGCAACACTCCAAGCTTGGCGTGGCCAACACTCGGTAGGCAGAATGATCACCTCCGTTGTTTCAGGTACTCTGTGTTTATTTATGCAACAGTTCATGTAAAATGGAGACGAGGCCAGAAGAATCCTTGAGCAGACAGAGCCAGTTGGGCCTCCTAAGTGACCTTAACCTTGCTTGATTTGCAAGCATGTCTGAAACTTTATTTGTGGTATTTCTTGTAAATGCCTATGTTAAAGAAACACAGAACTTAAGCTCAACCAATCAGAAGCAGCCAACAAAAACGTAATTAGTAACTAGGACTTCCTCATGGGATAGACCAAATAAGGCAACTGTATAACTGTGTAACTGTATAACTGTAACCAATGAAATATTATCTTTGCTTTTATCTATTTGTCCTAAAAAGCCTCCTCCTCATGTTCTCTCTGGGGAGCTCCCTAGCCACTTCTGGCTTGGAGCTGCCCAATTCATGGATCACTGCTCAAATAAACTCTTAAATATTTTATTGGGCCTTAGTTTACTTTCTAACACAACCCATTATACGGCTGATTACTGATTTTTAATTTGTTGTGAATAGAGACTACTCCCAACGTCCATGCCCCTCCCACTGAGGGGAGATCAGCACACGTATACTAGCCTTTAAATCAGGAATAAGTTGGGTAGAAAAAAAGAACACTTTCTGGTAGACTAGAATATCAGGACATCTTGGTTTTACCTACATAGCTCCCTTTAGCCAGTTATATGATATGGGGAAATCTTCATTTCCCTCTGTCTCAATTTTTTCATATGTAAATCAAGGAGTTTGAACTAGATGTCATCTAAGTTTCCTGTCCCAAATCCTTGGCTTTACTATCAAATATTAATCCAAAAATAAAATAAAAAGAGAACCCCAGGGAACAAAAGGAACCTCATTCTCCAAGGGTCTTGTTGAACCAAGTGTCTTAATGGTACAGAAACATATGGGTTATGTAATGGATGAAAGTTTATGTGATGGACAGAAATCTTTCTGCTGCATGACTCCTGACATAAATTATTATATGGATAACTTATTTTTCACATCATATTCACTGCTGTAAATTACAAAATCACAATAACCTAATTTTTCATTTTTCAGAGGGAAAAAACACTGCTCCCTACCAAAACATCCTGTTTGATTTTATGTTTCACTCATTTTATCCTCACTGGGCAGAATAAGCATTAATGTCATAATTAAGAACCAGGGCTCAGCAGCCAGACTGCCTGGGTTTGAGTCCTGGCTCTGCCATTTTCTAGCTGGAAAACCTTGGGTATGTTACTTAGCCTCTCTCTGCCTCAGTTTCCTCATATGAAAATAGAAATATGTTAAGTGGGCTAAATATGAAAAGCTGTTAGAACAAGGCCTGGCACATAGCAGTTGTTAACTGTCATCCTTTAATAAATGCTAACTATCGTCATATCTGTTTCCCAAATTAAGAAACAGGTTTTTAAGGGGTTCTTATGCTAGGCAGTGATACAACTGCTATGAACATTTACATCTCTTTTCATTTATTAACTCTAATCTTAACTCACTTGAATATTAGGCAATAGCCTTATTTTATAGAGTATGTTAGGAGAGTAACTGAAGTTAAATTACTTGCCCAAGGCCACATTATTTGTAAATGCTTAATAGGTTTTCCACTTATATTTGACTAACTTCGAGGTCCTTCCTGTTTGATCAACCAGGATCCACTGTGCTAGAGACTGTGGAGTATGAAAGGACATGCAAAGTCTTACCTATATTTATAGATCATTTTATAATTTGGGGTCATATCAGAGATGAATAAAGTAGGAGAGGTGACATTCAGGCTTACAGACCAATGGTGGCTAGAGATGTTGAGTTACAAAAGGTCAAATTCTTTAATGCGGTGATTACACGGACACATAACTGTTCAGCCTGGCAAGCTCTAAACCATTCCTCTTCAAATATGCCACACCATGAAAACAGGCACACAATAATAAAACTGCACAGATAACATTCTTGTTACATGTATGCACAAATTCCCCAAAACATAGGCATGTGTGCACCTGTACACATAAACCCATCATCTCCCTCACACATCTAGAAGACAAATCTGTTGTGAAATATATAATATAATGTGTCATCAAACTTCACTTGGTATTTCAGAATGTGGCTCTCGGCACAAGACCATTTTGTTGTAGGGCACTGTAATACCCAACTTACCTTCATGACTAATCTTTGGCACTAATGTTTACACCTTGAGTTTCCAGATGATAGGTTGGTCTCTTGCTCCTGCTCTGGATTCTCTGGATTTGAAATGGAGTTGGGAGTATTTAATAAAAGATGCAATTGCATAGCTGTGTTGATTTCTGGAATGGATGCCTGGGATCAGAGCCAGGTATTTCAGGAAGAAGACGAGGGGTGGGTGTCATTGTGCTTGTAAATAGAGGAATAAAAAGAACGGGTAAGAAAGAACCTACATTTGTGAAATTTCAGGATCTAGGCAGAGGTGGTGATGTCTGTTCCTGGAGAACCTTGTAATGGGGTACAGACCAGACAAGGACCTGGGCCTTGTGCTGGTAGCAAATCAGCATTAGCTGGTGGTGGTAGCAAATATCCCTCCTGGATCTAAAGGACACAGTTAGAGAGGAGGAAGCATGCTGATGAGTGCTCTCACTAGAGAAAAAACAGGGGACTCAACGTTCCCTGTTATTTAGAAGAGAGGATGGAGCTCTGGGGAATAGATGTCCCACTCCTATCATTAGTACTTTGCATGAAGGTGTCCGGAGAGGAGTCCCCAAGAGTGGGGAAGAGGAAATTCTGGAGGGAAAGTCCCTTTAGGGTAGTGTGCCTCTGGCAGTGTATGAAGGCCAAAGGCAGTGTAATTCCCTCTCATTAATATTTCTACTATTCAATTGGAACTGGTTTAGAATTTCATTCTCTGATGGAGTGACCTTAAGCTAATTGTTTAACTTCAGTGACTCTCAATGTCATCATCTGTAAAACAAGGAAAATAACCCTTTCTGTCAGGAATTTTGTAGATTTGTTGAAGTCATTATTAGTTTTGAATGTAGCTTTGACTGTTATGTCATCAGCTTTGCTCCAAAGTCCACCTCCCCACTTGTGGCTCTCATCATTCTCTTTCCCTTTGCTCCTCCTTCGTCCTTGAAGATTTTTGTCCCTGATCCCCTCTCACTCTCTCCAGTACTGTGATGATTCTTGGTGAATTCAGTATCCTCATAGATTATCTTTCTATACTTTCCTCTCAGTTTCTTCCTCAGTGAGAGGTCCGCAAATTCATCGTGGCCCCTCACGCCCCTTGTATCTTCAGTTCTCTATCAAGCTTAGACTGTCTCGTCAATCACTATTACTCCTTTGCATACATCAATGTTCCTGCCCTTTTCACTTGTTACACTCTTTCAGCTAAATTGCTTTCCTATTTAAATCCAACTATAGTCCTACTCTCTCCCTATATTTGTTCAGCTGACTGTGGCCGAAGGAAAGCCAATAGCCACACTGAGAGGTTTCACTTTACATTCATGACCACTACTTTAAGAGGAAGGGGCTAATGTCATTGATAATCATATTTTCCTAGTCCACTCACTTTCCCCTCTCCTACGTAACTCATGCATACTTTCTGGTCTCCCCTCAAATCCCCAGTACTCCTCTCTCTCAAATAATATCATCTTTCTCAGATAAAAATTTTACTTCATTTTTTACTGAAAAAATGTAAAGCAATAAAAAGAGAAGTTCTTACTAACCCATCTGTTCACCTACTTGCATCTGTGCTCACATATGGGACTCCACCTTTTCTTCTGATACTGCTAGGAATATACTATTTTGCATCTGTCTGATGCCAGTACCCCCACTTGCCCACTATATTCCATCCCTTTCCACTTATTCAGGGACATTACTCTAATCTTTCCCCTCTTTCCTGTAATATAATTTGTCCTTCCAGTGGACCATCCCCATCAATACATAAACATACTTTGATTTCACTCATCAGAAAATAATCTTCTCTTGACTTCACTTCCCCCTAGCTACCATCCAAGTCCTTGAATTCTCTTTCGGGTTGGCTCCAACAAGGTTTCTGCACTGGAAACCTTTCATCGAAGGTCACAAACTGACCTCCACATTGATATAGTAGTTTTCAGTCCTCATGTTACTTGACCTGTTAGAAGCTTTTCAATAGAGTGGACTTAGCTTTCCTTTTTGGAACATGCCTTTCACTTCTGCTATGGACTGAATTGTGTCCCCCCCCAAAATTCATATGTTGAAAATCTAATCCTCAATGTGATGGTATTTGAAATGGGCATTTTAGGAGGTAATTATAGTTAAATGAGGTCACAAAGGTGAGGGCCAAATAGGATTAGTTTCCTTATAAAAGAGGAAAGGCCACGTGAGGAGGCAGCAAGTAGGGAGTTGTCTGCAAGCCAGGAGGAGAGCCATCACCAGGAACAAAATCAGCCAGCATCTTGATCTTGAACTTCCCAGCCTCCAGAACTGTGAGAAATCAACTTCTGTTGTTGAAGCCACCCAGTTTATGGTATTTTGTTATGGCAGTCTGAGCTGACTGACAGCTTCAAATCACCAAAGTCTCCCAGCTGCTCCTTCTGAATCTCCTTTATTGGTTTCTCCTCCTCTCCCTGCTGTGCCTAGGGTTCAGTCCTCTTTCCTTTTTTACGTGCACTTCCGTCATCCAGTCTTATGACATTGTACACCATCTATATGCTGATGACTCCTAAATTTATATTTCCAGGCTGGATTTTTCTCCTAACCTCCAGATTCCTATGTCCAATTGTCTACCCACCAGCAGCTTTTGGTATCTAATACACATCTCAGATTTAACATGCCATAAACTGAGCTCCTTACTACCCACCCTCTCCCCCACAATGTGCTTCTTCTGTAGCCTTTCTCATCTCCCGTAATGAAAATCCATTCTTCTAGTTTCTCAGACAAAAATCTTGTGATACTGACTCTTCTTCATCTCACTCACATATAATCTACCCACAAATTCTATTGGCTCTACCTGCAAAAATATGTTGTGAAACTGACAAGTCGTTATCACTGTTAGGACCACCACTCTGGTCTGTCCTTGTCAACATCTCTTGCTTGGATGATTGAAATAATCCTCTGGTTCTTCCCTTAACCTTTAGTATATTCTCAACATGGAAGCCAGAGTAACCCATTTATAACAACTCAGATCATACCACTTCTTATCTCAAAATCTTTCAGCAGTTTCCATGTTACTCAGAAAGAAAAAGCCTAGTCACAAGATCTAAAGATCAGTGCCCTCCACCTCAGTACTACTGACGATTTTGACTGGATCATCCTTTGTTGGGGGTGCTGTCCTGTGCATTGTAGGATGTTTAGCACCATCTCGGGGCTCTACCCACTAGGTGATAGTAGTGCATCCTCTCTAATTGTGACAATCAAAACCAGCTCCAGACATTGCCAAATGTCCCAGTGGGAGGCCTAATTAGCCACGGTGAGAACTGCTGCTTGACTTAATCAGAAAAAATAAACCTCCTGCAGCTAGCTTGGTGTCTGCCTAAACAGCCTCCTAGTTTTGTGCTTGAAACCCAGGGCCCTGGTGGCATAGGCACCAGAGGGAATCTCCTGGTCTATAGGTTTCGAAGACGTGAGGAAAGCGCAGTATCTGTGCCAGAGTGCACCGTTCCTCCCCACACAGTCCCTCAAGGCTTCGGCTTCCCTTGGCTAGGAGAGGGAGTTCCTTGACCTCTTGTGCTCCCCGGGTGAGGCGATGCCCCACCCTGCTTTGGCACACCCTCCATGGGCTGCACCCGCTGTCCAACCAGTCCCAATAAGATGAACTGGGTACCTCAGTTGGAAATGCAGAAATCATCCACCTTCTGGGTCAATCTTGCTGGGAGGTGCAGACCAGAGCTATTCCTATTCCACCATCTTGCCAGCCTCCTCCCCTGGTATCTAGCTGTAATTTTGTATCCATGAACCAATCTCTTCCTATCCTTCCCTCTCTCCTCCCTTCGATCCTTCCTGTGCTCTAATAATCAAAATTCCACTCTCTATTTCTAATGAGCTCAACATTTTTTAGCTTCCATATGTGAGTGAGAACACACAGTCTTTATCTTTCTGTGCCTGCTTATTTCAGTTAACATGGTGTCTTCCAGGTTCATCCATGTTGCCATGAATGACAGGATTTCTTTTTTTTTTTTCATGTCTCTGCCATTTAAAGGGGGTGTTTAATATATTTACATTTAATGTAATTACTGATAGTATAGGATTTTGACCTGTCATTTTGCTACTTATTTTCTTTATATCGTGTTTTTTATTGCTCTATTCCATTATTACTGCCTTTGTATGTTAAATAAATTTTGTTAGTGTTTTACTTAATTCTCCTTGTTGTTTCTTTTACTATACTTTTTGAGGTATTTTTTAAATATTGCCCTGGATCTTGCAATTAATAATTTATAACAATTTAGTCAGATTAATAGCAATTTAATTTCAATAGCACACAAAACCTTTGCTTCCATACAGCTCCATTCTCTTCTGCTTCTTTGTGTTTTTATTGCCGTACAAATTACATCTTTATACATTGTAGGCTTATCAATACAGATTTATAATTATTTCATTATGTATTTGTCTTTTGAATCATATGAGAGAGGAAATCGCAAACAAATTGCATTTATACTGTCTTTTATATTTACCCATGTAGTTATCTTTACTGGAGTTCTTCATTTCTTCATGTGGATTCGAGTTGCTATGTAGTGTCCTTTCATGTCAACCTGCAAGACTGCTTTTATAATTTCCCATAAGACAGGTCTGGTAATTACAGCTTCTCTCAGTTTTCAAAATCTGAGAATGTTTAATTTCTAGTTCATTTATGAAGAATAGTTTTGCTGGCTTTAGAATTGTTCATTGACAGTATTTTACTTTTGCTACTTTGAATATGTCATCCCATTGCCTCCTGACTCTGTAATTTTTCATGAGAAATTAGTTCTTATTCTTACTGAGAATCTCTTGTACATGATAAGTTGCTTCCCTCTTTTTGCCCTCAAGATTCTTTCTTTGTTTCTTGGCAGTTTGATTATAATGTTTCTATGTGTGAATCTCTTTGAATTTATTTTATCTAAGTTTGTTGAGCTTTGTGAAAGTGTAGATTAACATTTTTTCATTGAATTTGGAGTTTTTCAGCTAGTATTTCTTTAAATATTCCTTCTGTTCCTTTTATTCTATCCTCTCCTGAAAATTCTCGTTTATGTGTTTTGGTACACTGGATTGTGTCCCACAGGTCTCTGAAACTCTGTTCATTCTTCTTCTTTTTAATTCATGTTCCTCATACTGGATAATTTCCCCACCTATCTTTAAATTTACTGATTCTTTCTTCTGCCTTCTCAAATCTGTTATTGAGGCTATCTAGTGAAGTTTTTATTTCTACGATTTTATTTATCAATTACTGAATTTTATTTGTTTCTTTTCTTTTTTTTTTTTTTTTTTTTTTGAGACAGAGTCTCGCTCTGTCGCCCAGGCTGGAGTGCAGTGGCGGGATCTCGGCTCACTGCAAGCTCCGCCTCCCGGGTTCACGCCATTCTCCTGCCTCAGCCTCCCAAGTAGCTGGGACTACAGGCGCCCGCCACTACGCCCGGCTAATTTTTTGTATTTTTAGTAGACACGGGGTTTCACCGTTTTAGCTGGGATGGTCTCGATCTCCTGAGCTCGTGATCCGCCCGCCTCGGCCTCCCAAAGTGCTGGGATTACAGGCGTGAGCCACCGCGCCCGGCCTTGTTTCTTTTTTAACATTCCATCTCATTATTGATGTTTTGTATTTGGTGAGATATCATTCTCATGCATTCCTTTAGTTCTTTTGACATGGTTTCCTTTAGTTCTTTGAACGTGTTTAAAATTGTTCGTCTAATATGTTCACCTAGTATGTCCAATGTCTGGTATATGCAGTCTACCAGAGGCAGTTTTGATTTTAAAATGAATAGGTTAAAAAAAGAGGGTGGAAAAAAGTATACCATGTAGAAAACTATGATGAAAGAGCTGAGACAGCTCTACTAATATTGGACAAAGTAGACCTTGAGAAAAATAGCGTTACTAGAAATAAAGAGGCATATTCTATAATGATAAAATTTCAATTTATCAGGAGGATATGAGGATTATAAACATACACACAATTAGCAACACATCCCCCAAATACATAAAACATGAAAATGACAGAATTGAGGGGATAAATAAACAAATCATTAAAAATAGTTGAAGATTTCAACACTCCATTATCAATCATTGATGGAACAACTAGATAGAAAATCAGCAAGGATACAGAGCCTGAAACATTATCAACCAACTTGACCTACTTGACAACAACAAATGAATTATACACGCTTTTGAAACACACATGGAACATTCTCCAGGATAGACTAGATGGGAGGGCACAAATTATCTATAAATTAAAAAAAAATTGAACTAATACAATATATGTATTCCAACCACAATGGAATTGAATGAGTAATCACCAACAGTTGGAAACTTCAGGAATCCACAAATAACAGGTGAAAGAAAAAAAAACACAGGGGAAATTAAAAAGAATATGCATGAAATGAAATGAAACCATAACATGTCAACATTTATGAGATGGAGATAAACCAGTGCTTAGAGGAAAATCTGTAGCTGTAAATGCCTACATTGGAAAAGAAAAATACCTCTAATCAGTAATTCAACTTTCTATGGTAAGAAGCAAGGAAAAGAAGAGAAAACTAACCCCAAAGCAAGCAGAAGAAAGGAAATAATAAAGAAGAGAGCAAGAGTAGATGGAATAGAAAATAAAACACTATAGAGAAAAGTAATGAAACCAAAAGTTGAATCATGGAAAATAACAACACAATTGACAAACCTTTAGCTAGACTTACCAAGAAAAAAAAATGGCCTCAAATTCCTAAAATCAGAAATGAAATTGGGCACATCATTACCAACTTTATAGAAATTTAAAGGATTATAAAGAAATCCTATGAACAACTTTATCCTAACATACTAGACACCTTCGATGAAATGGATAAATTTCTAGAAAAACTAATTACCAAAATTGACTCAAGAGGAAATAGAAAATCTGTATAAGCCTACAAGAAGTAAAGACATTAAAACTGTCATTGCATATCTTCCCACAAAAAAGGCCCAGGCCCAGATGTCTCTACTGGTGAATTCTACCAAACATTTAAAGAAAAAAATAATACAATTCTATACAAACTCTTCCAAAATATAGATCAGAAAGGATCACTTCCCAACACATTGTATAGGAATGATGGAAATGTTGTAAAATCATATTCTAGTGAGTATGTACTTTTGTACATAAGGAAGTTAAGAGACACAGGGCCCCATTTGTGATCCTTTGGGAGTGTGAGAAGCACATATTTCCTACACCCATGTTCCCATTTGGAAGGGCTTCTCTGACCAGCATCAGCCACAAGTGACTTTGCTGAGTGGGGCATCCAGAAGAAGGGGCTGAATGTGGCATTTGAAGGACTTTTCCTCCTTTCTCCTTAGAATCTGACTGTCTGCATGGAGGAATCATACTCCTGGGTTCCCTCCATTAAGTGATAAGCTTCAGGAGACAGGTGTTGACCATGGGTGCCTGTGCCTATTACTTTGAGGAGTAAATTCAATTCCTGGAGAGAATAACATATAAGCAAGTGCTTTGGGGTCACAAACTGCTTCCCAGGTCATTAGGGGAGGGAGGAATAAAGATGCTATGTTGTTGGGCATTGTTTTGACTTCTCAATTTATCTCTCAATTGATTCAGAGAGATGTAATGAAAATGAACTAATTGACTTATTGATTGATCGAAATTAGTGCAACAAGGAGACATGTCTTTTCTTGCCTCATAAAAGCAAGTCAAGGCCGGGTACAGTGGCTCACCCCTGTAATCCCAGCACTTTGGGAGGCCAAGGTGGGCGGATCACCTGAGGTTGGGAGTTTGAGACCGGTCTGACCAACATGGAGAAACCCTGTCTCTATTAAAAACACAAAATTAGCCAGGTGTTGTGGTGCATGCCTGTAATCCCAGCTACTCAGGAGGCTGAGGCAGGAGAATCGTTTGAACCCAGGAGGCTGAGGTTGCAGCGAGCCGAGATTGCACCATTGCACTGCAGCCTAGGCAACAAGAGTGAAACTCCGTCTCAAAAAAAAAAAAAAGAAAGCAAGTCAGTGGTGGGGTAAACCAGGGTGAAAAATATTGGCTCCAACAAAGCACAGCCAAATCTCCCTAGGCTTGGTGAATCCAATGTAAGTTTCTGACACAGATTTACAAGAACTTCCACATCTTTTGCAAAAAAAAAAAAATGCAATTCAATTGACAGCAAAATGAAAGGAGCACATTTGAGTTCCTGGCATGCTCAAGTTTATTGACAAAATGCCCACCAGAGTTCCCTCTCCTGCCTGTCTCAGATGGGCTGGGCTGGGCTGGATGTCATTCTAGGAGATTCACACAGGGAGGCAGGTGACAACTTGTCTTAAAGATCCTTCTTTTTTGAGGGAAGTTATTGTTCAGGATGGAGTAATCAAAAGTGTCAGTGGGATGGGGGATATCAGGAGATGCTGAGATACAATGTTTCAGATAAAGGCCTGGGCCCTGATATGCAATTTGCCCCAGTACAGGAAGACCCAACAGACACAGAGAAATTGACAACCTCTTGTCAGGACCCAGTTCAAATCAGACATCGTTAGATTGCTTCCTGACCTGTGGGCAGAACTTTCATCTCTCAGGACATTGGCCTCTGTGGTACCAATTCTATCCAAGACTTCCCAGGTATGAGAAAAGATCTCTCTTCCTTCTTTCATTTTCAAACCATTTTAACTCAGAGACATATTTTCCTGGAATTTGAAACCTCATGATTTTTTACTGGGGAAGGTGCATTTCTCAGGAAAATGGGGACAGGACAGAAACCAGGTTCCTGGAGAAAGCAGGATTCGGGGTTCCAGGGTAGTCCCAGCAGGTGAGCCACAACTGTGCCCTGGCCCCTGGTTCACAAATGCCCCAGCTGTGTAGATGGGCAGAGGGTGTGTTATTCTGTTAAAGGTAGGATTTGAGCCACTGTATTACTGAGGTGTAGTCTATGACTTCTAGGAAAATCCTTTTGGGTCTTCTGATTTCACAGCTTCTATATTCATATTTAGTTTGTATCTAACGCAAGGAATGAAGTTCTTATGCATGCTACCCTGTGAAGAAGCCATGAAAACAAGAGGCTGAGTGAAAGAAACAGACAAAAAAATCACAGAGGGTCTGATTCCACTAATAGGACATGTCCAGAATAGGTGAATGTGCAGAAATGGAAGGTAGATGGGGTTGCCAAGAGCTGGGAGGAGGAAGACAAGGGGAGTAACTGCTAACAGGTAAAAGGCTTTCTTATGGGGGTATGTAAATATTTTGGAACCAGATAGAGGTGGTGGTTGCACAACATTGTGAAGGTGCTAAGTGAGGCAGAACTGTGCCCTTTAAATTAGTTAATTTGTGTTATGTAAATTTCACCTCAAATAAAGATTAAGTGGGGAGGGTGGGCTCTCAACTCAGAACCAGAGCAAGTACTTCAATCCCAATGCAAAGGTTACTTGGCTATTTTGGCTGCATCAACCTGAGCACTTCCATCAGAGCTGGCTCCCTGAATCCCAGGATCCAACCTGTTTGTTGTTTATGCTCCTTGGGGAGCTTGGCTCATGACCCGACTTGGAAATGACATTTCCAGGTGCTAGGATCTCTCTGTGCCCAGTGCTGGGGCTGCACCAGGCACTGAAGCCTTCCCACCCCAGGAGGGCTGTGTCCTCCTCTTGTGTGATGAGGAAGAATGTGCTGCTTAGTCACTGGCCTCAGTAGTGGTCTCTGGGCATGAGCTAGGTCTCAGTGAGCCCAGGGATGGGAAGCCTGGCTCTGTCCCTGAAGCCACATGCTGCCTCCAAAATGGGCATTTTCTCTTTGTTGAAGGGTAAGTCACCTCTCCCCTTGAAACTCTTTTATCTATAAATCTCCTTTCTTTGTTGGGGACCAGAGCCCAACTGCTCCTGCTTGGTGCCTTGGTGGCCTGGGGTGGGCCACGGAGGTCTGTTTGCAGCTTCTCTTCTGTCATCATCACGAGTTCTGACACCCTGGCCCAGGCACAGAACTGCAGGTCACCCTGATGTTTCCATGGGCACCAATGTTACCAAGCCCCAAGACTCATCCTATGACCAGATTAGATCTGAGCCAGATCTGCGGTCCTCCCTGGCCTCAGGTAAGAGTGTCTAGGTAACAAGTGCAGGGAGGGGAGGGGCTGGGGCTGGACCCTTCCATTTCAAGAGAGCTGCCAACTGAAGGGGACTCCATCATCCCAGCAAGGAGGGAAGATTCAAACACTGGGCTCACTTGGAGCTGGTCCCTAGCATTCTCCTAAACCCTGCTGATGCACCAATATGTGACTGCAGGCCACAAGGTCACCTGTGGAATATTTCCAGGCATATCGCAGGCATTTATCAGTTAGTTTGTGGAACAAGCTCTGTTCTAGAAGCTTCTGTGATTCAGAAGCAAAGCTTCAGCAGCTCAGGGTTGTAGAACCAGGTAGATCTCACTGTTCTGAGACTTTCCATAATTCCGTCTGTAAACTTTTCATCATAAATGTGATCATCAGTTCAGGCTCCCATGACAGAGATCACAGACTGAGTGGCTTAAACAGCAGAAGTTCATTCTCTCAGTTTTAGGAGGCTGAAAGTCTGAGATCCAAAGATTGCCGGGATCATTTCTTTCCAAAGCCTCTCTCCTTAGCTTGTAGATGGCTGCCTTCTCCCTGTGTCTTCTCATGGTCATCCCCCTGTGGGTGTCTGTGTCCTAATCTCCTTTACTTATGAAGACACTACCCCTATTGGATTAGGGCCTACCCTAATGACCCATCTAAACATAATTACCCCTTTAATGTCCCTGTCTCCAAATTCAGTCACATTCTGAGGTACTGGGATAGTTCAACATATGAATTTAGAAGAATACAATTCATCCCATAGCAGCAGCCCTTACTTAGATGGGGATGCTGAGGCAAAGAAAGAGTCAGCTACTATGAAAAAGAGCTGGGATTTGCCCCCAAGAGGTCAGCTCTCACAGTCTCAGCATGAACTCCTCAGATCACTGGGTTTAACCAAGCTGTGGGATTCCAGAAGGGGTACTGACCTTCTCCTGTTTAACTTTCAAGTTGGGCAACAAACCACCTTGGTTTTCCTAGGGCTATGAGGATTTTCAGGACAAGAGATGTTCAGAGCTTAAACTGGGAAAGTCCTAGGCAAAGCAGGATAAGTTGGTCACCCTCCCCTCATGATTCTACAAAGAAAGACCTGTGATTGGCAATGTGGAGGAGAGTGCCTGCTCCTGTTGTGGACGTAGCCCAGGGTTCAGGTGTGAGTCTCCCTCAGGAGTCCAAGAAGCCTTTTTTTTTAAATCAGTTTGCGGAACAAGCTTTGTTCCAGAAGCTTCTGTGATTCAGAAGCAAAGTTTGCTTTTATGAAGAGGTCACCAGCACTTCCCCAAGTGTAACTGAGCTGCATAAAGCTCTCCATAGGTGCCGTACCCAAGTGAGTCCTCTATGTCAAACCCTGTTCCAGGAGCTGGAGAAGTTATTGAACAACATTGTGAAGAGAATAAAAAACCTGATAAATCTTCCATTCCCACAGAGGGATTTCTGCAGAAGTAAGTAAGTTGCATAGACACTCAGCATGTGATGAATGCAATGTTAATAGGAAGCAGAAGCTTCTCTGGAAGTTGATACTGGGGCAAAGATTGGAAAGAGGATACAAAGCTTACAGATGTGCAGAGGCCCTTCCAGGCAGCAGAACAACATAAAGGTCCTACCAGGAGGCCCTCGTGCTGAAAGTGAGGAGTTGAGGGGAGGTGAGCAGGAGAGAGGTTGGGTAGACCTTCCCTAGAGCACTGAAAAGCAACTGCCCCATGTGGGACTCAGAATATCTCAGAACCTTAGGGCAGAGGAATTGCCTGGTGCCTCCACCAAAACCATGCCATGAAAACTGTCTGTGTCAATGAGAGAGTTGGAGAACAAAGGTAAAGAAATGCACCTCTTTCCTTTATGGGCACCTAGGTGCATGGATACACACCTGGTGTTGGGCACAGCATCAAGAATACCTGAACGAGGTGGAGAGAGGGATGGGGGCAAGCAGGAGAGGGTACCCTGCAGTGGAGGATATGGGATGGATGGATCACTTGCAGGAGACTCATTCCTCTCCTTGACTTTGCTCTGTGAGATTCCCACCAATCTTGGGAGGCCCAGCAGGACCCTCTTGGGAAGCCCAGCAGGTCAGAAGGCAACCCTGACTCTCCTTCCTAGGCCTGGTAAGTTACCAACCTTTGTCTTTGCAGGGTGTGCCCAGGCAGCCAAGGCAGCCCACCATGGCCCAGTTTCTCTCAGTGTTCTCTGGGAAGCTGGATTGGGACAACAGGACAGAGACCCCAGGACAAGTGAACATGAGTCATACGGGAGGCGAGTGGTTGGTGGGCAAACAGGTGGTTTTCATCCTGACAGTGCTGGTGGCCTTCTGTGGGCTGGTGGGCAATGGTGTGGTGTGCTGGCTTTTCTGCTTCCAGGTCAGGAGCAGCCCCTACATGACCTATGTCCTTAACCTGGCCGCTGCTGATATGGTCAACCTCTCCTGTGTAACTGTGATCCTGTTGGAGAAAATCCTCATGCTGTATCACCAGGTGACATTGCAGGTGGCCATGTTTCTGGAGCCTGTGTCCTATTTCTCTGACACAGTGAGTCTCTGTCTCCTGGTGGCCATGAATATTGAGAGCTTTCTGTGTGTCCTCTGTCCCACCTGGTGCTGCCACCGCCCAAAGCACACCTCTGCTGTGATGAGCATCCTGAGCTGGGCCCTGGCCCTTTCTTTGCATGTGGTTAGCCAGGTTTGTGAGTAATGGGAGAAGGGCCTGGCATGTGACCAATTTCAGGCAGGCTTTATAATATTTCACATGCTTATTTGTCTTGTGGTGGGCATTTCCAGCCTGACTTTGATCATCAGGAGCCTGTACTGCCTGAAGAACTGTTCACCCATCCGGATCTACCACATTGTCCGCTTTGTGGCCATCAGCTTCCTCGTTTGGGGCCTGCCCTTAGTTGTCCTTGTGTACCTGCCAGGAAAAGAATACCTGACCTTTGCCTTTGACCTTCTGTTGCTGCTGTCCATGGTAGTCAGTATGGCTCAACCAGCCATCTACTTCTTGGCTGGCTACCTTTGAAGGAAGAGGCATAGGGAGTCCTTAAAGTTGTTCTCCCAAGAGCTTTGTTGAATGAGATGGAAGGTGGAGGAAACAAGGGGTTTCAGGCAAGGGAACAGCAGGTTACCAGGACTGAGCTCCTCCCACTCCAGGAAGCTGTTCCCCAGGACTGACCATGATGCCCTGTATTGGTCCATTCTCACACTGCTATAAAGAAATATCTGAGACTGGGTAATTTATAAAGAAAAGAGGATTAATTGGCTGACAGTTTGACAGGCTGTACAGGAAGCATGGCTGGGGAGGCCTCAGGAAACTTACAATCATGGCAGAAGGTGAAGGGGAAGCAGGTACGTCTTCACATGGCAGGAACAGCAGGAATAGAGCAATGGGAGAGGTGCTATACACTTTGAAACAATCAGATCTGGTGAGCACTCACTCACTATAATGAGAGCAGCACAGAGGGGAAAATCTGCCTCCATGATTCAATCACCTCCCACCAGGCCCAACCTCCAATACTGGAAATTACAAATGGACATGAGATTTGGGTGGGGAACATAGATCCAAACCATATCATGCCCTGTGGAGTCTGCCCCATAAGGAGGTGCTTGAGTCCTGGCAAACATAAGACTCTGAATAGGGCAGGAAGTCAAGTGGTGGAAAAAACTATGACTAGAGGAAATGTTCACTGAAGATTCCCTTTGTCTCAATACTGCTCTAATTACTTTGCAAATATAAAACCAGGTAATTTTAACAATTCTATGAATAGATAACGTTATTATTATCCTGCTTCAGCCTAAGCCAAAAGGCCACTTGGCCCACTTAGTCAGTGGTTATCCAAAGGCCCCAGCACATTATAACAAGCACAGTCCTTCACCATCACGCTCCTCCTTGGTGATCAATCACAGTTGGACTCTTGTGGGTCTGTCTGTGGGCCCTCTGCTCTATTCCATCAGTCTATTTATCCATCCATGGACAATACCACACTTGATGTAGTTACTGCATCTTTATCATACATGTCTATCTGCGAGAAGCTGAGTCCTCCTACAAGCAGCTAGATAGAGAAGAAAAAGACATATATGTACAGAGAATCAAAGATACAAAGCAGATTTCTTGTTGGAAAATTGCAAGTTGTATGGAAGTATTTTTTTTAAAGAAAAAAATGCCAACCTAGAATTCTTTACACAGTCAAAATTTTGTTTTCCAATAAAAAGGCAGAATAAAGAGGTTTTCAGATTGACAAAAGATGAAAGAAATCATCACCAGGAGATGTACAGATTGAGAAATGGTAAAGGACATCCATCTAGCAGGAGAATAATGACTCCAGATGGAAATCTGAGTCTACTAAAGGAAGGAGCCCTTTGCACTGCTAGACTCTCCATAGGATGCTGAATACAAGTAGTGAGAGCTGACATCCTCACCTAGTTCTTCCTCTGGGGTGAAACCATCCAGTCTTTCATCATTAAGAATAACGTCCAGTAAACATCAACTACAGGGTTTTTGTAGGTGCCTTTTATCAGTTTAAGAAAATTCACTTCTATTCCTAGTTTTTAGGAATAGAAATAGACTGGAAGTTTTTATAAGGTTGATGGATTTTGTCTAATGCTTTTTCCAAATATACTGAAATAATGATGTGCTGTTGTCTTTTCATCTGTTAATATGGTGAGTTATACTGGCCCATTTTTAACGTTGAAGCAGCCTTGCATTCTTGGGATAAATTTCACTTTGTCGTTCTGTGCATATATTTATACTTGTGTTGCATATGTATGTATGCTCAAGGGCACGGGTTTCTGTGTGTGGCAATGCAGTGGACCTAGATTAGAAATAAAAAACCCTCTAAAAAAGAAGAATTAAGTAAGATGGCTAACAATACCTAACTTCAAGACCTATCGTAAAGGTTCAGAAATTCAGACGGTATGGTATTGGTAAGAGGCTAGACAAATGGATCAATAGAACAGAATACAGAGTCCAGAATAGACCATCACATATGTGTTCAATTGTTTTTCAAAAGTTGTACAGCAAATTCAGTGGAGAAAAGACAATCTTAGCAACAAATACTATTAGAACAATTAGATATGCATATTAAAAACTTCAGTCCATACATGGCACCATTATTCAAAATGTATCATAAACCAAAATGTAAGGCCTAAAACTTTAAAATTTGCATAAGGAAAAAGGTAGATATTAGTGTGACTTTGGATTAGAGAAATATTTGTTAGATAAGCACCAAAAGCATGATGCATAAAAGGAAAAAAAAATGATCAATTGGACTTCATCAAAATGATGTGTGCACTCTGAAAGACCCTGTGAGGAGAATGAAAAGACAAGTCCCAGGCTGGAGGAAGTATTTGCAAATCTCACCTCTGATGGACTCATATGCAGGTTCTACAAAAAGCTCTGGGGAGTGGACTCCTCGTGGCCCTCAGGAGTCAAAGGGGTGCTGTGCTCAGGGCAGAAATGGGAGATGCCTCCCACCCTGTCATTCATGTCCCCTGAGCAGTGGTGCTCAAAGTCCCCTACCAATGTCCCTTCCTGGGTCCACAGACCCTTCTCTCCCCACATCTACACTGACAGGCCAGGCCCCTCCTCCAGGGCACAGGGAGGGACAGTTGGTCTCAGGCTCTGGGTGCCCAGCTTCATGCTCACCCCTTCCTTCAAGGCCCACTGGGCCTGTCTCACAGGATATAGTGAGGTTGTCTGGCATCTCCTGGACATGCTGTCTGGGCCTATTCCAAGCTGCAGCCAGAAAAATGGAGGAATGTTTGTCAGACCAGGTACCCTTCCCACAGAGCCTGGGTCCAGATACACAGTACAGAGGCCACAGGGTGGCCAGCCTAGAACCTGTGAGGTGGGCTGGGGACCACACAAGGGCTGTCTCCAGACAGCCAGGTGAAGCTTTGCTAGTTTCTCGGTATCTCATTTCTTTCCTTTTCTTTTTTTCTTTTTTTGAGACAGGTTCTTGCTCTGCTGCCCAGGCTGCAGTGCAATGGCGTGATCTCAGCTCACTGCAATCTCCACTCTCTGACTTCCAGGCTTAAGCCATTCTCCCACCTCAGCCCCACCAGTAGCTGGAACTACAGGCGCGTGCCACCACACCTGGCTAATTTTTTTGTTTTGGTAGAAATGGGCTTTCACCATGTTGTCTAGGCTGGTCTTGAACTTCTGGACTCAGGCAACCCACCCTCCTTGGCCTCCGAAAATCTTGGGATTACAGGCGTGAGCCACTGCATCTGGCTGTTATTTCATTTCTTGCCAGTTACCTTACCCTCATGAAAAACCCCCTTCATTCAAAATCAGTAAGAGGAGAAAGGTGGTAAAAGAATCAATGGAAAGAAAACAGGATATAACTTCTGTCCATATAACTTCTTTATGTCCCATTGGAAAGAAAAGCCTAAAGGGGTCCACTGGTTTCTATTGCTCTGAGGTCCCGACGATGGCATTACACAGTGCAATAACTACCAGCAGGGGCCATGCTTGATTTCAGCAGACGTCAGTGAGGACATACCTGGGATCTTCTGGGGTCGTGGACATGGACTTAGAGCAGAACTGAGTAAACAGGTGTGCACAGGCACGCACACACATACACATACACGTGCACATGTGCACACACAGGGACACACACTTCTGCACTGTTCTAGACTGTTCCCGGGGCAGCAGTCCTGGGCTGCACAGATGAGCCCCTCCCCATCCACTCTGATTCCACAAGGCTCCCCGACCCCGCTAGTCACCTGGCTTGTTGTCAGTGGTGTCCTTTGTGTCCCGCCTTGGCACAGGCTCAGGACCTGGGATTGCCAGATGCTGAGAGGAGATGAGATGGAAAGGATGAGGGAAGCAAGAGAAGAAGGAAGAGAGGGAGGGAGGGATGTGGGGAGGGAAGGAGGGAAGAAAGGAAGGGAGGGCTGCCGGAGACCAGCCACCCAGGGACAGTAGACACAGGTGACAGCAGACCCTCTCAGGGATGCTTTGTACAGACTGTCATGAATGAGCAATGTCACTGGAACTCCAACTTTTGCTCCCTTCCCAGCCCTCTGGGGGTCCCTATCAGGTGCAGTTTGAATTACAGGAAATTACTGGAGGGTCTTAACCCTGGCATCTGCCTGAGAGTGGGAGGCTGCAGTGCAGTGTGGCTCACAGTTGGGTGGGAACCTTGGCCTTTCTGGTGCTTGGCCCTGCTGCGGCCTTTGGGATGGGGAGGCTGTGAGAGGCTGGTCAGGGTCTGGGCTGTGCCATCTTCATTTCCCATCCACCCCAGTATGTCCAGGGCTTCCTGCAGAGAGCTCTGGGCAACTCAAAAACAGGCAGGACATAACAACAAAGACTTTATTGTGCTTTAATCAAAATAAGTGGGGGCTTTGAGGCCAAGGAAGGGGTCCTTTTCCCCAAGAAGAGGCATTCTTAGGCATTGTTGAATCTATGCTGGAAGCTCTGGTCCCACCTTGGAGCCTCCTGCAGTGAGTAGAGCCAAGTTTCCTGACTTTTTCTGACCACAAAATGCAACTGCCAAGAATGGCAGATGAGGGATCCAGCCTCCTGGACTCTCATTTGCTTAGTTTTCTTCAGTCTTGTGTCCTGGAGCAGATTGTGGACCCTGGAAGCAGGGCCCCAGTGCCATCTGCTTGGGCCTCAGAACTCTGCCCCATTGGTGGTCTGGTGGTGGCCACTTATCCTGCAGGAGCCTGACCATTTCTGCTTCCTTGAATGGATGAGGTTGGTGGCTGGTCCACGTGTTTCTGCCCCACCCTCACCAAGGTGGCCAGTGGTAGTTTGAGCTTGGTAACATCATCAGCTTGGCCTTGCCAGGCACACATAGGCCCCGGGTATGTACGCAGTGCTCCAAGGGGGCTTGCTCCGCCTTAAGCCAAATACTAGTTCTGGCCAGGGCCACAGGGGGCTCCATCTCCTGTGTATCTTGGCTGCTGCTGGAGGCCCCAAGGCACCCCTGGTGCCCCTTCCCTTTCAGGGCTCAGGTTGAGTCTGGGCTAGGGCCCTCTGGGTCTAGGAATTGTGCATTGAGAGGGGGGTTCTGCCCTACAGGTTGGGACCATGGATGCAGGGCATGCTGCTGGGTGGCCTGGGCTGTGGGGACACCATGCTCACCCCTCCCTCCAGTGGCCTCCAAGTGTCCAGCTTCCCCATCAGTATTGACTTTCCATGTCTAAGGAGCTCTCTGGGGCTTTGGGGCAGCTTGCCAAGTGCTGCCCTGGCTCCTTCTGGGCCGTGATGTTCACTGTCTGCCAAGAGTGATCAGCTGTAGGCATCACATGCAGGAGAGTTGTCTCTGGCCCTACCTCTGGGCTATCAGGGGGCTGGGCAGTGTCTGGTATTGGGGGCTAGGCCAGTCCTATGATCTTAGAGGTGTCCAGGACACATATGGAAGTGATAGGGGCCTAGCATCTCTGCTCCAAGCTCTACTGTGAAAACCACAGACCTCTGAGGTCCAGGTCCATGGGGAGCTTAGAGAGGGAGTTCCAATGCAGGAATCACCAAGCACTCTGTGGTCTATCCTGAGCTGGGGATGGGCTGGCCACACTCTGAGTCCCCAGGGCCCCCAGAGAGCAGCCTGCTGTCCTGGGCTCTGCAGAAGCTCCCTTATGCCTCTGGGCTTTGGCCTTGGGTACAGCATAGCCAGGTGAGGGTGAGGGAGGATGAGGCTCCTGTTTCAGGAGGGCTATACCCATGGGCTGCTGGAGCTGGGCTGTGGGCCAGGGAGAAGCAGCCCATCCCCTTGGGGAGGGTCTCAATGCTGGGGGATATCTGCAGAGGCCTGGGTGGTGGGGGTGCTTGCTCAGGTTTGGCTGAAAGGAAAGCAGATTTGGTCAGCTTTTCCATTGAGAACATCTTGCTTTTGCCAGGCTGGACCCCACAGACCTGGGTCCCTGCAGTCCTCAGGGTCCCCGTGTGGTCCCCCTGGTCTAATGCTGAGGACACTCCTGCAGGCTGCTACTCCCAGAGCGAGGTGTGTGTGCAGCCTAGAGTGGGGAAGCTGTCAGGGAAGCTCAAGTCACTCCAGGGACAGCCCCCAGGGTTCAGGCTGACTCAGTCTTCCTGCCTCACACTCTTGCCCCAGGGCTGCTTAGCCTGGGCTTTAGCCTTGATTCAGAGCTCAGATGGATGAGGCCTTAACTGTTACCTAGCCCCTTTGCCACGCAATATGGGGGCTTATCTCCACAGTGGATGAGACACCCTCCACTCCTCTGGGGGATCTCCATGCCAGGGCTGGACTGTTCCCACACTCAGCTGAGCAATCAATTCTGGCTCTGGGCCAGGGTTTCACCTATGCCCTCTCCCTAGATTCTCTTAGGGTCTCTGACACTGATTTTAGGCCCTTGGAGGGGTGCTCAGGAGTGAAGGCCCCCTGCTGCTCTCCAGGGCTGCTGGTACTCACAGGTGTGGTTGTGGGCTTGCACAGATGGATCTGACCCCTCCAGTGTCCTTCTGGGGCTTTCAGGAGTGAGAGCAGGAGGGTACAGGGGAGGGGCTTGGAAGAGTCTTGCTCACGTCTCATTGTCTCTGAGGCATGTCCAGTAAACCCAAGGTCAGCTTTTGCCCTAGGCTCAGGCAGCCTGGTTTCAGAAGCTTCTTAGAGGAGGAGGGAGAGGAGGGGCTGGAGGAAGGCCCAGGGAGCAGGGCTGGTGAGGTCTGGGCACTTCCCACTATTTACTGCCCCGCAGGGTGACACAGGAGGAGACTTGGTGCTGAAGCCCACCTGGGTGTGCAGGTCACAGTGCATGCTTCTCAGTTCCCCCATGGAGGCCTCAGGGTGCCTCATCACCATGTCCTCCTCCAGGGCCCAGGCCTAGGACAGTGTGTCCTGAAGGAACTCCTGCAAGCCAAACAGGAACAGCTTCAGGGGGTGTTCTAGGGACAGGGTGACTATGAGGCTGGGAGGGGTCTGTGGGAGAGTCAGTGTCTGCACCTTGTTCCTGCCCCAGGCACCCACCACTGGGCGGTGCTGGATCCTACTGTGGCTGCCCCAGGGGTCCAGATGTTCACAGAAAACCACAGCTGGAGGAAGGCCTGGGCAGGGAAGTGCTCAACACACTCTTGCCTTTCATCTGGGTTGTGTCAGGAGTGGGTTTGGTACCTGGGTCCACTCCCTGCCCAGCCCACCAGGCCTGGTCTGGCCCTACCTCCAGGCTGGAGCAGAGAGCCATCTGGACAGTGTGGATGCTGCTCTCAGGTCATCACACACCAGAAGCCAGGAATCTGTCCTGGCTATAGGTCCCAGGGTCTGTCCTGCATGCTCCTTCTGGGCACCATTGGCCACCCAGGGACTTAATTCTGTGGCTGTGAAGGCCATGTATACCATAGTTGTCACCACACACTCACCTCCCAGTAGGTAGACATCCCAGAGCCACAGGATGAGCATGAAGGAAGTCTGTGGGAACAGCAGGTGTGGGAGGACCTGGCCTTTCCAACCTCGGGGCTGGTGGCTTGAGCAGGGCCCACTGTAGCCTCAGTCTGGACTTCCTGAGGCTCCCTCTGCTTGGGAAGAGACCCACCCAATCTTCCATAAGGCTGGGTCAGACAAGGTCCGGCAGCTCTTCATGGGGATGGACTCATCTCAGCAGAAATGTGGTTCCCAGAATAAGGGGCTTCCTGAGGGCTTGTGGCTTCCCTGGCTCCTTTGGCTCTTCCAAGATGGGTCTTGGCCCAGTCTGCCCAGAATTCCCTGGTGTCTGGTGTGTAAAGCTCCCATCATACAGGTCCTGGCTTGTGTGCCCTGCAGAGACCTGCCTGTGCCTCCTGTGGGGTGGGGGTGAGCTGGGTCCTCCTGGGGAAGCCAGACCCCTGGGCTGGGGGAGCTGAGCACTGTGGGGAAAGGAGGTACCTGGCCTGGGGTCTCCTATGCATCCTTATCTCATCGATGAAGCACCATAGAAACCAGTTTAAGGTGGAAAGCCGGATGCACAACCCTTCCTTGTCCTGATAGAAGGAATAGAAGTGTTCAGGGTCCCCTGGGCTTCCGTGAAAACCTCTGTATTCCAGACCCCACTGCAGACCCTTCCCCAAGAGGTAGAACAGTGGTGGCTGTGCCCCAACACCTCCCCATGGCATGGGCCCCCAGTGGATGTACTTCCCCTAGCCCTGGCTCAGCCAGAGCTTGGCCTGGTCCCAGTGCCTCTGTCCCCTCCAGGTAAGGAAAAGGAGGCCAAACTTTGAATCCATTGAAAACCAGATCAAGCCCTGGCTGGAAGTTGGCCTCTCACCAGCCCCAGGCTTCCCCTGTCCCTGCTAACCCCATGGGACCCAGGGCCTCTGGGGAAGAGCTGAGGGACTGACCACTCACCATGTGCTTCATAAGCTCTCAGAACACTTTTAGCAAAACTTGCTCTTGATGGGCTTGGAGACTCTGGAAGTTAGAACATCTTGGGATGTAGACTCCTGAGAGGCTCCTGGGGCCCCAAGGAATCAGAGCCTACTCCTGAGATGTGGAGCCATCAGGCTGGGCAGTGGCAGTTGGGCAGTGGCAGTTGGGCAGCAGCGGTTGGGCAGTGGCAGTTGGGCAGTGGTGGTTGCTTCCAGACCCCAAGGCCTTTCACTGTCCCATCCAGTGACCCCATCATGTGGTCTCGGCCAGGAGAGGAGGGGTGGGAATGCCCCTGGGGCCTGGCTGGAGGCACTGCTTAGTGGCTTCCAGGGCCATGGCTCCAGAAGGGCAGGCCTGCCTTTGAAGCAGTGAGGACAGGTGGGAGCTGGTGGGGTGACCAGGGGTGCTGGAGGGTGTGTGGCCTTCTCCTGGATGTGGGGTCAGGGCAGGGGACACAGGACAGAGAGAAGCTGTCATCTGGGCTTGGTCTAGCCATGGGCAGGGAGGGTGGTTGGGAGGGTGGCCAGCTGGGAGGTGGAAGGACCAGCAGGGTTGTAAGAGTCCCCTGCATAAGGTCAGGGCCAGAAGGTTGTGACACCAGGATGCAGAAGGTGGTCACAGGGCAGCTGTGATCCCATTTGCTGATGGGGACAAGAGGCATCTGACTTGGGGTGTCGGGTCCCTGGCCAGTCACAGGCTCCTGTGGGACTCTCAGCAGGGGATACCCTGGAGGCTCAAAATGAGCAGGGGACAGAAGGTGCCTTGTCTGTAAGTCACAATTACCCAGCCAGTGTGGCCGTCCCCTGTCCTGGCTGTGTGATGCCTCGTGGGTAGCTGTCCACTGTGAGCTAATGTCACATGGGAGGACTGTGTCACCTGAGAGGGCAGAGGTCACCTTGGAGAGTACCATGCTTGGCAAGCCTCTCATTGGCCAGCAGCTGGGCCAGCACCCAGATGTCTCCTCATTCTGGAACATGAGCAGGATAGTGGCTCATGGCATGATATGGCTTATGCCCCCGCAGTAGCCTACCTCTGGCAAAAGCCAAAGTCATCATGGAAAGACTTCACCAAGGCTGACGTCACCTTGGAGGGTTGAGGTCACCTGAGAGGGCTAATGTCACCTGAGCACACTATGTCACCAAGAGGGCAGAGGTTACCTGGAAAGGCAGAAGTCCCCTGGCAGAGCTGAGGTCACCTGAGGAAACAGGTCACTTGGAAGGGAAGAGGTCACTTGGGAGAGTTAATATCCCCTAGGAGAACTAATGTCACCTGAGAAGGCAGAGATCATCTGGGAAAGCAGAGGTCCCCTGGAAGACCTGAGTTCACCAGGGAGGGCAGAGATAACCAGGGAGGACTAATGTCACTTAGGAGGGCTGAGGTCACCTGAAAAGACTGAAGTCATCTGGAAAGGCAGAGGTCACCTGGGAGAGCTGAGGTAACCTAGGAGGGCACAGATCACTTGAGAGGGGAGAACTAATGTCACCCAGGAGGGCAGAAGTCACCTGAGAAGGCAGAGGTCACCAGGAAGGCCTGCCACAGGTCCCGGGGAATTTAGGGTGCAGCTTCCGTGCCCCTCTCCTGACACTGTGGTTCACTTGAGCCAGTCATGGACATCTCAGATGAAAAGGAGCTATGGAAGAGACTCCTGCTTCATCCAAACTCATGTGTGGCCAGAAAAGGCATAGGTGAGGGCCGTTAAGAACACCCTGACCCGAACTGCAGATGCTAAGCTGGGGAGGCCACTGTGCCAGGCTCAGGGCAACACCCATGAACTGAATCCCTATGAAGGCTGGCTTGTGGGTGCTGACCACTGCACATAGGGGACTGGGATGGCTCACAGGCTGCTGGGCACAGGAAGACAGCTAGGTCCAGACCCTGTGTGGGCAGCCCATGGAGTCTGCTCAGCAGCTCTTCCTGCCAGGAATGGTCAGGAAAGTGGGGGCTGGAGAGTGGGAGCAGCCATCTCAGTAAGTCCTTCCCTGTCTGCTGTGCTGTTCAGGGTTCGGGTGAAGGGGAACTTTGATCCCAAAGCCTGATTAAGATGATGGCTTCTTCAGGATCCAAACTCACTTTATGACAAAAGAAATGTTCATTAGGCACTTCACCATCTTGTAAAATATTCTGAGAGGGACAATCTGCAACAACGCAAAGCTTGTGGGGTTTGAGGTGGGAAAGGAAAATAAAACTCAGGACTCCAATTCACTATGCCAAATGGAAAAAATTAAGCTGAAAGCTGAGTCATGCAAAAAACTGTCTTTCCTTTTGTTCCTCAGCAGATAGCTACAGATAGAAGGTTAAATAGCTCCTCAAGTAGCTAGTCTTATGTTCACCTTATGTAAAGGGCCTATTACTGAGTGTGAGATGAATCCATAATTGACTGTTTTCCTGCCTACTCCTTTTCTCTTGCAACATGTGGATAACCACACCCTCTTTCCCATCTAGCACACTTCTCACCTTTAAATATTGAAGCCCTCACAATCATCTTTGAGAAAGGTACATATACCTGTTTCCTGGGTGCGTCCTTAACCTTGGCAAAATGAAAATTCTAAACTGATTGAGACCTATCTGACATACTTTTTCGTTTACAAGTTGGCAACCAACGGAAGAGACTCTGAGTGAAGGTGGCCCTGACCTTTGACAAATCTACTTGTGCATGGTACCAGTATGAGCTATATTTTTATTTTATCTGTTTTAATTTTGAGACAGTGTTTCACTCTGTCACCCAGGTTGAAGTGCAGTGGCACGATCCCTGCTCACTGTAGCCTCCACCTCCCGGGCTCAGGTGATCCTTCCACCTCAGCCTCCTGAGTAGCTGGGACTACAGGCTTGTGCCACCACACCGGGCTAATTTTTGTAATTTTCATAGAGACAGGGTTTTGCCTTGTTGCCCAGGCTGGTCTTGAACTCCTGGGCTCAAGAAATCCTCTGGTCTTGCAAGGCCTCCCAAAGAGCGGGGATTACAGGCATGAACCACCATGTCTGGCCTTGAGCTATCTTTATTGTTCAAACTGTTACAATAGGTAATTAGTCAGACATGAATAGGTCAGGAGAGGGACCCTCGCCCAGGAATGTCAGGCAACCATCAGATGGTGGTCAGGAGGTTGTTAAACTGCCTCTTGAAAATAATAATTGGCTGCAGCCGGTGCCAGGGAAAGGCAGCCTCCCAATAGAAACACCTCAAGTTGGTAATCAGCAGCTTCCCAATAAGATCTCAGGAGGTGGGCTAGTGGACTTAAGCATGTGCACTAACAGGCAAAATGGCAGAGTTGAACCAGTATATAACCTTTCTCCAGGAACACTCGGCTGGTAAGGGAAGAATGCCTTAAGTGAGCATGTGTACAATTTTGGTAAACACATTGTGTATGTTGCCCCTTCCAAGTGCTGGCAGGCCACTGTGCACGTGGACAGCCCACCCCAAGGGAAAAATCAAGGGAGAAGAGATGCAAACCACTCCCCCGCCCCAAGAGGCATGCCAATGTATGAAACCCCAAGTCAAAGATCAAACCATGAACTTGATCTCTCAAGTCACCCACTCGGCCCTCTTTCAAGTGGACTTTACTTTCTTCAGTTTCTGCTCTAAAGCTTTTTAATAAATTTTCACTCTTGGCTCTAAAACTTGCCTCAATCTTTCACTCTGCCGTATGCCCCTCAGTCGAATTCTTTCTTCTGAGAAGGCAAGAATTGAGATTGCTGCAGACCCATATGGATTTGCTGCCAGTAACAAAACCAACAGGACGATTTGCTGAGGCCTGGGAGGTATCATCTCCAGAGAATCCCTGATTTCTCAAAATGTTGTTGAGATCTAAGGTTTATTTTGCTGTTCAACTCCTTTTCTAGAGTTTTACTTGCATCCAAAAAGATGAGTTTTTCTGAATCCATGATAATGGAAAGCAGGCAACTCCTTTCCAGAGTTTCAGCTTGCTTCCAACAGGGAAGATGAGTTTTGAGTTTTTTTCCTGCTTCTAGGATGATAGAGAGCAATCTTCAACCTGGGCCTTATTCCTACATAAGTAGCTGAAATGGGGTTTGTCTTGGAAATTCTCTGAAAGTTAAGATTAACTACCAGCTGGTCTTGATTCCTCCTTACCATTAGAGTGCTCAGTAATCTTATAAATTGTGCAATCATTTGTTTTGCTTTACTTTTTTGTTGTTGTTTATTTGTTTGGTTCTGTTTTTGTTGTTTTAGTCTTTTTTCCATTGGGTTTGACCACTCTAGTTGACTTGGTCAAACCTGAAGGAAAGTTCTAAATTATGGGGAACAAGACCTCTGAACTGGCTAAATTCCTGAAGCTGGAAAAACAAAGAGAAAAAAAAGAAAAATCAGCCATCGAAGCAAGAAAGATTTCAATTACCTGAAGGGCTTTATTTACATAACAAAACAACCCTTTGCTAGCCAAGCCAAACTGAAATAGCAATAGTGGTTGCCCCATGCTGTAGTTCAGTAGCTAAGGTTCTGCCCTTTTTCCACCATGGCAGCCTGGGTTTGGTTCCTAAATAAAGTCTTTACTGGTTTGATATTTGTGTTACATTTGAAATATTAGAAGTTTGTCCCACCTAAAACATGGTAATGTAACCAAAATGCAGGTTAGTCGCTTGTTGCTTGCAGAGTCCAATTAACAAAAGTGAAGTCTGGTATAAAGAAAGTAATTTATTTCCAAAACTAGCTTAGGGGAAGAAATGCAGGTGTCCTCCATATGGCTTCACTTTTAAAAAGCAGGGGAGGAAGTGAGCAAGGGTGGTGGCGGGGGGTCCATGCTAGCTCTTGTGCCTTATCTACGGGGCAATCAGCTTGTGACTGCTGGCACCTTCATGGGCAGGCTGTTATCTCTTGAGACAACCTCCTAAAGAGTGAGAGTTCCACAGTGGGCATGATTGGTTTATAAATCAACTGTTAATTCTCAAGTTGACTTTCCAGTTTGAGCGTGTAGTTAGATGAACTTGCACTGTAGGGAGAGTCCGGTAATGGGGAGGTAAAAGGCTATATTTGCATTCCTAAAAGCCTAAGTAGGGAGTGGGGAACTGAAGGAACAAGAAAAGGAAAGAAAAAAAATAATAATTGATGTCTCAGGAAAATGGGTGTACTCGGTTACAGCAATGAGATTTTAAAGGATTTTTAAAGCTCAGTGGTTAAAAGTCAGCTTGATTAAATGCTAATATACATAAGGTGTCAAAATTTGGCATGACGGTTATAAAATTATAAATGTAACTCAAAAGATAATTATCCTTGTGTAATTTTTTTTGATAAATAAGTCATTTATCCTGAGTTATTGGCGAAAAACTCATTTGTTTAACCTTAAGCTTCTTACTTAGGTAAACACCTGAAATTCACAGGCTATATAAATGATTAACAGGAAAATACCTTTAAATGTTGATTATCACAGTTTTCATAAGTAATCTAGGTAAACTATTAAAAATAAGTTAGGTAAATGTAATGGAAGGAATGCTTGTAAATAAGCATAATATAATTTAGAATCTAAAGTTATATTACATAACAGGCATTTATTAAATGTCTGGGTCATTCACAATTAAAAAAATTACAGAAAAACATTTTGCTAAGAATATGTTCTTATTTAAAGGAAAATAATTTTTGTTGAATTCAAAGGTTATTTAAAGGTTATGAAACAAGATAAAAGGAACCACTAAATAAGAGCGATATAAAGACAGTTAAAAATATAAAGAGATATTTTTGGTAAGAAAGGTTAAAAGGAAAATTTTATATGAGAAAAAAATCTTGCATGGTAAATGTTTGTTCTAAAATAAAATGGCTGGATGCAAATAGCTCATGCATGTAATCCTAGCACTTTGTAAGGCTGAGGTGAGCAGATTGCTTGAGCCTGGGAGTTCCAGACCAGCCTGGGCAACATGGTAAAACCCTGTCTATACAAAAAACACAGAAAATTAACTGAGTATGCTGGTGCACATCTATAGTCCCAGCTACCTGGGAGGTTGAAATGGGAGGATTGCTTGAGCCTGGGTGGGTCAAGGCTGCAGTGAGCTGTGATCATGCCACTACACCCCAGCCTGGGTGACACAGAGAGAGAGACCTTGTCTCAAGGAAACAACAGCAGCAACAACAGCAGCAACAACAAAGAAATCTTAAAAAAAAGAAAAAGAAGATAAAATGATTGGTTATTTAGGAAAGAAGCTGTTTAGGATAAAACAGGAAGTCTAGGCATGTCATAAGTGGCTTGTGTAAGTCATAGTAAGGTTTGTAAAAAGAGACTTTATGAGAAAAGAATTTATTTGATCAAGTTGGCTATAATTAAAAGGAAATTAGTCTTTCTAGAGACTGTGCTTTTGCACTTAGTGTATATTAAAAATATGCTAATCCACTCAAGAATGGGCTAGAAGAACAAAATTTTCTTAAGATATTAATTTACTCTTAACAAATTACAAGATATTTTAATTTTTTTACCCCAGATTTCAACTTTTATTGAATCTCACTGTTTTCACCTTTCTCTCCCCTTCATAAGTCCTGAGATAATCGCTCTCTCCAACTTTCTTGTCAGTTTCTATAATTTTTTTTCCTCAGGTTCTAACTGCTACTGTGACATGATGCTAAAAGTGTTTTATCTTAAAGGTCTAAAGGAAATATTTTCTTCCAATATAACATTCTGTGCTCTTGGTTTGAAGTTTTTCTATGAAACTGAAAATTTTCACTTATGATGCAAGACACACCCTTCCTATATCTAACTAATTCAAGTACCATTTTCATTAGTTTTGACTTGAAGTCTAGGGAAAAGCAATTGCTGCAGGTCTTTTATTTATTTTTTGCCTTTTGGTAACTGGCCTAACAAACAGATTTTATATTTTATTGAAACAATTCCTATGTCATTAAGTTTTTTATTTGCCTAGGAAAACTGAGATTTAAAAAATTAAAGTTATTAACATCCATACAATGTTCTGTATTGCTTTTAAAGTCCTTGTTCTGTTGAGTTACAGGGCTTTGACTCCTGTATCTAAAAAGGACACCAAGTCCTGCTAAATCTTAAACACTGAAAGCTTCTAAAACCGTATCTTCAGAACCAGGAGAAGATGATAATCAAAAGAAACTGCACTCATGAAACACAGGGCCAGAAATTGAAACTATCTTACCCCTCAAAGTCCAGGGGCTATTGTGGAAGATGTGGGTACATGCGATTGTAAGAGCCTATTTTGAAAGATAAAATTGGTTTTATCTTGGTTACAGTTTCTCTGTAAAGATTAGTATCAAAGGCTCACTGATGCAAGACTAACCTCTGAGCTCCTGTGTCAGATTAACAAGGTTTTCTTGGAGTATTAACCCACTTTTTCATTTAAAAAATTATAAAATGTTACAAAAAGGTTTTTGGAAATTATATAGTATGGTGAAGATCATTAAAATTTAATAGATTTGTTTATAAGATTTGAGAAACAGATTTCATTGGCCTCATGCTATCTTTATTAGGGCTTATTGTTTGGAAAATTAAGTCTCCTCTCTCAAAGAGTAATGGTTTTGTCTTTTGACTTTTTTTTTTTTGAAATCTTTGAGTTATCACTTTGGTTAAATGAATGACTTATTTTACAATGACCAATGACCAATGATCCTATTTTGTGATAGCAGGTGTTTTAAAGTTTTGATATTTGATTTTTTCAAAATTAAATTCTAAATTCAGTCCTTTTGACTCATTAATTTTTTTGATATTAGGTCCCCTTAAGTCCAAAAGACACATATTTGCCTTATTTGGTATAATACAATCATTAGATATTAATTTCATATTTGACAATACCTACTGTATAATTTTATTATACCAAATAAATGTAACCTAATAATCTATAATTATAATTTATATTTATAGATTTAACCTGTAATTTTATTATACCAAACAGGTATAACCTCATTTCATGGGATGCGCCCATTCCCCTGAATTCCTCCATCTCCCCTGGGACCTGTGTTGAAGGTCATCTCAGTAGCTTCTAGGTTTTAGTGATAATGAATAAGGCAGTGAATGTGACATGTAGGTTTTAGGTGTACATACATTTTCAAGTCAGCTAGGTCAACGTCTATGACACTTGTGGTCACGTGGTACAAGTACATTTAGCTTTGTGAGCAATTCCCAACTGTCTTCCAAGGCGGCTGTACCATTTTGCATTCAGCAGCAGCAGCATTTTGCAGCAGCAATGCACAGAGTTCTTGTGGCTCCACATCCTCTATGGTGTTTGGTGTTGTCAGTGTTGCCTGTGAAGTCTGAGCCCCTCTTGTGGGTCTCTACCTCAGGTACTTGTGGGTCATAGAGAGAACTTTTCACCATGCAGCATGATTGTGTTTGCTACTGCTTGTTTCCTCAGTAGCCACTTGGGTTCTGGACCCACATGCCCCAGCTCGGCCCATGGTTTGGAGCTCAGTAGATGCTCTGTGATGCTGGCTGCTCCCTGGCCAAGAGAGCCCTTGGGGGGCTCTGTCACGTCCTATCTTGGACTCCTGCATGGGATGCCCCTATTCCTCTGAATTCCTCCGTCTCCCCTGGGACCCTCCATCCCCCATAGGCCTTACCTGACTCTGTAGTGCTCCCAAAACATGACATGGTGTCTGAAGGTGCACTTCATGTCCAGGTCAATCTGGTTTATTTTCGCTGAGGACATCTTGCCCTGCTGCTTTATTTTCTGCTCCCTCTGCTCCCAAATCCTAGGCCCTCCTGAGTGTGAGCCCATAGAAAGACCCTCTTCCCTTCCCTAAGTGGCCACCTGGACTGATAACCTGTGGTGGATGAGGATGGGGCTGGTCCTTCCCTGGGGCTCACTCTCCCGCAGTTGCTTTACAGTGAGAGCCCTGTATAGGAGCCCTGCTCCTTTATTTTCTTTAGGGCAGGGCTAAAGGGCTGGTTCCTCAGGAAGGAACCAGCCTTATAACAGACAAAAGGCTCACTACCACAAACAGCAATCATTCAGCACTTCTGGAAGGAAAGACGATTTTTTTTTTTTTTTTTGCAGAAATATCCTTCTCTATCTTATTTCCAAAGCCACTGAGGGTCACCAGAGCCCAGTTCACTTGTGGTTCCCATGCCATCGTCTGTGCCTAGGATATGGGACTGACCATCACTCAGGCTTGACTTTTCCTCTAGCTAGAGACCTGGGCTCCTGACATGGCCTGGCCTGTTTCTTCCGCTGTGGCTGAGTGTGGAAGGACCATACCTGGTACTTACTTGGGTTTTCAGCCTTCACCTTCTTAACGTCCAGCAGGAGTGACCATGCCTGACTCCACATCTGCAGGGGGATTCCTTAACAACATGCTTTTTTGCCTTAACAACATGCTTTTGCTGCAGATATCAGCCAGGGCCTGTTTCTCTGCTCCTCGCTAAGAATGCTTTGTTTCCCATAAGGAATGCTTTTAGCTAATATATAATCTATAGAAGCAATGCTTATCACTGGCTTACTGTCAATTAATATGTGGGTCTAACTCCATTCATGGCTCTCAGCTCTGAAGGCTATCAGCCCCTGATTCCCACTCTACACTCTATTTCTGTGTCTGTGTCTTTAATTCCTCTAGCGCCACTGGGTTAGGGTCTCCACGACCGAGCTGGTCTTGGCAATTGGTTGGGAGGACAGAAGACTGACTCACTGTGGAATCTCAAGCTGACTGATGACCTTGTAGATGTAAACATCTTCATCTCCTGTGTCCACTGGTGCCCTGGATCAGCAACCTGCAAGGCAGAGGGAGAGAGGGTGAGGGAGGCCAAAATAAAAGTTGTTGGGTATGGGCGTGTGGGCAGCTCATCCTTGCCCTGCATCCCGAAGGAGTCCAGGACCATCAGACCAGGGAACAGAGGGAGAGGTGAGACCCGCCTCCCTGGAGGGAGCAGCCTGACCTGTGTCTGCTTATACTTGGCAATGATGTCCCTTTACTCCTGGGCGAGCAGGATATCCATGTCTTTGTCCATATCCACCCTATAAGACAAAATACTCCCAAAATTACATGGCACCTGAGAGCTTTAGAGAACACCCCATACATCTGCTCCCAGATGCCAGCCGGGTGAACTTCATTTCACCAACACCCCCAGGACAATGGGACCAAGCCAAATGGCCCCACCTCTGCCAGGATTTCTGGAGTCCCTGGGCCTGACCAGAGGTGGGCCCTTTCCTGAGGACTTTAAAACAAGGAGACCTAGACAACAAGACTTGTTGTCCCTAAATGTCCTGAAATGGGCACACACTCCACAGCAGGATGAACGGCATCTACCTGCTCAGGGTGAAGGGCCATGATGACTATAATGGACACCTGGAGGCAGACTAGGGCCAGGAACCAGAAATCTCTATATGATCAGCCTCCTGCTATTGTTCAGACACCATGAAGATGCCCAGTTTTCTATAGGAAAGAAGAAATCTCATGAGTGTTCTGTTCCACTCAAATCTTTACTCACTGTGGCCAGTGAATCCATTTGAAGAATAACACCAGTCAAGAAGGAGGATGTTTGGTTCGGAGAAGGCTTGATCTATTGTCTCCAAAGCAGCCTCCCTTTGGTGGAGGGAGGGCAGATTCCACAGTCCTGAGCAGTTGATACAGGAAGAGGCTTTGTTTTCCCAGGTCACCAAAGAACAAGTGAACTCTTGGGGACAGGTTCTGGAGAACACCCAGAGGGGCCATCTCTCCTGGGAATACCTGAGACAAAGGGAAGGTGATACGTCTGGAGGACAGGTCAGAGAGAGGGCCTTGCAGGTTAAACCCCTGTCCCCAGGCCTCAGAGAACAGGAGGAATGACTGTCACCTTTCGGCCAGACCTCCAGGGTTTCTTCATTTTCCACAACTATTCGAGGGCAGAGGGCTCCCAGCTCTGCTCCCAAACTGGAAAACTCCAGTGCCTGGTGGGTCCCACAGTAACCATCAGAGCCCACACTTAAAGTCTGAATGGATAAGATCCCTGCCTCTGGGGAACTTTTTCTTGCACAGACTTGGACTGAGGGATGCCTCTAACCCCACCCACAGGGCCCCCCATTCCTGTGGCTCTTCCAGAGCCAGGTTCTACCCCCACTGGGGTCCAGAATCCTCAGCAGATTTTGTATCTAAGGCAGGAAGGCTGCAGAGGTCAGGAGTTGAGTGCAGGACAGCACAAGGCAGGGCTGAGATCACAGTCCAGAGTCACATCTGGGTCCCTGGGTCAGTTGCCTCCGCTCTGACCTCAGGCATCTCATCTTCAAATGGGTACATTAGCACCCATTCCACGAAGTCAGTGTGAGGGTGAATGAGACGGCTGCAATACATGGTCAGTGAAGAGAAAGCACCTGGTGGGAGCTCAGCGACATTACCCTCCACAGCGCCCCGGAGGCCAGTGATGCCATCTGGTAGCATCTGCCCCCATGTCAGCAGGAAGGGGAGACAGCAGGTCACACTTACCCGAGAATGATCAGTCAGCTGTGCTGAGATGTGCCTCTCACTTAGAAAAGGGTCCTGCACACAGAGACACTCACAGACACCACTGTGTGTCTCCAGCTGCTCCACAACTCAGAGGCAGGCAGATGTTCAGCAACAGTGACGTCTGGGGTTACAGCACCCATCAGAGTGGGGCCCTGCCTGGGTCAGCAGGGCCCAGGTCCAGTGTCCTCTACTCCTTGAACTGTCAACACGCATGCATTCAATGTGTTTGTGTGTGAGTGTGAATGTGTATGTTGTGAACACGTGTGTGCATGAGTGTGTCTCTTCTCTGGCTGGTCTTGGCTGCTCCACCACATGTGCACCCAGGTCCTCATCACTGTCACCCCCAAGGGCTGTGGCCAGCATCAGAGCATCTATGGGTGCTCCCTAGTCTCTGCCCTCTCCACCTGAGGCAGTTCTGGATATGCAGACATAGGAAGGGCAGAGGGCAGAGGGCTTGCCCTTTCCTCATAGGGACTCAGTTTGTGTGTAAAATTTTAGGCCTACATGCTCAGCAGGGCAGGATTCAGCACACCTTCTCACGTCCTCCTCCTCCTCGAAGCCTTCTGGGCTGCTGTGTCCATTCCCCTTTTATAGATGAAGGGAAGGAGGCTCCCAGGACAAATCTCCTGTCTGAGGTCACACAGTGGCAGGTGACTAGGCACCACTGACCAGGTCCCCTGCCTAACTGGACCTGAGGAAGGAGGAAGCTCAGGAGGGAGGTGGGTGGAATCACCTCTTGGATGTCAGCTTCTGTCCACCAGGTGTCAGGTGACCCCCTCTTATCTGTTTTCTTTACCTCTGCTATCTCCCTTGGTCATTGAAATTGAACTGGGGTGGGGACATATTGGGAACCTATACCTGCAGCCCTTCCATCTCCTCAGAAACCTTCCCATGGGCCCAAAAATGCCCCCTCACTGGCCTCCTGTTTTCTACTCTTTAACTCTTAACCTCACCCAGGCATGGGGCCATAGTGGCCTGGAGACCCTATCAGATGCAAGTCCATTAGGGCACATCCCTGCTTAGGGGTCACCACCAGTGCCCCATCCCAATGGGACGCTCCAGTGGCTAAGAAACCCCCTTGCTCCCACACAGCCATGTGGAAACAACCTCATGTCCATTGAGAGATGAAAGGAAATGGAGGCTATCCTCACAATGGAATATTATCCAGCCATGCAAAAGAAGGAAATCCTGCCATTTGCAACATGGATGAACCTGGAAGACGCTGTGCTAAGTGAGACAAGCCAGTCACAAAAAGACATATACTGTATAATTCCACTGAGATAAAGTACCTAAAATAGTTAAACTCATAGAAGCAGAATGTAGAATGGGGGTTACTGGGAGGTGAGAAGAGGGACATGAGGAGTTGCTTTTCAGCTTGTGTAAAATTTCGGGTATGGAAGATGATTAAATTCTAGAGATTCGATGCATAACATCCTACCTATAGTAAACAATGCTGTATTACACATTAAAAAAATTCTGCTAACATTAGGAGATATATGTGTGTGTACCTGTGTGTGTATACAGTGTAGTATTTTTTTTTTTTTTGCTGAACAGTACTCCATTGTATGGATGCACCATAGTTTGTTTACATGTTCACCTGTTAAAGGACATTTAGTTTGCTTCTGGGTTTTGCCTATTATGACTGGAGCTTTTATAACAGTTTGTGTACGGGTGTCTGTGTGGACATAAGCTTTTATGTCTTTAGGAGAAATACCAGGGCTGAGATTGCTGGTTCCCGTGGTAAGTATATGTGTAACCTTACAAGAAACAAATTGCTTTCCAGTGCAGCTGTGCCATTTTGCTTTCCTGGCAGCGATGTGTTAGTCCTGTTGCTCCACATCCTCGCCGGCACTACTAGTGTCTGTGGTTTTTATTTTAGACATTCTAATGGGTGTGTAACAGGATCTCACTGTGGTTTTGATTTGTAGTCCCCTAGTGAGTCATAGTATTGAGTACCTTGTCTGGGCTGCTCTGCCTGCTGCGTGCCCTCGTTGCTGAAGTTTATGTCTGAGTCTTTGTCTCATTTCTGAAACTGGTTTTGTTTTCTTGTTTTTGAATTGAATTGATTGTTTTAATTGGGTTGGCTTGAGCATTCTTAAGTGTTCTGAATATGAGTCCTTGTCAGACGTGTGCTTTTTTAAAATATTTTCTCCAAATCTACAGCTCATCTTTTCATTCACTTAACAATGTATTTTACAGAACAAAAGTTATAATTTTGATGAAGTACAACTTATTGAATTTATTTTTGCCTTTTGCTATACTTTGCTTTCAGTGTCACATCTATGAACTCTTTGCCTAACTAGATTGGAAAAATTTTTTCTCCTATGTTTTAGTCTAAGCATTATATATTTTTATATTTTATGCTTAGATCTACGATCCATTTTGAGTTAATATTGTAACTAATGCAATTTGTTACATGTAAATTAGGAGGTTTAGATCAAGATTCATTATTCTGGATAAGACTGTCCAATTGTTGACTGGGTGCCGTGGCTCACGCCTGTAATCCCAGCACTTTGGGAGGCCGAGGCTGGTGGATCACGAGGTCAGGAGTTCAAGACCAGACTGGCCAAGATGGTGAAACCCCATCTCTACTAAAAATCCAAAAAATTAGCCGGGCCTGGTGGCAGGCGCCTGTAATCCCAGCTACTTGGGACGCTGAGGCAGAGAATTGCTTGAACCCAGGAGGCGGAGGTTGCAGTGAACCGAGATTGCCACTGCACTCCAGCCTGGATGACAGAGCAAGACTCCGTCTTAAAAACAAAAACAAAACCAAAAACTAAAAAATAAAAAAAGACTGTCCAATTGTTTTAACACTGTTGAAAAGACCTTCCTTTCTCTGTTGAATTGCTGCTGTTCCTTTGTCAATAATTAGCTATAATTGTGTGGGTTTATTCCCAAGCTTCCCAATGTCTTCCATAGATCTATGTGTCTATCACTTCTCCAATATCACCTTGTCTCGGTGAGCTCTTTTGGAACAGCACTTTGGAAGGGTAACCTGCAAGTGGGGTGAGGGGCTCTATGATGGGACATACCTGGCCTAGTGGGCAAGGAAGGGCTTTATGGTCAAACATTCCTGGGATGCAGTAACGGCTTTCCCCTGTATTGCGGGACATCAAATATTCTCTTCATTTCTTTCAACTTGAATGTTCTCACCTGTAAAATGAAAAATAACTATTCTACCTTATTTGGAAGAGAAGACCAAGAACCTATATGACATTGAGCAGGTGTCTACGGAGCACCTAGTATCATGTGATACACTTGGAAGATACCCTGGTGAACATGCTGGACACAGCTCCTGCTTCTGTAGGGCTTGCATGTTAGTGAGGGAGACAGAGACATAACCAGACAACTGTAATTATGGGCCAACATTTCTGCCCTCAGAAACATATGATGTGCAAGTGGGTCAACACAACCCAATCGTGGAGTGAAAGAGAAGGTTCTGGGGCAGTGACTTCAAAGTGAAAGAGTACAGGGTGAGAAAGGGGCAGCACAGGAACAAAACAGGGCGTGGGGAAAGAGGGACTATAGGTAGGCAGACAGCATGGAAGAAGGCAGAGGATGAAGAGAGTAGGACAGCATGGTGGGGCATAGAGAGCACTGAACAATGGCGAGAAATGGGATCCACCAGAGAATAAAGGAAGGGTTTTGCATGTTCCAGTGAGGTGTTGGGCTTCATGTCGTTCATTTTGTTTTATTCTATTGAATTTTATTGCTATTATTCCACATAAAATTCACCATTTTAAGTTACACAATTTAATTTTAAATATATTCACAAGATTTGGAACTATCATTGCTATCTAATTCCAGATCACTTATATCACCCTTAAGAGAAAGCTTATACTCATTAGCCGTCAGTTCCTATTCTCCCCTCCTGCAGCCCCTGGCAACCATTAATCTGTGTTTAGTCTGTATGGATTCACCTATTCTGGACACTTTACATACATGGAATTATATAATATGTGGTCTTCTGTGCCTGGCTTCTTTCACTGAACATGCTGTTTTCACATTTCATCCACATGATAGCCAATGTCAGTGTTTCATTCCTTTTTATGGCTGAAGGACATTGCATTGTGTAGATGTATCAGTTTCCTAGGGCTGCTGCAACAATGTACCACAAACTGGGCGGCTTCAAACAACAGGAACTTATTGTCTCATAACTCTGGAGGTTAGCAGTCTAAAGTGTCAGCTGGCTACCCTCCCTCTGAAACCTGTAAGGGAATCCTACCTTGCCTCTTCCTAACTTCTGGTGGTTTGCCAGCAATCTTGGCTTGCAGGAGCATCACTCCAGTCTCTCCTCTTGTCACCACATGGTTGCCTTCTCTTTGTATGTTTGTGTCTTCACATGCTATCTTTTCGTAAAGACACCTGCCGTATTGGATTAGGGCCTGCTCTACTCTAGTATAACTTTGTCTTAACTAATGACATCTGCAATGCTGCTATTTCCAAATAAGGGCACATTCTGAGGTTTGGGGAGTAGAGCTTCAATGTATCTTTCTTGGGAGGGCACAATTCAACCCATAACAGTGGACACACCTTTTCTTTATGCTAGGCTTTCTTATAAAAGTAATGAGATGCCAGTTAAATTAACAGTCCTTAGTGCTTCCTGTTTTTTGAGTCAAGCGCTTCGCATGTGTTATGAAGTTTACAATTGCTCTGCAGGGTGGAAGGTGGAAGCTATTATTTATAAGAAAAAAAAATTAAGGAAAGAATGGTGAGAGGGTGAACCAAGGTCACACTCTTGATCCATAATGGAGATAGGAAGACTTTCCAAGGTTTTTCCAAAAGTTCTACACTTGGTAAGTGGCAGAGTCCAAATAGAAACTCAGGTTTTCTGCTTCCAAATCCCATGATCTTTGCAATGTTGCAAGTCTGGCTTCTGCTGTGAAACGCTACTGTTATAGAATACGTCTTCCAGATCACAGAAGCTTTCATGACCCTTCGACTGTCTCATGCAAGCAATGGTGAAATGGTAGAGATGCTAATTGAGCGGGGACATCAAGGGCACCCTCAGGGCTGAGTCAGCTGCAGTCCACAAGACAGAACTAAAAGGAAAGAATCCATGGGGAAACACCTTCATTAGGCCTTTTCACTATGGGAAAAGAACTTTCAGAGTTTGAGTGATGGGAAGAGTGAGGACCTTAAACAAAATGGTGAAAGCAAAAGAAATTTTTAGAGGAGAATGGTGGGTTCAATTTGGCCCTGGTGAATTTGAAGGGTGTATTAGTCTGCTAGAGCTGCAATAGCGAAGTATCACAGACTGGGAAGCTTCAACAAGAAAAATTTATTTTCTCATAGTCCTGGAGGCCAAAATTCTGACATTAAGGTGTCCGCAGTGTTGATTTCTTCTGAGGCCTCTCTTGTTGGTTTGTAGATAACTGTCTTCTCCCTGTGTCTTCACACAGTTGTCCCTCTGTGAGTGTCCGTGCCCTAATATCCTCTTAGGGCCCACCCTAATGATCTCATTTTAATTCTATAAAGACACTATTTCCAAAGAAAGTCACATTCTGAGATACTGGGGGTTAGAACTTCAATATACAAATTTTGAGAGGACACAACCCAACTCACAACAAAGACCTTGCTGTGCAGTAAAGCAGAGATATCTTTTAGGTTCTTAGCACTCAGAGTTGACAGTTGAGGAAAGACCAAGGTTGAGCATGTCATTTTTTTGTTTTGTTTTGTTTTTTGAGATGGAGTCTCGCTGTGTCACCCAGGCTGGAGTGCAGTGATGTGATATCAGCTCACTGCAACCTCTACCTCCTGGGTTCAAGCAATTCTCCTGCCTCAGCCTCCTGAGTAGCTGGGACTACAGGTGCACACCACCATACCAGGCTAAGTTTTTTGTGTTTTTAGTAGAGATGGGGTTTCACCATGTTGGTCAGGCTGGTCTCAAACTCCTGACCTCAAGTGATTCACCTGCCTCAGCCTTCTAAACTGCTGAGATTACAGGTGTGCGCCACCACACCTGGCAAAGATGTCATTTTTAGGAGGCAGAAATTGAAGACATGTGATATGGTTTGGCTGTGTCCCACCCAAATCTCATCCTGAATTGTTGTTCCCATAATCCCCACATGTTGTGGGAGGGACCTGGTGGGAAGTAATTGAACCATGGGGGAGGTTGCCTCCATGCTGTTCTTGTGATAGTGAATTGTTATCAGATCTGATGGTTTTTTAAAAGGGGCTTCCCCCTGTCCCCTTTCACTCTGCCCTTCTCCTTGCTGACACCATGTAAAGAAGAAGGTGTTTGCTTCCCCTTCTGCTGGCATTGTAAGTTTTCTGGGGCCACTCCAGCCCTGCAGACCTGGGAGTCAATTAAACCTCTTTCCTTTATAAATTACCCAGTCTTAGGCTGTCTTATAGCAGCGTGAGAACGGACTAATACAACATGTGATAGCTGATGATCCCAGAAACAAAGTCTAGAGAAATTGGGTGAGGATGCCAGTCTTGTGTGTTTTTGGTCATTGACAAAGTAAAATAAAATTTCTTAAAACGTTTTCCTACTTTTGCTATAGAAGCTTGATTTGTGAAATAGTGTTTGGAGAGTTGTAGTATAAATATCAATGCAGAGTGAATTAAAAAACAGAAGAAATGGATAAACCAGATTTACAATCATTAAGTAAATCAAAATTGGTAGTTAAAAAAATTTAGCATGACCAGGCCCAGATGATTTAACAGGCAAATTGAACAATTGAAAAATAGGCAGCAGGTAGATTTTTCTGGATTTACAGAGTGTATCCACCCCAGCATATCCACTTCTCTGAGCCTTCTCACCTCTGTCTTTCGTGGGGAGTTGTCACTTTTTCCATACTTACAGGAGCTTACCTTGAATCTGATTTGAACTATCTTCTGGAATCCCTGTTAGGCTGTTAAATCCTGTATCCTGTGAGGATCCTCCTGCATTGATAATAAACCTCTCTCATCTAACCTTAGGTTCTACTTGGAAATGGAGACCCTTTAGTATCCAGCCCCATGGATATCTCAGGACTTCTGCCCATATATGTGGCTATATTCTGTGGCTCTTCCCCTATTAAGTCATAAGGTCCCTGGCTGAGGTAGGCTGTGGTGAACCTCATCATTGGCCTGGCCACCAGGAAACAAGGTGTGAGCTGATCAGGGGGTTTTAGGGCACTACAGTCTTGTGGGAGAGCAGTCTCTGCCTTCTCTCCAAGCAAGGGGCCAGTGCTTTCCCTTCCTAGGGAGGGCTGGGCCACTCTGCACACTCAGATTGTGCAGGGGCATCTGGGGATTCAGATAAAAAGAGAAATGGGCAGAGGGGAACAAGAAAGGGGCACAGAGAGAGAAGCTGGGATGAGTCACGAGAGCACAGAAAGAGGGGCAGAGACACGGCTGGTTGCCAGCAAGGTCTCAGGATCAATAGGAAGACCATTGTTGGAAGGAGGAAGATTTCCCCAGTATTTTGTGTGGGAGCTCCAGTTGGAAGCTGGAAGCTCTGCTCTTTTGCATCTTAGCGTGAAGACGGGGACCATGGGTTCATCTCTCCCAGGCAGCTCTTCATTTTGTTGTTTTATTTTCTTTTTTGATTTTTATTTAGAAATTTTCTACATTTCCTAAAATCTTAACTTTTATATCATTGTTGGTGTCCAGTAAATTAAGAGAAATGTGGCAAAATGACATGGAATCCAAATACATCATCAAAGAGATATTTTATTTGTAAACAAGTTACTCTCTAAGGTCTTAAAATCTGCCCCAAGTGTTCTCTCTGCACGTGAACAGGCGGAATAATTGTGATAAAATGGAAGAGCCCAGCAGGTGGGGTCTGTGAGATCATTCAGCTGACTCCTGCAGACAATGTGCTCTCTCTCTCTCTGCCCCCACACTAAGGGTGCACTCCTTGTTCATCTCCAGGACGGTGTCAGCAAATGCTGCCTGGGGCATGCTGGTGATCACTGTGTCACTTTGGGTCAGGAAACACATTCTGGAGAGGACAAAGCAAGTGAACAGGCCTTGTACGCTGAGTGGAAGGCCTTTTATCTCCAAAAAATCAAACCAGAGAAATTAAAAAATATCTTGAAACAAAAGACAAGGGATACACAAATATAAAAACTTGAGGGTTCCAGGGACCAGAGGGCTTCTGCACCTTAGCCTGTTTCCTGCTTTGCTAAATGAGCAGATGTGTGATGTGCTCTCTTTGGTCCCATCGCTTCCTATTGTGATTCCTCCACCCTGGGCACTTGCTCTCATCCTGTTCTGCCGGCTGCTGCCTCACTCAACAAAACCTGTCGACTTCGACTAAGGTCAAGATTCATGGGTCGACCTTAGTACCACCTGCCATTGGCCCCAGGACCATGCCCTGTGCCACCACCCAGGCCCCAGAGCCCAGGGCACAGCAGGTTCACCCTGAGGACATCTGAACAGGTCTTTTTTCACAAGAGGACAGAAGAAAGGATAGCGACACTGAGCTCCAATGCCGTGAAGAGGAGCATCACAGACAGGATCCTCTGAAATGCAGGATGCACGAGGTCTGTGCTGGACTGGCCAACCCTTCTGCCTTCCTGAGATGACCAGATGGGTTTAGACAGTGTCATCTGCTGGCTCCTCTTCCCTCGTACCTGACTCAACCTGCTCATGATCTGGGAGACAGTGTCATATCCTAGTATCCTGGGCCACTCCAGGGACAGCAGTACAGGTGGCAGGTGACACCCAAGGTTGAGCTGAGCCTCCTGACTCTTCATTCATCTGGCCTCCAGGGAGAGTCTCCGCCTGTCTGGGTTTCAATTTCATCTTCTGTAAGATGGGGACTTCCCACTCACCCCTTAGGGCGGTTTGCAGGTCCACAGAGGTGGTGAGGCAGAAGGCCTTCCTTTGTAAACTGAGCGCCAGCACCTGCTACCCACCTATGCTCCCTGGGGTGGGCCTGCTTGGCTTGGCTGGGAGGCAGCAAGGGGCACCTTGACCAATCAAAGTGATGTGCTGGCACAGTTGCTAATTCTCACGCCAGTCCCCAGGAGCTATCTGCCTGAGGAGGAGAACAATTCTGCTTCCCTGGGTCACCTTCCATGGAACAATGACTTCCAAGTAGAACAGGTAAGGCCACAGGTGGGCAGAATCTAGAATTTATTTGTACAGACTGTGACTATAGTGGGTTAGTGTCCCCCCTCAAATTCATGTCTACATAGAACCTGAGAATATGACCTTATCTGGAAATATGGTCTGTGTAGGTGCAATTAGTTAAGGATCTCAAGGTGAAATCATCCTGGATTTAGGGTGGACCCTAAATGCAATAACTGGTGTTCTTATAAGAAGAGAACAGGACACAGAGACAAACAGAGGGGAAGCCCTCATGAGGATGGAGACAGAGGTTAGAAAGACGTGTCCAGAAGCCAAAGAATGCCTGGAGTTCCCCAAAGCTGGAAGAGACAAGAAAGAGTTTTTTCCTAGAGCCTTCAGAGAAAGAGCGGCCCTGCCGACTCCTCGATCTTGGACTTTGCTTTCAGAACTGTGAAGGAATTCACTTCTGTTGTTTTCAGTCACCAGTTTGTGGTCCTCTGTTATTGTGGCCATGGGAAATGAACACAAGGACCCCTCAGGCAGGGGTTGCCGCTTCTCAGCTCTTCCTGAGAAGCTCCTGAGCCAGAGAGCTCAGGCTGGTTTCTGAGGAGCTCATCCTAACCCACTACACAAACCCCATCCAGCCGCTCAGCAGATGCCTCCCCTGCCCCTCAACCCTCCACTCCCATTATAGCTGCTCCATCTATGGGAGGATGGCCTGAAGCCAGCGATGAGGGGATGGGACAACGGCCAGGCTGTGCACACATTCCCCCTGCCTGCTGCCTCTCCACCCCTAGAATATCCCCCTCTATGGCTGCAGGAATGCAAACTTCCTCTGCCTTCTTTTCTCAGTGTTCCACACACATGTTCTCTTGACTTTATTGACTAAACACATTTTAGAGCAAATACTGATGCTCAGACTGGCTCTAATGCAACAGAGAATGCGAAACCACATTCTGTCATTTTCATAAAGTTCTGATTGCAAACAACAATTAAAAAGCCCATTCCGTATTTGTTTCCTGATTTTTTGGGGTCATTTTTGGCCATCCCATCCATTTTTGTGCATGTGATGGAATTAGGATTTAGCCTCTTGCAGCCTCCCTTGACCTGTGGCTCTTGCCTGGCTGAACCTGGGCACTGCCAGCCTGTGGCCACCCTGTTTATGAGGTTCCTATGTCTCCCTGAGCTCTTGGCCTTTCTTGAGCAATTCGCTACCCTGACCCTAGAGTTCTTGCTTGGAAAAACCCATCCCTTGAGACTATGACAGTTAAATCAGTTTGTTTATTAAGTTGCTCAAATTGAAACCAAGTTGTTGGTTATGTCTTTTTGCAACTACAGTCTTGCTTGATATTGTACTTGAACAACTCTTTTGGCACAGTCCAGTCAAATGCCTGCTATTCTCCCATGTGTGGGTTCCTGTGTTCTGCCTCTTTCCGCATGGTCCACATCAGAAGGAAGCAGTGAACAAGAAGCAGAAAATCTCAAAGACTTCACTAGTCTGGAAGATTCTACCTAAAAATACTCACCAGTAAGCTGGAGCTGGCCACAAAGCAGCTGGTGGTCTCATTCTTCGAAAAGTAGTGGCTGTCTTGGGGCACTGATGGGCAGGCACCACCAGTTGGCACTGTCTGGCAGCTGGGAACACCCCGGCTAGGTGATAGGGAAGGACAATGAGGCCCACTGTGGCAGCCATGGGGCTTAGGAGGCTGCTGATCAGGCTGTTCCAGGCCTGCAGGGGATCTGGTCAGGGTCTGCTCCTGAGCAGTTCATGCTCCTGGGGCACCACGATCCCACCAGGCCAGCAGCAGGTTCTCACATCCAGGATCCTCGGCAGGATGGGACTTCCTCTTCTGTTATACGATTTGATTAATTTTGTTCACTCTCAACCCCTCTCAGAGCTCCCCAAGCCTACAGGCAAATGCTTGCTTGATGCACGACACATGAAAGCGTGAATGAAGCAGAGACTTATGGTGGGACAGACAGGAGATGTGGTTCTGGTAGCTTCTCCACCCAGGACTGAGCAGGGCTAGAGGAAGAGGAAGATATGTATAGAACTGATGTCCCATTGGACTGAACCGAACAGAGAAAATATTGCAATGCCCACAGTGCTTGATAAATCACAGCTTCCCTGACCTCCAAGCCCCCTGCTGGCTTTACCCAGTCCACTGGCACCCTGAGGAGGTTCCTCCAGCCATCTCCCCTAAGCCTAGCCAGAGGCCTCCTGCCTCATCCTGAGCTGAGGCTGTCATCAGGTGGGTTCCCAGACATGCTCTTTCCTATCACCTGGCTCTGTCTGCAGCACCCCTGCATGGTAGAGCTCGAGGCCAAGGGGCCTGCTCACCCAAGTACAACAGATGCCCCCACAGCAGCCTCTGTCATATGGGGACAGCAGCAGGGTTGGTGCTCTTTCCTGTTCTTTTCATCCACTCCACTTTGTGAAAAGGGTGCCCTGGCAGGAGGGCCAGGGAGCATGGGGTACGAGGGCTCAGTGTGGGGGCAACAGCACCTGGGGCCGAGGGTGGATGTTCAGATCCCGGCTGGGGCACGGCCCAGAGGAGGGCTGAGAATCACAGCTGCGCCATGGGGTGCTACCTCCCCTCGAAAGTAGGAAACCTGGATTCCAGTTTTGCGGTGTCCAGACTCACTTTTCAAAGACCAACACCAGGGGAGGAATAGGCTGATGTCTGTGGTGGCTTCTGGGACACCTGGGCTAGGTGTTCCAGCCCGTCACAAGCAGCCCATGGCACGTGTGCTCAGGTATGCCCAGCAGCCTCTGGCAAAGATCCGGGCCCTCTTCCCAGGGGCTCAATCTCAGAGCTGGGCAGTGATGGGGGAAGAGATGGAAAAAGGTCGTGGGCCATTTCTCCATACAGCCCCAGGGATTCACAACTCGTGTTGTCAGAATGTTCTGAGAAAGTCCCTTTTTTTCAAAGAAGAGGTCCCTGAGGATGGTGGCGGGTGAATTTCCTAGGAGCCTAAGTGGCCCTGGAACACCGTGGTCCCCACCTTGTGCCGCCGTCTGCCTCACCCAGCTGCTGCTTGCTCTGTAGGGCTGGTGCTCCTGCCCTTGTTTAGGGGATCCACACAGGCTGCTTTCCTGGAGGGCTCAGGGGAGGCTGAGGGTGGGGATGAAGAAGGGCATCTGATCCTTTGAGGGAGGTCTGAGAGAATGACAGTGTCCAAACCTGGCACTGCCACCTTGAGGCTTGGCTGCCAGTTTCTTGGCAGCTTCTGTGTCAGGACAGGGAGACCCCCAAATCCCAGGTCACCAGAATCTCCACCATACCCATCTCTGTCCCCCAACCCATGCCTCTTAGCCTCCTAAGAAAGGCCTGGAAATGATTCTGCAAAAGTTTGTCAATCAGATGTGCACCCATCACTGAACACCCCCTTTTCACTCTGCACCCTTCCTGGCCCCCACCAGCAAGGCTCATCTCTTTTGATTGATGCTTTTCTCACCCAGGCTGTGGTGCACAACTAACAGCCCATGCTCTCACTGTCCTCTTTCCCCTGTGCTCACCAAGGACCTGAACCCCGGTGGTCAGTGAACACCAAAGGGTGTCATGATGAGGCAGAATTTTCCCATAAAGCCACCCAGAGCCTGGAGAGGGTACAGGACTCTCTTCAAAATGAGGATCATGAAAGGTGTCCCCCAGATCAGTGGGCCCTGTGTACTTCCACAGGGCCACTGACCAAAGGACACTTGTCAGCAACCTGGGGTTCAGTTCCTTTGTCTGAACCTTGGAAAGATCCAACTGGATGAGGTTCCGCTAAAGTCTCTTTTTAGTAAGTGAGGCACTGTTGTTCCTATACTCACCAGATGCTTGTTTGATTTTCTTCCCAAAATGACAGACAGCAATCCAGAAATGATAAACTACTCAGAAAAGAGGAAAATGGTAAAGTCAGTTTCCACATGAACAAGCACCCCGATGTCCCTACCACTGAATTGTCACGTCCTTGTACACCTCCAGGAACTTCCCCACAGGGCTGACATTATTGGGCATGCTGGAAGCTGGGCCAAAGTCCAGGCCATATGTGGCTACAGGCCAATGTTGAGGGAAGTGGATATAGGAGGCCAAGCCACCCCTAGAATCTCATGAGAACCTGACTCAGCTGGAGAGGAAGTTCTTCTAGGGCAAAGACAAAGGGGCTTAAGGCCCAGGCTCCCCAACAGGGACCAGGGAACAGTGATTTTCAAGGGAGAGAGGGCAGGTAAATGTTACAAGACTCTATTTAGATGAAGATGTTGTGGTGGGGAGAGAAAAGCCACGCGGGCTTTGAACTGTCAGTTCCATGGGCTCTACCAGAGTCAGAGTTAAGGACAGAAGAAAAAGGGGGCCCAAATAAAGGGAAGATTTTGAGGCCAGGTTAACAGCTAGAAAAAAACTGTTGATTCTGGGTTATTACAGAAAAAGTGTTCTGTGGTAATGCAGTAATTTGAAATAGCTGCAATGTACGAAAACTACATGGCATGGTGGCAAGACTATAAAAAAAAGTTTTTCTGGTCCTACCAAGAAAATAGCCAGATAGAGAGGGAACAGGGAGGTTTGTGACTCAGTGGTCAGAGGATGCTCAAAAGCCACCGTGAATGCAAGAGGCTGCGGCTGGGGCGTGAAGACAGGTCTAGGCTGTGGGAAAGCCTCATTCACATTTCACAAGACTGAAAGCTTTCTCCTGAAGCTTCTTGCTGTGGCCTGAATGTCTGTTGCCCCCAGATTTCATGTGCTAAATACCTAACCTCCAATGCGATGGTATCTGGAGGTGGGGTCTTTGGGAGGTGAGTAGGTCGTAAGGGTGAAGCCCTCATCAATGGGATTACTTCCTTTATAAAAGGAACCCAGAGAGATTCCTCTGCCCTTCCACCACATGAGGACACAGCGAGAACGCTCTATCTATGAACAAGCAACAGCCTTCACCAGACACCAAATCTGTCGGTGTCACGATCTTGGACTTCCAGCCTCCAGAACTGTGAGTAATAGATGCTTGCTGTTTATAAGCCACCCAGCTTATGGTATTTTTGTTAAAGCAGCTCAAGCCGTCTAAGACACTCCTTGATTCCAGGAGCCTGGGGGATATTCAGGACTCCGAGGCTATGTCTGGAGCGTAACTCTGCAGAAGGCCTTCCACATGCCAAGAGATGACAAGCAGCAGATAGAGCTTCTAAGTGCTCCATGCCACCTCTTCAAGCTCAGTATATGCTCTACTGACCCCACTGGTCCTGCTGGCCCCATAGACAGGGCCACAAATGCACCAGCCTGGCCACCCCACTGTGTGCCCTGTCCACCCCATTTCTCACTTGCTGTCTGCCCACCTCACTCCTACTCCTTGTGTCACCTGAACTTAGGGAGAAGTAGGGTGACCCTATGTCCAGTGTGTCAGGGACAGTCCTGGGTATTCCTGTGATCATGGCATAAATAGTAATAGCACACTCTTTTATTCTTATAGTGTCCCTGTTGAGGCTACACATGCTATTGTCACCCCAGAGAGAAGCTGCAGGGCTCCCAGGGCCCTCGAGGATGGCACTATGAGGATTTTGGAAGAACTGATATTTGAGCCAGATGATCAATTCTGTTCCCATTGGCAAAACCCCTTCTCCTGCCAGGCCTTCTCTCACTCCTGGCTGATTGCCCTCAAAACAAGTTCCATTCCTGCATCTTTGCTCTCCACAGAGACATTGCTAGGTAGCATATCAGTTGTCTGTGCCCTGCTCCATCCCAGAGACCACCCTCCATGAACACCCATCCTACTCACATACTTGGCTCCTACGAATGGGTATCCAGACCTCACCAAGGTGAGAACCACTGGGCCAAAGTGACAGGGAAAGGAAGTACATGCCAAAAGGATCCCCATGCTCATAACTGCAAAGCCACAGAGGATCTGGATGGTCTGTTAGGGAAGAAGGGTCACCTGGTGTGACCTCAGAAAGATATGTTCAAGTCCTAACCCCTGATACCTGGGAATGTGATCTTCTTTGGAAATAGGGTATTTGTAGATGTCATTGGGATGTCAGTTAAGATGAGATCAGAGTGGAGCAGGGAGGGCCTTTAATCCAGTATGACTGGTGTAGGTACAAGACAAGAGAAACAGGCAGATGCTGGCAGAGAGAATGTCACACAAAAACGGAGGCAGAGGTGGGAGGGATGCAGCTGCAACCAAGGAGAGCCAAGGACTGCCAGGATACACCAGAGCTGGGAGAGAAAGCCTGGCCCTGCCCAGACCTGGATTTCAGACTATGGCCTCTGGCCTCCAGAATTGGGAGAGCATGAGTTTCTGTTTTGTTTTGTTTTTTTTTTGTTTTTTTTTTTTAAAGCCATCTGGTTTGTGGTAGTTTGTTACCATGGCCCCAGGAAACCAACTCACTGGGTGAGTCAATCAAGGGCCAGTCATTGTCAGTTTCCCCAGGGAAGCGGAGTGCTGGAACTCTCTGTGCAACCCAAGGAGATAGTGCGGAAGCAGGAAAAGCGTCTCAGGGGCATGGGAAACCAAGCACGCAGGACATGCTCCCAGCCCTTCCCAGTGCTGGCTGAGATCAGCGTGCAGTGAAATGCTGGGTGTTTCTGTCTTTAGCTCTGAGCTGTGGCAGTGGGATCCCAGGTGATGACTGGTCACAGCCCAGGAGGTTCCCATGCCCTTTGCTCCCTCTCCCTCCTGGGCACAAAGAAGCACTTAGGAGACAGCAGGTGGGGCAGGAACTGGCTCCCACTCTCTGCAGGATGAGTGGACACAGGTACCTCTGTTCGGGGCATGGCTCCTTGTGGGAGACGGACCCCAGAGCTGTGACGGGGTCCCAGGCAGCCTCTGAATCAGCCTCAGAATATTTCTACCACAAGAGTTCACATTCTTGCAACATTTACCAAGCAACCTCCTACCTGTTCTAACAGCGGAGTCAGCCCAGAAAGCACTTTTCAACCCAAGGTTAGGTGTGGCCTGGGGATTGAAGGAACAGCTGAGGCTCCCACAAGTAGGGAGGTGCTGGCCCTGGGCCCCAGGCCCTTCCCCCTGGTGCTTGTGTTGCCCAGCTCCTTCTTTCCGTTTCCCCCTCCTCCCTTTGGTCATGCAATGGAGTTGTATTTCTTTAAAAATCATGGATCGTATGAGAGATATTGGAAGGCAGACTAAGGGCACATATCTGTTTTCAAATGGTTAATTTCTCAAGAAGGGAGAATAGGAGATGAATTGTCTATAATTTTTAGAAAGAAAAAAAAATCCCTGGGAAGTAAAATCTAGAATAATTTATTCAACAGACTATTTTTTTTCTTTTGCCTCCAAATAAAGTGTATGCAAATATGTTATTATTCCCTTAAAATGAGTTAAGCAGCTAAAGTTTTATATCTCAGGTGAATGCTCCCCATGAGCACAAAACTGGGAAATCTCTTACTTTCTTGCGGAAAATGACTAGGTGGTCCCAGAGGCCTCCCCCGACGCCTCCAGAGCAGCCTGGAACTCCTTAAGCCAAAGGCTCTGTCTCCAAAGTGACAAAGTGTCCTCCTGGCACCCACTCAGCCTCTGCCCTTTGCTTGGCTGTTCTTACCCCAAGCACCTGGGCCTTTTTCTTCAGATTTTTTTCTCACGTTGTCCTGGTTGAGAGGCTCCAGATTCTCTGTGAGGTGCTCAAAGATGCAACTTTGTGGAAACACCACACAGTATCCACTGGGCAGGGCTCTGGACCCGGATAGGGATTGCTGCTGCTGCTGCCAGACAGGCGCGGAGCCAGGTCCGACTCTGGACCGAGACTTAACATTGCAAACTTCCCAAGCTTCAGATTTCCTTGGGTAGTCAACTAGAATCCCCCAGTCATCCCAAGGCGACCAGGGTTCTAGGAAGGAACCTGGGAACAGGGGTGCCTCAAAACCCTGGCGTAGTGAGAATTCTCATGGGTTCTTGGCATTGCACAACACCTGTTGACAGCACAGCCTGCCCTGAGGAGGGTCACAGCAGAGAGAGCAGACCAGCCTGCCTGCAGGTGCCCAGCTTCACCTTCATACTGGTCATGAATTTCCTGCAGTCCCTAACAGGCTTGGGACATGCTCCCTCCAGCCCAATTTCAGGATTGGATGCTTTTCAAATTCTGCTCTCCATCCCTTCTTATGCCAGGTCCATTCCTTTCAGGACATCCAGTTAGCACTGCCCTGCTTCTATAACCCAAATATTACGTGATTCTTTGTAGGAAAACCAATTGTTGGTGTCAGAGCTCTCTGAGCACTGACAATAGGCTAGGCTTCATGCTAAAGCAGTGCTGTTCCTTACACGCAGCAAGGCCCGTAATCAGAGTCCGAGGTACTAGTTCTAAATGAATAAGACATTCTTAGCCCAGAGACGCCTAGCCACAGCATGGCCTCTGTATGAATGTGTAGTAAATGTAAGCAATTACGAGTAATGCCAGGTTTAACTGTCACAGCCGATGTGACAAAGCCCGCTGGCTCTGGGTCTTTTCTCTTTTTACCTCCTCAGCTCCCTTCTTCCCCCTCTTGTAGTGTAAGGCAGCTGCATATGGCAGAAAGAGAATGTGGTCCAGCCCGTCCCCTGGTCTCTGCAGCTGAGCCCAGGCCCCACCTGCCCCAAGGGCTCTGTTCACTGCATCAGCCCCTTCTAGGACAGCACAGTGGGGAAACAGTCTGAAGTTGCCCAGAGAGAGGAGGCTCCTGCTCCTGTGGCCCTTTATCCTGCGTCTGAGCTTGCAGGATGTTCTGGGATCTCTGGGCTGGAGTGGGCAACACCTGCAGCTCAGAAACCATGTCCCAAATTAGGCACGTGAAGGAGTCTGGTGGAAAAAGTATTGGGCCACAGAAACAAGGCTGCTGGGTACCTTTCCCAATCTCACAGACAGCGTCCTTCAGAAGAGACCCCAACACTGACGTTGGCAGATATCTCTGAGGGGGCCTGTGTGACTTTCATCTCCTCCAGGACCTCTGGGCTTCATTGGCCCATGTCAACCTGTTCTGCCCTGATTGGCAGGGAACACCCCACATCTCTGGCTCAGGCAGTTATGATGACAAAATTTATAGGGCCCTTCCTGCAGCAGTTCTTTAATTTTTAGAACAAGGCCAGTGGCATTGTGATTGAGTTCAACTGCTGGGGAATCAATTGCATTGAATTTGTGTTGGGTGGTATTGTGTGCACTGAAGACACAGTGCACACATTAAGATCTCAGAACCTCAGAGCTGCAAGGGAGCCCCATTTAGCAGATGAGAAGTTTCTCCTCCTAGGGCTTCAGGAGCTGTAAACATCCACCCCTAGATGCCACCGTGGGGTCGGAGCCCCACAATCTGCCCATCTGTATGCTCCCCTAGAGGTTTGAGCAGTGGGGCACTGAAGAAGCAAGCCACACCCCCATCACGTGCCCCGCGAGGGGAACAAGGGAACTTTTCTCATTTCAAAAGTATAAAACTCACTGTAAAAATAAGAATATAGTACAATTCAGACTTCTCTCATACTCTGATGGCATAAGTCACTTTTAATTCTAGTATAAAATTAAAAGATAAAATAAAACAATTATAGCCATAATAATTTGTTGGTGGATACAGAGTATGAAAAGATGTAAATTGTGACATGAATAACATAAAAATGTGTAGAGAGAAGAAGTTAAAGTGTAGGGTTTTTGTATGCAGTTGAAGTTAAGTTATTAGCAGCTTCACATAGACTAAAAACTGTAAGATATTTTATGTAAGTCTTATGGCAACAACAAACAAAAACCTGTAGTAGGTACACACAAGACAAAAAGAGTAAAATCAAAGCATATTACCACACAAAAAAATCATTAAATTACAAAGGAATACAGCAAGAGGAAGAAAGAACAAAATATCTACAAAATAGTCAGAAACCCCTGAACAAATGGCAGTAATAGGTCCTCATCTGTCAATAATCACTTTAAATATAAATGAATTCAATTCTCCATCAAAAGACATAGAGTGGCTGAATGAATAGAAAAAGAAAACCAAGATCCAACTATGTGTTGCATCTGAGGGATTCAATATATCTTTAAGGACACACATAGGCTAAAAGTGAAGGGATGGAAAAAGATGTTCCATGCAGATGGTAGCTAGTAGAGAAGAGGGGTGGCTATACACACATCAGATAAAATAGACTTTCAGTTAAAAACTGCCACAAGATTCAAAGAAGATAATTTTGTAATGATCGAAGGAGTCAATTTATCAAGAAAATATAACAATTTTAAGTGTATGTGCACCCAAGTTCAGAGCACCTAAATATGTAACGAAAATATGAACACAATGAAGGGAGAAACAGACAGCAACACAACATTAGCAGGAAACTTTTATACCCCACTTTCAACAACGGATAGATTGTCCAGACACAAAATCAAAAAGGAAACTTTGGATTTGAACAACACGATAGACCAAGAGGTTCTAAGAGACATTTATGGGACATTACATTCAACAGCAGCAGAATGACCATTCTTCTCAAGCATACACAGAACATTCTCTAAGATAGATCATATATTAAGCCACAAAACAAATCTTAACAAATTTAAGAAGATTAAAATCATATCAAGTCTGTTTTCTGACCACCATGGTAATAAATTAAAAGTTAGTAACAGGAAGAAAATTGGAAAATTTACAAATTTTTGAAAATTAAATAATATCATGTTGAACAATCAGTATGTCAAAGAAGAAACCAAAAGGCAAATTTAAAAACTATCTTGAGACAAACACAAATGGAAATACAACATCCCTAAACTTATGGGATGCAGCAAAATAGTTCTAAGAGAGAAGTTTACAGTGATAAACACCCACATTAAAAATATTATAATATAATTTTGCATGATGTTACCACTGGAAAACTGGGTATGGGATCTGTTTGCATTATTTCTTGCATCTACATGTGAATCTACAATTATCTAAAAATTAAAAGTTGAATTTAAAAAGCCACAAGAATGATAATGTACAGAAGAGCAAGAGGAACAGAGAGATGTAAAACATTTCATTTAATCAAATATTAAAAAAAAAAGAAGTTGCTGACCCAGTAATTTCACTCCTTTTCGTTGGATATATGCTCCAAAGGAATGCCTGCATTCATTCTAAGACATGCTACAAAACATTAAAATACAATGGTCAAAATATGAAAAGACAAGGGATTTCATACAATATAATCCACCCAAAACAAAATCCAAATTATTTTTTAGAAGTTATTAAAATAGAAACCACATGTTTTTGAATATGTGATTAAAGCATACTTAATACAAAGAGAAAGCTTTGCTAACTGGAAATTAACTATTTGTTTTTGTCTTAAACAACTTTTGGTACTGGAGGATTTTAAAATGAAAATTATTTAGAAAATAGAAATGTTGAGATAATTGCCAGTGGTTATATGTTAATATCAGGAGGGACTTGCAGACACTGGAACAGGACCTCAGTGGGGACATGCAGAGCCATGGGGGCTGGCAGTGCTGGCTGCTGCATGTCACAGGAATAAACACAGAAAGCACATTATTGTTAAAGAAGAGAGCATGAGCAGACACTGAAAATGCTTTAATAAAGATACCAGAGAACAAGATAGTGTTAGTCCATTATGTCCATTACCACACTGCTATAAAGAACTACCTGAAACTGGCTAATTTATGAAGAAAAGAGGTTTAACTGACTTATAGTTCCACAGGTTTAACAGGAAGAATAACTGGGAGGCCTCAGGAAACTTACATTTATGGCAGAACACCAAGGGGAAGCAAGCACCTTCTTCACATGGTGGCAGGAGAAAGAGAGAGAGTGAAGGGGGAAGGTCACACAATTTTCAACCATCAGATCTCATGAGAACTCACTCACTGTCATGAGAACAGCAAGGAGGAAATCTGCCTCCATGATCCAGTTACCTCCCACCAGGCTTCTCCAATTCGATATGAGATTTGGGCGGGGACACAAATCCAAACCATATCATGTGTCTATAAGAAACACAGAGATTTACACTATTGGTATGTAAATGGTGCTACTGAGACCAGATTGGGTACAATGACAAACACTTCCTGTGGATGGTGACGTCTTTTCCAGACTAGGAAGACTGGAAAAGAGAAATCTCCATGTGGACGGCCAGGTGTCAGAAAATGCTTCAATCAATGGATTTAGTTAAACAGCATAAAACAGCTTGCCATGTAGTTATTTTGAAATAAATTACTCAGTCAGGCAGCAAATTCAGGGAAAGTCAGCCAAATAAATATACAAATGTAGACAGAGAAGTCTTCCCAAGAAAAGAAGAGAAAGCAAAGAGAAATGGCATCACCAATGAAAGCACACACAGAGATGTAACTTCAGAAATGGTGTCCAGGGAAAATGTCCTTTCCCATCTTCACATCATCCTCTGGACATTGACCAGCAAGCAGATATTTTCTGACGCAGAAGAAGAAAGGAAGCTCTTCTGATCTGTACAGTGGGCAGATCACATCTCCGTGGGGTGTTCTACAAATGTTTTATTGATCTTTGGTGATGTATTTTTTTTGTCATCCAGTAATTTTTTTCATGCCCCTTGTCAAGATAATTCTCCATCCTTATCTGGTGTGCTTCCCTCCTGGCAGGGTCTAATCTTTGTTGCCTGCTCTGGAGGTAGCAGGAGCCTCAACGGTTCAGAGAAGTCCTATCTCCTTCCTGTAGGCAGCAGAAATTCATTTCTCATGAACATCAAAGTCTTCTTAGTGAGATGGGTGCCTGGTGGGTGAAGTTAAACATGTCCAGGATGGGCCATGGCTACGCCACAGGACCTGAAGGGTTTTATCACAATAGGTGAGGACTGCCCTCAGAGTGTGGCATCAGAGTCAAACTCTGGTATTGTAGCTGCAAACCAGCACTGATCCTTGGGGGCAATCCCTAGGCATCCTGGAAACTCTGGCTACTGATTGAGTTCATGAATGAGATGAATACCTAGAATTTAAGCATACACCTGAATGTGAACCTTGCTTATGCTGAATTTCCTTTTTCAAATTTAAATGTTGAGCTGACACTGATAAAATTAGGCTTCTCCAAACAGCAAGCCAAACTTTGCTTATTTGCTGACAAGCCAGCAGGCCCTTCTATTTCAGAAGAAGTGATGTAGAACCAAGTTCTTAGCAAGCAATGAACTCAGGTGTCTGCCAGGGAATGGCATGCTCATTCACAGATGCATCAGTCCTCATCCCTGTAGGTTGGAAACCCCAGCAATGAAGAATCAATAGAAAGGTCTTCATCATGACTCATCACTCCAAGCTGTCTGTTCTAGAGCAGGGAAATTTCCAGCATGGATCTTTAGCTCCATTTGGGAAGATGGACCAAACCCTGCCCATCTTGGAGAAGAGGTGGCCTGACACTCAAGGTCCCACACACAAGGCTCTTTCCCTCTGTGTGACCATCAGAATCTTCAAGGGATACCTGACCATTTCATTTCTTTCTTTTCTTCCTTCTCTTGACAAGTTAATTGCAGAAGCTGTTGGAATCGCTTCAATAGAACAGATGGCCTGCGCTGGAGAACGTGTGGTGTTACATTAAGGGAGGGGTCTTGTGCTTAAGGGAAAAAAATGAGACCTGAACTAAAACTTCCACAGAGGACAAAGGACGAATTCCTGGAATCAAGTAAAGCAGTGCAGCAGCAGTGACAAAACCTCCAGAGTTCATCAGAAACAGAGAAACTGATTTCAGGGGTCACAAAAGAGTCTGGTGTCTGCATACCAGAGAGAACAAATGTAGGTCTTTTTTTTTTCATTCAAAAGATACAGATTACACTTTAAGAGACAGATAATTCCACTAAGTAAAACTCCTCTGAGAAGCACACTTCGTATGTCCAGGAGAAAGGCCATGAAAGGGCACTGTGGAAACTGGGAGGCAGATACAGGTGAGGAGCTTGCAGAGCACCTTGAAGTCCAGGAGCCTCTTGTACTTCAGAGCTGATGGGTGAGAAAAGCCGGTCAGTGTGGGAGGAACAGAGTGGGGCATAACACCCTTCAGCATGCATCAACATGACTGTGGGATTGTGGGGAAAAGGCTAGGAGGGGTGACAAGAGACAACAGAAAATGTTATTCTACACTTAAGCAAGACATTTTCTCTCAGGGTAACAATACGTCATTGGTGTTGATTTTCAGTGCCTGTCCTAACTAGGATCAGGTGGCAAAACAGGACACAAGATATTGAGAGTCCAGGGGACTCCATGCCCAGAGACTGCATATTCACATGGTAAGTGACCAAGAAACTGTTACATGAAGATGGTGGGTACAAACCATCTTTGAACAGAGAAAATGAAATAACTGTTTACAGAACATCAGCCCTCGGGACAACTCAGTTGGAAAATCAATAATCTAGAAATGTGCATTCTTAAAGTGAATGTGGCAGGTGAGATCAGAGCAAGGGAAAAGTACTGAGAAGGTAAAATGACAGTGAGCTCATGGCAACCCCGAATCTGAGTCCTAAGACATCAGTCAGTGCACAGGGTTGACCCGATGTGTGTCAGAAAGACAGGCAGAATCTCTCAGACCTGCTGTGGTCCCTGAGAGTTGAGAATGCAGGTGAAATGTGGACACAGAAGTCCCAATACATACCCATGCCTGTAATAGGAGGACACTCTTTTCAAACTGTGAGGGCTAGGGCCAAGCTTTTCTTACTGAGGTGAAGAAAGGGCCACATTACTGGCTTCTCTCTGCACAAATTGTATTGGAACACCCCTCAAGGGGTGCTTTCTTTGGGAGTGAAGCATGGTGAAAGCTTTTGCCTGAGGGGTTCTCTGAATTTGATCTTGATCTTGTGTTTATCAAGAGCAATGCCATGAAGTTCAGCTCACTAGAAACTGACTCAACATATCCAACTTGGAACTGGGTCTACTCCTTGCAAGGCCCTATTCCCTGTCCCTAGGATGAGGGAGTCAGGGGCTGCCAGGGCTATGCGGAGCTCTGACCAGAGTAAGAGAAAGGAGCCCTATGGAGACAGGAAGGACCTGCCTGGGCACATAAAGCCACAGTGGAGCAGCTGACCATGTGATAAACCTCGGGATGCTCAGCTATCTGTCCCCACAGATAGAAGCCACTCATTGGCCAGAAGAAAAACAAGGAGCACATGGGAATCTTGATCAAAGTTGCTCAAGGTCCAGTAACCTCTGGAAGCCCAAGAGAGAGCTCATATTCAGAGGACAGGAAGACAATTCCAGACCATTGGTCCACAGAGGTGTCACCTGTCCTTCTGTGTCTGTGTCAGCCTCACTGCCCCCTGACTTACCCCTGCCCCCAGGAAAAATGTCACAGGTAAGATGAGAACTGTGTTCTCTCTTCATCTGACTCTCTTTCTCATCTCTCTAATTCGGAGGAGTTTTTGCAAGGATTTTAGATGTGTTTTCCCCAAGGGAAAGAACATTATCAGGACAGTGCAACCCTTCATTTGAGGACTGGGGACTGGAATCCATCCTTGCTTATTCTTTTTTTGTGTGCGAATTTTGCTTCATTTTGGTAAGAATTCTTGACACGAGATCTATTATCCTAATAATTTTAAGTGCACAGTAGTGATCTTTAAAATGCAAATCCTTGGCTGGGCATGGCAACTCATCCCTGTAATCCCAGCAATTTGTGGGGTCGGGGTGGAGGGGATCTCTTGAGCTCAGGAATTTGAGACCAGCACAGGGCAACAAAGGGAGACTCCCATCTCTACAAAAAGAAAAAAATTAGAAAATTAAAAAAGAAACCTAGCCAGATGTGGCAGCACACGCCTGTGGTCCCAGCCACTCAGGAGGCTGAGGTGGAGGCATCGATTGGGCTGGAGAGGTGGAAGCTGCAGTCAGCAGTGATTGCATCACTGCACTCCAGCCTGGGGGTGAGAGAGTGAGACCTTGTCTCTAAAGAAATAAATAAATCCAGATAATATTATTATCTGAGCTTAAAACTTTCCAACACCTGGACATTGCACTTAAAATTCAAACTTCTTATCTTGGCCTATATGATTCCACACCTGCCTACCTCTCTAAAAGCTTATTTCTCTCACTCTCTCTTTCCCTCCCTAAACTTCAGCCACACTGGCCTTCTTTCTTTTCTTCAACCATACGACTGTTCTTCCTATGCGCCTTTGTACTTCCTGTTCCCACTACCTGCAGCACTATTCCTCTAGATATTCCCAGGATTGGCTTCCTGAAAAAGCCAGAAAATATTGTCAGCTCAGAAAGGACCAACCTAAGTGGCTCACTGTCTTTCCCGTTTTCCTTAAGATAGTCCATCCCACTGCCACTTTTTTTTTTCCTTCAGAGTAGTAAGCACCGTCTGAAATGATCCAATTTACTGCATTTGCTTATTGACATTCATCTGTCCCAACAGGACAGTATTTATTCATTCATCTCTCACTATATGCTCATCACTGTTCCATGCACTTACATGCTATCCACCCATTTAATTTTCAAACCCACAAGTAGGTATTATCAGTATTCTAATTTTGCAGAGGAAATACCAGAGGCTCAAAAAGATGAAGCAGCTTCAGTTGCAAAAACATTCCAGTACACTGTTGTTAACTATAGGCAACTACTACTTTTGTGCAGTAGAGCTCTAGTGCTTATCTATTTTGTTAAACTGAAACTTTATGCCCACTGACTACTAGCTCCCTACTTCCTGTCCTACAGCCCAGGGAACAACCATCCCACTCTTTGTTTCTATGAATTTGACTATTTTAGATACCCTATTTAAGTGCATGCAGGATTTATTCTTCTATGACTGGCTAATCTCACTTACCATAATGATCTGCAGGTTCAACTATGTTGTCATATATGACAGAATTTCTTCCATTTTTTTTTTGAGATGGAGTCTCCCTCCCCTGCCCAGGCTGGAGTGCAGTGGTGTAATCTCGGCTCACTACAACCTCCGCTTCCCAGGTTCATGCAATTCTCTGCTTCAGCCTCCCAAGTAGCTGGGATTACAGGCACCTGCCACCATGCCCAGCTAATTTTTGTATTTTTAGTAGAGACGGGGTTTCACCATGTTGGTCAAGTTGCTCTTGAACTCCTGACCTCGTGATCCATTCACCTTGGCCTCCCAAAGTGCTGGGATTATAGGCGTGAGCCACCACACCTGGCCAAATTTCTTCCTTTTTAAAGGCTGAATACTATTCTATCTTATGTTTATATCACATTTTCTTTATCCATTCATTTTTTGATGGATTTTTAGGTTGTTTCCACATTTTGGCTATTGTGAATAGTATTGCAGCAAACATAAGAGTGCTAATATTTCTTTGAAAACCTGATTTCAATTCTTTTGGACAAATACTCAGAAGTGGGATTTCTGGACCATACGGTGCAGTTCTACTGTTAATTTTTTGAGGAATTTCCATACTGCTTTTCACAGCAGCTGCGCCATTTTGCATTTTCACCAACAGTGTGTGAGGGATCCCTTTCTCCACATCCTCATTAGCACTTGTTATCTTTTGTTTTTCCAGAATGGCCATCCTAACAGGCGTAAGGTGCTATCTAGTTGTGGTTTTGATTTGCATTTCTTTGATGAGTCATCTTGGCCTGTCCTTGACTGGAGACACATTTTGGAAGCTGTTGGCACTCTCTGTTAATGGACATTTGGGTTATTCCCTCCCGTTCTCCCCTGAACTGGCTCTTCCCAGGTTAGTAGGAGGAAGAGTGTGTACTTGGTGCTGCAGGACTAAGATTAAGCCCTAGTGAAATCTGTAACATCTTTTTGGGCATTCCCATGGATCAGCTATAGCAACTCATTTAAGGATTTTTTTCTTGTTACAGATACATCCTGCTTTAGTGAGCTCAGCTTCTCTGGCAACTTCATCTGTGAAGCTGTCTTAAAGTATGAGAAGTCATTATCAGTGTTCAGGATCTCAGGAAAGGATGGTCTGATCTCTTTGGGCCCAGAGCGTTTCACCTCTCAAGCATCCTAAGTTCTTCAGTGTTCTGGACTCCATAGTGGGGCATCAAGGGTCATCAGGGCTGATTCTCAGAGGCCTAGCCAGCTCAGCCGAAATGTCCAAGGCTCAGGCAGTGGGCCCTGGACAGGGGATGTTGGCATCCTCCAATGAAATGATTCCATCCATCTTCCTGAGACAGGAAGGTGGACAGGAATCTCTCTAAGGAAGACACATGAGATCTCCTCTAGTCTGTGGTCAGCCTTGAGGTACCACACCTGCCCAAGGTGAGCAGGTTTTTGGCTAAGGGTGAATGGTTCATATCAGTTCTCCCCTACCCTGGATGCATTGTCTGAGGTGTTTTGCATGCTAGGCTCTTGGCCTCTGTCTCAGAGTCTTGAAAAGAGACAGAGCAGAGCTCTCCTGCTCACAGTCTGTATCTGCACTCATCCAGGATCTTCCACTTAAACGAGCTCTCAACATCATGGACAAACTTCCAGCATGTGAGTAGATTCACATCTGAGGCTACATCTTTGGTGTTTGCAAAATAGTGATAAGGATTCCATGGTTGAAAGAGGAAGCTGTGGTCAGGCCCCACCACTCCAGGGACAGTAGCTCAGTGCTGCTCTGAAGGGGCCTGGCTGCCCCTTTCTGTCCACTGATGGCTGAGATAAGAATATTCTCCAATCTTGAAAATGGCCTATAAGTCTTTAACTCTCTAGAGTTGCAGGGACCTTCTTGGGGTTTATTAACGCAATAATAGAAAAATAGTTATTGCACTCAAGTTGCTTAAGAGGCCCTCTCTGGACAGGAGCATCAAAGATTAACAAAGCAGATGAAGCCACTTGCCCCAGGGTGGTGAACTTGCTGAGCCTGCCTGTGGCTCTTTCCTTCTGGCTGTCACCTGGTTGCTCCAGTAGGTCATTCAGATCTCCATGTCCTACTAAGAAACTCCCCTCATTTATCCCACTAGGAAACATCCATTACCCTTATCATTTTCTATCCACTCAGCCCAATTTATTTTTCTCCTTGCAGTTATCACAATGTAAACCCAAAGAAGGTACAGACAGTTCTACCTTAGCACTGTCTTATCCTCATGCCAAAGATAAGTTTGTGGCAAGTGACATTTGCCTACTGAAGAGGCAATTTCCTGAGGAGACTGTTGAGTAGAGATGATGAAACGGTCTTTGGAGGAGCTTCAAAAAGGGAGGTCTAGAAGAAGAGCCCAGTGTGTTTCACAGATCCCAGAGCGGGAGGCAGAGGTCAGAGAAGCCTTGCGAAGTCTGCTCCACAATTCCAGATTCTATAAAAATAACAATTATTATTAGTTTTTTGAATATTAATAATAATTATTCATTAGAAACAAGATATAATAGTACTACTTGTTAATCATAATATAATCATAAATAATTAATAATCACATACAACTATTAATCACATTATATTATTAATATATTGTTATTAATATGCCACTAATAGCATATTCATATCATATAAATAATATTAATATAGTATACCAAATATATTAATATATACTGTTAATATGCTAATATATTCACATGTAATCAATAATACATTAATATCTTAATATTGAAAGCATATCAACATTAAAATGTACTGATAAACTATTTTACTAATATTGTATAAATATTATTAATGATACATTATTAATAAACTGAATAATGTTAATATCAATTAATATTAATGACCAAAGACCCACCAACATGGGTCGTGTTGGCATCAAGACTGTGACGAAGGTGGCCTAGGTCATCGTAGAAAAGTACTACATGTGCCTGGGCAATGACTTCCACACAAACAAGTGTGTGTGAGGAGATCCCCATTATCCTCAGCAAGAAGCTCCACAACAGGAGAGCAGGCTGCGTCACGCATCTGACGAACCAGATTCAGAGAGGTCCAGTGAGAGGTATCTCCATCAAGCTACAGGAGGAGGAGAAAGAAAGGAGGGACAATTATGTCCCCAAGGTCTCAGCCCTGGATCAGGAGATCATCGAAGTAGATCCTGACACTAAGGAAATGCTGAAGCTTTTGGACTTTGGCAGCCTGTCCAACCTGCAGGTCACTCGGCCTACAGTTGGGATGAATTTCAAAATGCCTCGTGGAGCTGTTTGACTCTTTCTCCAATGCTGTAATATACAGCAGTCACTGGATTTTATTTTCAATAAACCTGGGACAACAGCAATAAATAAATACATAAATATTAATAAACTAATGTCAATATTAATTATCAATATCCTTGATAGCATAATTGAGAATATGTTATATTAATATAATTAATATATTAACATAAATATATAATGTGAATATATTAACATCAATATTAATAACATGTTAATATAGCAATGTTATATTAATATAATTTATTAATATATAAATATTTACATAGTATTAATATGCTAGTCTCTCTATATTAATATATTTACATAGCATTAAAATACTATTCTCTATATTAATATTTATATTAATATTCTTAGGCCTCTTTTGTATTTGTTGCACCCTAAGTCTGTTCATTTCCTTCTCCTCAGCTGACATTTGGAGCATAGCAGTCGATGATGCCCACACAGACACTGCCTGAGACTCACGCCCCTGGAGAAACGCAGATTTCCTTATTTTCCAGGTCAAGTCCTGCCAGCCATAGAAAGGACTTCTTTGGTGCCAACTGCTGTGAAATGCCTGCCTTGGAAATCTCAGTGCTCCCTTGTACCTGTCTGAGCCCAGGGAAATGCCATACTGTGGCACTGCTGCATCCTGTATGGCTACCCAAGGATGCCCAGGACTGGGTTTGAAAGAGATGAGACATGGCCAGGTGCCGTGGCTCACGCTTGTAATCCCAGCACTTTGGGAGGTCAAGGCAGGTGGATCACAAGGTCAGGAGTTTGAGACCAGCCTGGCCAATATGGTGAAACCCCATCTCTACTAAAAATACAAAAAAATTAGCCGGGCATGGTGGTGGGTGCCTGTAGTTCCAGCTAGTCAGGAGGCCGAGGCAGGAGAATCGCTTGAACCTGGAAGGTGGAGGTTCCAGTGAGCTGAGATCGCGCCACTGCACTCCAGCCTGGGTGACAGAGTGAGACTCCAACTCAAAAAAAAAAAAAAAAAAAGAGATGAGACACTAGTGTCTCATGAGTAGAACCTGGACCAGACACAAATCTCCATTCCCAATGTTTAGTGCCTCATTAGTGCCCAACAACAAGATATTGGGTCTATGTGGGTAGGCCTGGGGCATCCTGTACAACAGGAGATGTGTTAGGGGAGGGAGAACAGATCACAAATTCATGGAGAGCTATTTGCAGAGCAGATACTCCCATCCACTCTGATATGTAGTTAATGTTCAGCTGTTCCTAAAAAGCACACCCAACAATGGGTGTTCTATTCCAGCCTAGGAAAATGTAGAGGCAAGGGGTCTGAGGCCAGAGGACACCACTAGATGGACCACTGCTCCTGACTGTGATGTTGTGGCCCACTCAGGTCCCAGCACCCCATGGTCTGGGGGAAAATTTGCTGGTTCAGCCAGAGGGCTGGATGGACAGTGTTTGCTGAGTCACAGATATCTCTCTCATGTAGCCTTTGTCTCCACAGTGGTGACCAGGAGGCACAGAACCCAAACCTGGTATCTCAGCTCTGTGGCGTCTTTCTTCAAAATGAGACGAATGAAACCATACATATGCAGATGAGCATGGCAGTGGGACAGCAGGCCCTGCCCTTGAATATCATTGCCCCCAAGGCTGTGCTGGTCTCCCTCTGTGGGGTCTTATTGAATGGCACTGTCTTCTGGCTGCTTTGCTGTGGGGCCACGAATCCCTACATGGTATACATCCTCCACCTGGTCGCTGCTGACGTGATCTATCTTTGCTGCTCGGCAGTGGGGTTCTTACAGGTGACTCTGCTAACTTATCATGGAGTCGTGTTTTTTATCCCTGATTTCCTGGCCATATTGTCTCCCTTCTCCTTTGAGGTGTGTCTCTGTCTCCTGGTGGCCATCAGCACAGAGCGGTGTGTGTGTGTCCTCTTCCCCATCTGGTACAGATGCCACCGCCCAAAATACACATCTAATGTTGTCTGCACCCTCATCTGGGGCCTGCCTTTTTGCATCAACATAGTAAAATCACTTTTCCTAACTTACTGGAAACATGTAAAGGCATGTGTCATATTTCTAAAGCTTTCTGGGCTCTTCCATGCTATCCTTTCACTTGTGATGTGTGTGTCGAGTCTGACTCTACTCATTAGATTCCTGTGCTGCTCCCAGCAGCAAAAGGCCACCAGGGTCTATGCGGTGGTGCAGATCTCGGCCCCCATGTTCCTACTCTGGGCCCTACCCCTGAGCGTGGCACCCCTCATAACAGATTTCAAAATGTTTGTCACCACCTCCTATTTAATTTCCTTGTTCCTCATTATAAACAGCAGCGCCAACCCTATCATTTATTTCTTTGTGGGGAGCCTCAGAAAGAAAAGGCTGAAGGAATCTCTCAGAGTGATTCTCCAACGGGCGTTAGCAGATAAGCCAGAGGTGGGGAGGAACAAAAAGGCAGCTGGCATCGACCCAATGGAGCAACCACACTCTACTCAGCATGTGGAGAACCTTCTTCCCAGGGAGCACAGGGTCGATGTGGAAACATAATTTCCCACATCTGAGCTGGGGAATTGTACACATAGTAACCCAGCCTGTTCTGCATCATAAGGCTGCTGCATCAAATCAATGCTTTATTCTAATCAAGTTCAGCTTTCATGGACTTTCAAAACAACCCCTTGCTGTTTGTGGTTGGAAGAGACATTAACTTCCTTCCTAGGCAGTAAGCCCAGTTTGAATGTGCTCCAGTTCCAACGATGAGGGGAATGGGACCCAGTGAGACTTTCCTGGTACCTGTGGAATCCCAAATAAAGACCATACAAAAGGCCATGCATTATTCTCAATCATTATCCTGGAACATCCTCCAAATCCAGCCACAGATTTTCCTCCCTTTGTCTATCTCCTCCTTAGATAGAGCTTGAGCTTGTCGGAATTACCAAGAGGCATCATCACATAAGAGTAAGAGTCAGGGTTTTGGACCCAGATTGCCTTTGTCCAAACTTTGGCTCTCCCATTCAAAGCATGTTATTGTGGGCAAATAACTCTCTGTAACTCTGTTTCATCTTATGCAAGAGGAGGATAAAGTTGGTATTTAATATGCATGGTTGGTGTGAGGATTAATTAACCTTATGAATATACAGGACTCCTTGGATTTTATTTACAACATGTGTAACAATTATTTAGTAAGGATGATGAATATGTTGCAGTGTGTTGAATAAATGTACAAAAACATTACGTTGGATAATATAATCCCTCCTCACTAGGTTAGAATTTACACCCAAACCTTTTACTTTGAAGAAAGCAAATTTACCTCATCCTCTCTCCAACTTAATACCATTTAATTCTTCATCTTGCTTACATTGCTTACAAAACTCTCATATTGGGTTTCTTTTGTTAAATGGAACACATCCTTTTTGCAAATTTTCTTTCCTCTGTGAGGAATTATGTCACTCACAATTTTCCTTGTTTTTGCCTTTTCCATGTTTTATCTCTAGTTAAAAAGGTCAACTTTAAGAGCATTTCTATGATCACATTCTCTGGCTGGTCTTATTGATCTTTTATTTCTTACAACATTATTGTAATTTGTAATGGTTCCACCATTTTGGTCTTATTTTAAGCTTCCCCTAGAAGACGAGAAGTTTTGTGAGGTTGAAGTCATTACTTCATGATTCAGTTTAATGTCCCAGTGCTTTGTACATAATAAGTTGTTTTAATAATACCTCTTTGTAATTTGAATAAAAATTGCATTCCCTTTAAGTACATACCCTTTATTTAAGCCTTATTAATTTTATATCTGTGATTTTAGACAATCCTTCAAGGACTAGAATTGCCATTCTATAATATTGCTTTATATATATATATGCTTTAAATTCTAGTTATTGTATATATTATTTTATTGTGGTCAAATAATATAACCAACAAAATGTTATTATTAATATTATTATTTGTATTTCTTTCAGATTTACTCTGTGGCTGAAGACATGGTCAGTTTTGTCCACCATGGTGTTTAAAATAATGTATAGTCTCCTTTTAAGGTGTAATTTGTCAAATAACTTTTTTTAATGATTTCTATATGTGCTTATTCAATTATGTGTACATGTTACTCAAAACAAAGAAGATTCATTCAAGTCTGATATTAAAATATATGGTTACCTCTTAATTCCCATACTGCATCATTGTGTAGCTCATGTCTCATGATGCTGACATTTCAGGAGCATGTTAAGGAGGTGTCAGAGTGAAGGAAGGGGCATGAGACTTCTCGTGGACAGGTCTTTGTCTCTCCACTTCTGTTAGCTCTCCATCTATAAGCAGATTAGTCCTTTTTCAGTTGTCTGAGCTGCAGATACAATTTCCAACATTTTCATTGGTCACTTACTTCGGTTATGATTTTAAAAACATGTTATTGTCAAGCACACCGTTTTTATAAATTTGAATTTGTCAGTCTTTTATGGCTTATGTATTGAGTTATGATTAAAGAAGTCTTACCTACATGAGATAATATAAAATGAATCTATGCTGTCTTATACTATTAAATTATTTCATTTGTAAACATGTAAATATTTGATCAATTTGATTTTTTTTTACTGGAGGATAGTGTGAAGTATAAGCCCACTTTAATCTTTTTTGTTAAACGGTTAAATTATTCAACTTTGTTAGTCATCAGGAGCACTGCATAATGAGATATGATTTTCTACCCCTGTTATTAATAAGCTTTAATGGCTGGACACACAGAAGAATATGGAGGATTTAATGTCTTCTGCAACCAAAGTGGTGAGTTTAAGTTATTGCTTTTGTTGGGGAAAAATTGAGTACTGTACCTTAAAATTATAAACACACATACACTTATAATCAACGTTTAAAGTTTTATTGCTCCATTTTACAGAGACAAAATAGTGTTACCAAGTGATATCCGTGACAGGGTGTTTATTGCAACAATACTGGTTTTACCTGCTCCCAAGGCAGAAAATCCCACTGTCCCTACTGCAGAGATGCATCTGGGAGGGATTGGGTGACTGGGCACTTTCACACCTGTAGCTGTTATGTACTTCTCCAAGGCAAAGCCATGAAGTAGGACTTAGCAGGAACTGGTGCCCATAGCTAGGAACAGGAATCTTCTCACACGCACACACACACACACAAATTACATTGATAAATATTTTCATGAGATTGTTTCCAGGGAATTTGTAAGACAAAAGTTTTTAATGAAATTACTACTCCCCACCTCTTAAAATAAAAGGAAAAAATAAAACAAATAAAATCAAACTAATAAGTGAAAATAACATGGCCAATAACATCATATGTTCAGACCCAAAGGTCCAAACCTGAACCCTGACCTTTTGCCAAAAGAAATGGGATTGTGAAATATGAACAAACATTAGAAAGGTGTTTCACCTCAAACACCCAGGTGTGGCCACGGAATAAACCAAATAAGGAAAATCTCCCAGAGGGAAGTTCCAGTGTCTATGGACAATTCACTAAATAGATTAGGTGAATCCTTCCAATGAGAAGAACAGAGAACTGTGAGCTTGAGAGTGATGGAACTTACTTTCCTGACAACAAGTGTGATTCTGTCTGTTCTTTTACCCAAGAATGTCTAGCTGGAAAGGACACTCACTGAATGAATGGAATTAAATGCCTGTCACGTGGGTGCCAGAATGGAGCTAGAGGCAGTAACAAGATGATACTAGGTACATACAGTTCTTGACAAAATAATGAATGCATTTCAAATAGATGCAAATATTTTAATTTTAACTTGGACAAGGGAGGGAGGTGTATATAATTTGGGGGTAGGTGAAAAAGGCCTAAGTGTTGGTTATGGTGAGGGCATTCCAATGAGATATCGCAGGACATTCTATGTGGTATGACTCTAAGAAGAGTTTTCACAGATATAAAAAGAGATGGAAGGAAAGGAAGTTCTTTTTTCTCGCATTTTTTATATCATATTCTGAGTATGAAGTCATATCCTAAGCATTCGGAAAACATGCCCAGTGAGGAATGAGGACAATATTCTGAAGATGCCAGAAGTAAAAGTGGATAATTCTAATTTTTTCAAGACATTGTGCCACTGACTTGAACATCTTGCAGCAGCCCTATCTACAGGTGTCTTGTGCTTCAATATTATACATCACTGACTGCTAAAATTAGTTTAATTGAGCTTCTCTATTTGGCAGCCAAAAACATTTCTAACTGGAAATATTTTCTTATCCTTGAATGAAAAGGCAAAGACAGCCTTCTATGGGAATGCTACACAGCAAACTGGAATCCTAGTACTAGATAAGCTTGCCTCATACATTGATGCCCATTGTTGTTAAACCAGGGCCTAGATTTATGTTTATAAAATTATCTGAGTGTGGCTTTTACTGTGATAGAAGCAAATAGTGCTGGTTCTCAAAGGTAGAAAAGCATAAGAGATACACTATATGGGGGAGGCCAATCTTATTAGGGGTGTCCTGTGGACAAGAGTCCCTGGATAGAATCCCAATTGTGTTTCAGATACATGACTATAGGCAGGACTTGAGCCTGATAATCACCAGTATTAGGTATCATGAGAGAGTGGGAACAGAGGATGCTCTTGAAACCAAGAATTTGAGACAGTGAGTCGAGATCATTTCACTCCATGCCAGTCTGGGCAACAAAGTGAGATTCTGTTTCTTAAAAAAAAACATACAAGGGATGTGAAGGACCTCTTCAAGGAGAACAACAAACTGCTTCTCAAGGAAACAAAAGAGGACACAAACAAATGGGAAAACATTCCATGCTTGTGGATAGGAAGAATCAATATCGTGAAAAAAGCCATACTGCCCAAAGTAATTGATAGATTTAATGCTATCCCCATCAAGCTACCATTGACTCTCTTCACAGAATTAGCAAAAACTACTTTAAATTTCATATGGAGCCAAGAAAGAGCCTGTGTAGCCAAGACAATTCTAAGCAAAAGGAACAAAGCTGGAGGCATCACGATACCTGACTTCAAAATATACTACAAGGCTACAGTAACCAAAACAGCATGGTACTGGTACCAAAACAGATATATAGACCAATGAAACAGAACAGAGACCTCAGAAATAGCACCACACATCTACAAGCATCTGATCTTTGAAAAACCTGACAGAAAAAAGCAATGGGGAAAGGATTCCCTATTTAATAAATAGTGTTGGCGAAAATGGTTAGCCATATGCAGAAAACAGAAACTGGACCCCTTTTATACAGCTTATACAAAAATTAACTCAAGATGGATTAAAGATTTAAACATAAGACCTAAAACCATAAAAACCCTAGAACTAGGCAATATCATTCAGAACATAGGCATGGGCAAAGATTTCATCACTAAAACACAAAAAGCAATGGAAACAAAAGCCAAAATTGACAAATTAAACTAATTAAAATTGACAAATTTTAGTTCAGTTGACAAATTACACTAATTAAAATTGACAAAATTTGACAAAATTGACAAATTAATTAAATTAAACTAAAGAGCTTCTGCACAGCAAAAGAAACTATCATCAGAGTGAACAGGCAACCTACAGAATGGGAGAAAATTTTTGCAATTTATCCATCTAACAATGGGCTAATATCCAGAATCTACAAAGAACTTAAACAAATTTACAAGAAAAAAACAAACAACCCCATCAAAAAGTGGGTGAAGGATATGAACAGACACTTCTTAAAAGAAGACATTTATGTGGCAAACAAACATATGAAAAGGGCTTATCATCACTGGTCATTAGAGAAATGCAAATCAAAACCACAATGAGATACCATCTCATGCCAGTTAAAATGGTAGTCATTAAAAAGTCAGGAAACAACAGATGCTGAAGAGGATGTGGAGAAACAGGAAGGCTTTTACACTGTTGGTGGGAGTGTAAATTAGTTCAACCATTGTGGAAGACTGTGGTGATTCCTTAAGGATCTAGAACTAGAAATACCATTTGACCCAGTGATCCCATTACTGGGTATATACCCGAAGGATTATAAATCATGCTACTATGAAGACACATGCACACGTATGTTTATTGCGGCACTATTCACAATAGCAAAGACTTGGAACCAACCCAAATGTCCATCAATGATAGACTGGATTAAGAAAATGTGGCACATATACACCATGAAATACTATGCAGCCATAAAAAGGACGAGTTCATGTCCTTTGCAGGGACATGGATGAAGCTGGAAACCATCATTCTCAGCAAACTATCGCAAGGACAGAAAACCAAACACGGCATGTTCTCACTCATAGGTGGGAATTGAAAAATGAGAACACATGGACACAGGGCAGGGAATATCACACACTGGGGCCTGTTGGGGGTGGGGGTCTAGGGGAGGGATAGCATTAGGAGAAATACCTAATGTAGACGATGGGTTGATGGGTGCAGCAAACCACCATGGTACATGTATACCTATGTAACAAACCTGCAAGTTCTGCACATGTATCCCAGAACTTAAAGTATAATTTAAAAAATAATAATAATGAAAAAATAATTTGGGTACATATAATAAAAAAATTCAAGATCCACAATCTCTTGAATATAAAAACTACATGAAATATAGAGGAGATAGGACCAAAGGTAACAGCTGCTCTAGACCCTTAATGGCTCCCTTGTAGGGAGGATCAGTACTGTCCCATAAAGTCACATTCCCTATGTGACCTTGAGGTCTTCTCAGATTCTATCTCTGCAGTGAGGTAAACAGCCAGTCAGCACCGAAGGACAAGGAGGGGTGTATTTTAACATCTTGTCACCCTTTGATCATAGTGTATTTCATTCTTATATATCTCTCCTTCCTGGTCACTGTAGAACCATACAGAAACCATCTGCCCCACTATGTGAATCACATTTAACCACAAGGTTTTAAGAGGGAATATAATAAAAGATTATTTCCTGCAGGGATAAGAAGCAACTTCAAGCTAGAAATGCATGAATTGCTAGAGAAACCAACGAAAGGAGCCTTGCATCCATCTCATTTTTCTCAAGTTGAGCCACATGTGAACAAAAGTCTATATGAAATGATCAGCTGGCTCCTTCACAAACAGCTGTAGGTGAACGGAGGGGAATAGCATGAGGATACATGGAGTGTGAGCTTGATCTGGCTTTCAGTAAGAATTTGCCAATATGTTGTGTCAGAACCTGCTTGGTAAGTGGCACAGCACAAAAACATTCCCAAGACTTCTTTACATTATGTTTATGGATCATTCATGACTAATTTTCCAACAAAAACAAACATGCACTAGAGAAAATCAAGAAAGAGCAAATTGATCTTTGAGAAGACAGCAAAGTAAAGTTCTTACATTAATTTTACTTTACAAAACATGCAATTCAATTCATGACAAAATCCAAGGAGCACGTTTGAGCTACTGGAATTCCTGAGTTCATTGGGAAAATGCTGACCTGACTTTCCTCTTCTGCCTTCTAGGATGGGTTGGGCTGGGCTGGACCTCAGTCTGGGAGATGCATTAAAGTGGAGAGACTGACTTCTCTTAAAGATTCTTCTTTGTTTCAGGGGACAGTTCTTAAGGACAGAGTAATAGAGTCAGACAGGATTGGGGGATATCGTGAGATGTTGAGATAAAGATGCTTCAGTTAAAGGCCTGGGCTCTGATATGCAAGTGGCCCTGGTACAGGAAGACCTAAGGGACACAGGGAACTTGATAACTGCTTGTCAAGACCCAGTTCAAAGCAGATATGCTTAGAGAGCTTCCTGACATGAGGGCAGAACTTTGATCTCTCAGGAGGTTGGCCTCTGTGATACCAAGTCCGTCCAAGTCCTCCCAGGTATGAGAAAAAAGGTCTCTACCTTTTTTTTCATTTTCAAAGCATTTTAACTCAAAGACTCATTTTTTAAAAAAATTTAAAACCTTGTGATTTTTTTTTTACTGAGGAAGGTGCATTTGAAGATTGACAGGATAGAAACCAGTTTCCTGGAAAAAGGAGGGCCTGCGGTTCCCAAGGTAGCCCCAGTGGGTGAGCTACTTCTGTGTTCTGGTCCCTGGTTCACAGGTGCCCTGGCTGTGTAGATGGGCAGAGGGTGTGTTTTTCTGTTAGAAGTAGGATTTGAGCCACTGTGTTACTGAGGTGTGGTCTATGACTTCTGGGTGTAACCTTTCAGATTTTCCAATTTCCCAGCTTCTATATTCGTATTTAATTCTCATCTAACACAGAAAATGAAGTTCTGGCACATGCTGCACCATGAACAAGCCATGAAAACATGAGGCTGAGTGAAAGAAACAGAAACAAAATGTCACGGAAGGTTTGATTCCACTAATAGGACGTGTCCAGAATGGGTGAATGCGCAGAGACAGAAAGCAGATGGTGGTTGCCAAGAGCTGGGAGGGAGAAAGGGATGTAACTGCTAAGGGCATCCTTATGGGGCATGAAAATGTTTTGGAACTAGATAGAGTTGGGGGTTGCGCAATATTGTGAAGAGGCAAAGTGAGGCAGAACTGTGCACTCTAAATTGGTTAATTTATGTTATGTGAATTTCACCTCAGATAAAAATTAAGTGGGGAGGGTGGGCTCTCGCCTCAGAATCAGAGCAAATACTTCAATCCCAATGCAAAGGCTACTTGGCTATTTTGGCTGCACCAAACTGAGCACTTCCAACAGCGCTGGCTCCCTGAATCCCAGGATCCAGCCTGTTGTATCTACTCCTTGGGGAGCCTGGCTCATGACCCAACTTGGAAATGACATTCCCAAGACCACAAATGACATTTCCAAGTACCAGGATGTCTCTATGCCCAGTGCTGGGGCCACACCAGATGCCGAGGCCTCTCCACCCCAGGAGGGCTGCCTCCTCCTCCTAGGTGACAATGAAGAATGTACTGCTCAGTCACTGGGCTCAGTGGTCGTCTCTGGGCATGAGCTGGGTTTCAATGAGCTCAGGAATGGGAAGCATGACTCTGCCCCTGAGGCCACATGCCACCTCCATAGCGGATCTTTTCTTCTGGCTGGAGGGGAAGTCACTTCTTCCCATGAAACTATTTTATCTATAAATCTCCTCTCCTTGTTGGAGACCAAAGCCCAGCTGCTCCTGCTTGGTGCCCTGGTGGCCTGGGGTGGGCCATGGAGTCCTGTTTGCAGTTTCTCTTCTGTCACCATCACGAGTTCTGACACCCTGGCCTGGGCACAGAACCGCACATCAGCCTGATGTTTCCATGGACACCAATGTTACTAAGCCCCAAGCCTCGTCTTATGACCAGATTAGATATAAGCTGGATCTGCTTTCCTCTCCTGGCCTCAGATAAGAAAGTCTAGGCAACAGGCACAGGGAGGGGCGAGACTGGGGCCAGACCCTTCCATTTCAACAGAGCTGCTGACTGAAGGGGAACTCCATCATCCTGGCAAGGAGGGAAGATTCAAACACTGGGCTCACTTGGAGCTGGTCCCTAGCACTCTCCTGAAACCCCACTGATGCACCAATATGTGACTGCAGATCACAGGGTCACGTGTGAGATATTTCCTGGCATATCTTAGGCTTTCATCAATTTGTGGAACAATCTTTGTTTTAGAAGCCTCTGTGATCCATAAACAAAGCTTCAGTAGCTCAGGGTTGTAGGACCAGGTTCGTCTCACCATTCTGAGACTTCCCATGATTCCATGTATAAAGTTCTCTTCACTACTGTGATCATCAGCTTGGACTCCCATGACTAAGACCACAGACTGAGTGACTTAAATGATAGAAGTCTATTCTGTCACAGTCCTGGGGGTTGGAATTCTGAGATTAAGGGGTCGGCACTGTCGGTTCTTTCTGAGACCTCTCTCCTTGGCTTGTAGATGGCTGTCTTTTCCCTGCATGCTTACATGGTTGTCCCTGTGTGTTTAACTAATCCTAATCTCCTCATCTCATGAGGACACCAGTCCTATTGGATTAGGGCCCAACCTAAAGACCCATTTTAACATAATTACCTCTTCAAAGATTCTGTCTGCAGACACAGTCACATTCTGAAGTATTAGGGGTTAGGACCTTAACATATGAATTTAGAAGGTCACAATTCAGCTAATAACAGCAACCCTTAGATAGCTGGGAATACTGAGGCAGAAAAGGATCCACTGCTTATCAAAGATAGCTGTGATTTGCCCACATAAGATCAGCTTTCATACCCTTGGCCTGAACTCCCAGGTTACTAGGTTTGACTCAGCTGTGGGTTCCCAGAAGAGGTATTGATCCTCTCCCGTTTCATTTTTAGTTAGGTGACCAACCAGCTTGGTTTTCCCAGGGCTATCGGGATATTCAGGACAAGGAATTTTCAGGAATACAAACTAGGAAATTCTAAGGCAAAGTGGTACCTTTGCCCTCCCTGCACAATTCTTCACACAAAGACCTGTGATTGGCAGCCTGAAGCGGAGTGCCTGCTCCTGAAGTGGACAGAGCCCATGGCTCAAGTGCATGTCTCCCTCGGGACCCCATGAAGCAGCTTCTGGTGTGCAGGGTCCCCTGCTCTCACCTACATGTAACAGAGCAACTTAAGTCCTCTGCAGGCACCCTCCCCAAGTAGCTCCTCAGTGTCAAACCCTGTTCCAGGGGCTGGAGAAAAGGCAGTGAACAGAATTTTAAAGACAAAGTAAATTCTCATGGAACTTCCATTCCAGGGCATGATTCCCACAAAAGCAAGTAAGTGAATATCATAGACTGCCAGCAGGTCAAGAGTGCAATGTTTAAAGGCTGATCAGCAGAAGATCACCTGGAAGGTGACCCTGAGGCAGAGACTGGAAGGAGGAGACCGAGCTCACTGAGGCACAGAGGCTCTTCCAAGCAGGAGAACAGCATGTGCAAAGGTCCAGGGAGGAGGCCTGAGAGCTAACAGAGAAGAGGTGAGCAGGAGCAAGGTTGGGAGCCCTTCCCTTGAGTACTGACCAGCAACCTCCCCATCCAGGACTCAAGGAGTCTCAGAACCTCAAGGTAAAGTAGTCACTCAGTGCCCCCACCAAAACGATGTCACAAAAACAGCCTGTACCAGTGGGAAAGTTGGAGAACCATCCCTATGGGCTAATGTAAACAAATGTATTTTTTTATGCAGCCTTATAGATAATCTGGGTGCACGGGATACACACTGGGCCTTGGGCACAGCATGAAGCATCAGGGATAACTGAATGCGGTGGAGAGAGGGGTAAGGGTATGCATGAGAGGGCATCCTGCAATGGAGAATCTGGGAGGGAAGGGATGGGTCTCCCACAAGAAGCTTGCTCCTTTCCTCCACTCTGCTCTGCAGAATCCCTGCCAATCTCATGAGGCTCAGCAGGAACCTCTGAGGACAGAGGGCAACCCTGACTCTCCTCTCCAGACCTGGTATGTTACCAGCCTTTGTTTTTGCAGGATGTGCGCAGGCAGCAAAGGTAGCCCACCATAGCCTAGCTTCTCGCAACCCTCTCTGGAAAGCTGGATTGGGACAATGAGACTGAGACCTCAGGACATGTGAACATGAGCCATACGGGAGGTGAGTGGTTGGTGGACAGGCAGGTGGTCTTCTCCCTGACAGTGCTGGTGGCCCTCTGTGGACTGGTAGGCAATGATGTGATCTGCTGGCTTCTCTACTCACAGGTCTGGAGCAGCCCCTATGTGACCTACATCCTTAACCTGGCCACTGTTGATATGGTCAACCTCTCCTGTGTAACTGTGATCCTGCTGGAGAAAATCCTCATGCTGTATCACCAGGCGGCATTGCAGGTGGCTGTGTTTCTGGATCCTGTCTCCTATTTCTCCGACACAGTGGGTCTCTGTCTCCTGGTGGCCATGAGTATTGAGAGCTTTCTCTGTGCCCTCTGTCCCACCTGGTGCTGCCACCGCCCAGAGCACACCTCTGCCATGGTGAGGTGGGCCCTGGCCCTTTCTTTGTATGCAGTTAGCCAGGTCTGTGAGTACTGGGAGAAGTGCTTGGCATGTGACCAATTTCATGAGGCTTTATGACATGTCATGTACTTATTTGCTTTGTAATGGGCATGTCCAAGCTGATCCTGATCATCTGGGGTCTGTGCTGTCCCCAGTGGTGTTCCCCCATCAGGACCTATCATGTTGTCTGCTTTGTGATCATCAGCTTCTTCCTTTGGGTCCTGCCCTTAGTTGTCCTTGTGTGCCTGCCAGGAAAGTTTCTGACCCTTGCCTTTGACCTCCTGTTGCTACTGTCCATTGTGGTCAGCATGCCTCACCTAGTCATCTACTTCTTGGCTGAGTAACTCTACAGGAAGAGGCACAGGGAGTCCCTAAAGGCTGTTTTTCAGAGGGCTTTGTTGAGTGAGATGGAGGCATGGATAAAATGAGGCGTTTCAGGCCCCCGATCCCAGGGCAGATTTCAGCCTCACAGCTGGAAACAAACTGCTCTTCTAGGGGGCTCAGCTCCTCCACAAAGGCAGGGACTGCCTATGCACAAGGCTGTAAAAGGGATCATGTCTGGAAAACATGCTGGATCCTCCAAGGAGCAGGGTGAATGTTCTTGAGATTATTTATTACCTTTGTGTATTTTCAGAGTAACCAGATTTCTGACTGAATTCAAGACAAAATTACTTTGCTTCTGTTGATAGCCCATTATTCTCAATTCCCATGGAAACCCTCTGGAAAGGCAGGTCAGGAGCAAAGCAGACCTTCCTGGCTTCTTCTTTTTTTTTTTTTTTCCAGCTAATTATTTTATTTTATTTTATTTTATTTTTCTTTTTTTATTATACTTTAAGTTTTAGGGTACATGTGCACAACGTGCATGTTTGTTACATATGTATACATGTGCCATGTTGGTGTGCTGCACCCATTAACTCATCATTTAACATTAGGTATATCTCCTAGTGCTATCCCTCCCCCTTCACCCCACCCCACAACAGGCCCCAGAGTGTGATGTTCCCCTTCCTGTGTCCATGTGTTCTCATTGTTCAATTCCCACCTATGAGTGAGAACATGCGGTGTTTGGTTTTTTTGTCCTTGCACTAGTTTGCTGAGAATGATGGTTTCCAGCTTCATCCATGTCCCTACAAAGGACATGAACTCATCATTTTTTATGGCTGCATAGTATTCCATGGCGTATATGTGCCACATTTTCTTAATCCAGTCTATCATTGTTGGACATTTGGGTTGGTTTCAAGTCTTTGCTATTGTGAATAGTGTCATAATAAACATACGTGTGCATGTGTCTTTATAGCAGCATGATTTACAATCCTTTCGGTATATACCCAGTAATGGGATGGCTGGGTCAAATGGTATTTCTAGTTCTAGATCCCTGAGGAATCGCCACACTGACTTCTACAATGGTTGAACTAGTTTATAGTCACTGGCCATCAGAGAAATGCAAATCAAAACCACGATGAGATACCATCTCACACCAGTTAGAATGGTGATCATTAAAAAGTCAGGAAACAACAGGTGCTGGAGAGGATGTGGAGAAATAGGAACATCTTTACACTGTTGGTGGGACTGTAAACTAGTTCAACCTTCCTGGCTTCTGCAAGCTCCATATTTCTGAGAGTGACAAGTGTCATTCATCCTTATTCAGTCACCTTGCTCGGAGTTCTGTCCTCTGTCACCCCAGTCCATCCTTCCTGGGGACCCCTGGGCAGAGACTGATTCATGATCCTGATGTTCCTCCACCATTATGGCCTCAAGTTTCCATCCATCCCTTCCTACAAAAGCCAGGAAAGCGATTCAGTAAGAGTGCCATAACAAGTTGTTTCTGGCGTTGCTCACTGTGGAGAGATCTAACGCTGGCAGTCTGGCCTACAGCCTGGTTTCTCCAAGCTGTTTCACTCTGCTCATTCCAGGTTCCACGCACAGGCTACTCTCTGTGTTTTTCCCAGACTCATCACACAATCTAGCGCCTGTGCTTCTTCACAGGAATCCCACCCTGCAGAATGTCATGCATTCTTCCCCACCCTGACCAGGGTGTTGCCCGGCACCCACCATGGTCAGAACCTTAATGAGAGCCCCTGACCAGCCCCAGCTCCATCCCGTCAATGCTCTATAGCCATCACAGCAGCACATCACCCTGCTTCATTTGTTCAATTGCACCCCAGCCAGCGTAACTCTTAGATTTCAGGATGGTGTCCACCCCCTGAGTTGTCCTCAGGTGCACCATTTGACCTTGTCCCATGACATCCTCACACAGGATTCACTCTCTCCCTTGTTTGCACCAGACTCGCGCCCAACCTTGCAAGGTCCCTTTCTCCCTTCCCTGCTTAGAGCACTCCCTCAACACTATCTGTACATTTTACTCTTTTTCACCCTTCACTCCTTAAAGATGTTTGTCCAGACCACCCCATTTAAATCTCCACCCCTTTTTGACTCTTCTCTAAAAGGTTTGTTTCTTTTAATGTGAAGATAATTGTCTATAATTATTTTCTATGTATTCTGTGTTGTGTGTTGTTATCAGTTTATTGTACTCCTGCCTCATTTGCACTTGAAGCCCCAGTAGGGCAGAGGCCACACCTTCCTCCTACCCTAGCAAATTCCCAGCAAGTAGCAAAATGCCCTGCAAGTCTGACATTAACCCCCCATCATCTGATGTTATCCATCGCTCACTAGTCCACCTTTCCACCTTGCATGTTTCCACATGTTTTCATTGTCTCTGCCTTCTTGAGGCTTCCCAACCATATTCTAACTAGAATTCGACGAACACGTCTTTGGAGATTGTTCCCAGTGTTCTTGTAATTGATTTGTCAGTTTTTTACTCACTTGGAAAATGTCACTTGTATAATACTATGACTGTTATGTGAAATTCACACTGTTTTCTCTGTTGCCGAAAACTTGCTCAGGTTTGTAAATGTGCCAGTGATACTGGTAAGCAATGTACATTCTCTTATTTTAGATATTCAATGTGATACATTCTAAAGCAATTCTGAGATGTTTAGATTACAGCAATTCTTTAAATGCTGTTACTTGGATCATATTGATTTCTGCCTAGTGTAAATGACAAAATTGATAGGGACATGTTCATATCTCCTATTAGTTTGTTTCACATCACACTAGAATTTGAAACAGAGTTTGATTTACATAATTTGATGTTGTCCTTTGATAAGTGAATGGCAGAAACCCTGGCCCTAGAGCACAGAAGGGCTGATCCGGGCTGCCTGTCTTTAGTCAGCGTGTTTTGTTCTAACAAAATGCCATAGATTAGGCTACAAACAGCAGATATTTATTTTCTCAGAGTCCTGGAGCTTGGAAGTTCAAGATCAATGTATCAGCAGGGTGGGCTTCCCCTGAGGCCTCCCTCTTTGACTTGAGATGGCCGCCTTCTCCCTGTGTCATGACATGGCCTTTTTCTGTGTACCCACATCCCTGGGGACACTTTCTATTCTTATGAGGATTTTAATTCTTTAGGATTAGGACCTCAGTCTTATGAGCTCCTTAACCTTAATTATCTCTTTAAAGGCCCTATCTCAAAATATTGTCACATTCAGGGTTAGGACTTTAGCCCGTGAAGTTTGGATGCCTGGAAGTAAGAGGCAGGTTGATCTCACAGAGTTGGGCTGCTGCTATGTTCAGGCAGGGGATACAATTTGGGCATTTTATGTGCCTTTACCCTGGGCCAACAGTTCCCTTGGAGGTGAGCATCTGGCTTATGGTTCTTTAGTTTTTTGTGGAAACGTCTCTATTATCCTTGCAGCTGATGAGCTCCTGGCAACACAGACAGTCCTCAGTTTCCTGAATTCTCTCACTCACTCAGAAAAACAAAAATGTCAAGGCTAGGTATGGACTATTACAGTTTAGTAAGTAATCCCCTTCCTTCCCTCTGGAATTGAGAACTACTGATGAAAGTGAATGAAGGAATGAGGACAGTGTCAGATGGAGAACAATGCATTACTTCTATTGCTCCTAAAATTGAACTGGAGAAAGGGGCTTGGATGTCTAAAAAACTGACTTTCAAAAGTGCCCCTTAAATGGTACCTACTCCAGAGGATCCCATCCCTCCTCCCTCTTCCTGCCCATCTCTCTTTGGAGGAAAGCAGTCCTTCTGGGGAACTCACCACCCACTGGTGAAGGGAGCACTCACTCCAGGTTATTCTTCCAAACTCACTCATCAGTTTCTTTCCTTCTCCCCGGGAGGGAAAAAGTGCGGGGAAAGAGAGAGAGCCCAGAGCTTAAAATAGACCTGAGATTCTCAGTCTTAAATAGTATTGAGCAGCTCAAAGAACTTTTGTGGATCAGGGTTGTATCTTTCAATATTTACAGTATTAGTAATTATAACTCAGAACTTTACAAATGTTTACTTATTAACTCCTTTAGAACATAAATTGTATGCCTATTCCATGTAAACATGAATAAATTTTAGAAAAAATAACTATGTTTTCTTTAAAAAGTTATGTTATTGAGAAGAGCAAGATGGTTTTGTATTTTGCAGACCTCTTAGAGGCCCAGCAGCAAGCTGGACATTCACAGCTGCTTCTGCATTGGTGTAGTTTTCCAGTTGGCGGCTTCATCTCACCTCATACAGTCTCTGGAAAACTCCACTTTCACTCAGGAGTGCATGAGTGTGAGAAACACAGACTCACTTCAATACTTCAAGTATTACCTGAAGATTATGTCGGCCTCCCTTCCCCTAAAAAGGTGTTGGGGACCACATCTCAAGAATTACTCCTCTGGGGTGATCCCCACCTGGAAATAAGGGCTGAGGGAGTGGAGGCACCCACCCTCTCACACCAGTTCCCTTGTTTGGAATTTTTAAAGAGAGAGGCATCCCAGCATTCACCCCGCAGTAGGGCAGAACTGTGTGGCACATCCTGAGAAGGGATCAGCGGGTGACCAGGACTGAGCCTCTGCCACCTGGAAGAAACTGTACCCCAGGACTGACCAGAGTGTCTTGTGGAGTTTCGGCCTCACCAGGAGGCACTTGAATCATGGTAACCATAAGACGCTGCACGGGACAGGAAGATGAATAGTAGCAATAGCAACTAGAGCAAATATGTTCACTGATGATTTACTGTATCTCAATATTGCTCTAATCACTGTGAAAACATGAAGCCAGTTTTCACACTCTATTAATAGGTAACATTATTATCCTGCTTCAGCCTAAGCCAAAAGGCTGCTTGGCCCACTTAGCTGATTGTTATCCAATGGTCCCAGCACATTTATAACAAATATAGTCCTTCACTATTGTTCTGATTTTTGGTTATCAATCATGTTTAGACTTATGTGGGTCTGTCTCTGGGCCTTCTGCTCTGTTCTGTTGGCCTATTTATCCACCCTTGGACAACACCACACTTGATGTAGTTACTGCATCTTTCCCGTGCATATCTATGCCCAGGAAACTGAGTCCTCCTACAAACAGCCAGAGAAGAACAAGACATATATGTACAGAAAATCAAAGATAAGAATGAAGCAGATTTCTTGTTGGAAAGTTGCAAGTTGTATGACAGTGGAGAAAATTCTTTAAAATATTAAAAGAAATAAATTTGTCAGCCTAAAATTTTTTACACAGTCAAAATATTTCCCAAAGAGATGGCAAAATAAAGAGGTTTTTGGAGACACAAAAAAGATGAAACAAATCATCACCAGGAGATATGCAGACTGAGAAGTGGTAAAAGACATACATCCAGCAAGAGAATAATGACTCCACATGGAAATCTGTGTCTATTTAAGGAAGGAGTCCTTTGCCCTGATGGTATCTTCTTAAGACGCTGAAATAAGTGGTGAGAGCCAACATTCTTGGCTTGTTCCTCATCTGGGGTGAAAGCATCCAGTCTTTCATTATTAAGGGTAATACCCACTAAATATCAACCATAGGATTTTTTTTTTGGTAGCTGCCTTTTATCATTTTGAGAAACTTCATTTCTATTCCTAGTTGACTGAAATTTTTTATGAGCCTATTGGATTTTGTCTAATGCTTTTTCTGAATCTGCTGAAATAATGTTTTTGCCTTTTAATCTGTTAATGTGGTGAATTATATTGGCTCATTTTTCATGTTAAACCTGCCTAGTATCCCTGGGATAAATTTCACTTGGTCTTGATGTGCATATATTTATATTTCTGGTGCACATGTATGTATGTTCATGAGAAAGTGATTCTGTGTGTGGCGATGCAGTAGACCTAGAATAGTTAAAAAAAAAAAAAAAAACTTTGAAAAAAGAAGAAGCAAGTGAGACAGTTTATAATACCCGACTTCAAGGCTTATTATAAAGGTTCAGAAATCCAGATGGTGTGATATTGGTAACAGGATGGACAAATAGGTCAACAGAACAGAAGAGGGTCCAGAATAGACCCTAACATATATCTTCAATTGATTTTGAAGAAGGTGTAAAGTAAATTCAGTGGAGAAAGGACAATCTTAGCAACAAACGGTCCTTAGAATTATTGGATATACATATGCACATATGAACAGAACTTCAATCCATACGTGGCATCATACATAAAAATTAATTCAGAATTTATCATAAACCATAATGTAAGACCTAAAGCTGTAAGCTGTATGTAAGAAAAGAAAAGAGAATATCAGTGTAACTTATGGTTAGGAAAATATTTCTTGGATGAATACAAAAAGTATGATGCATAAAAGAAAAAATTGATCAATTGGATTTCATCAAAATATAAGATGTGTGCACTTTGAAAGACCCTGTGGGGAGAATGAAAAGGCAAGTTCCAGGCTGGAGGAAGTGGTTTCAATCTCACATCTGATGAAGGACTCATATGTAGGATCTATAAAGAGCTCAGATGAATGGGCCCCTGGCAGCCCTTGGGAATCACAGGGGTGCTGTGCCATGGACAGACATGGAAGACACCTCCCACCCTGTCATTCATGTCTTCTGAGCTGCAGTACTCAATGTCCCCTACAAATGCCCCCTCCTGGGCCCACAGACCCTCCTCTCCCCACATCCACACCCTCAGGCCAGGCCCTGGGGCTCTTGTTGGGACAGGGCCCCTCCTGCAGGATACAGGGAGGGAGGAACTGTCAGTCTCAGGCTCTGGGTGCCCAGCTTCAAGCTTACCCACCTCAAGGCCCTCTGGGCCCATCTCACAGGATATAATGAGGTAGTCTGGCACCTACTGGACATGCTATCTAGATCTAATCCTGAGCTGTGGAGCCAGAGGAAAGGAGGGATGTTTGTTGGACCAGTTACCCTGTTCTGCCAGGTCTCACAGGGCCCTTCCCTTAGAGGCCAGCTCTAGACACACAGCACAGAGGCCAAGAGGTAGCCAGCCCAGAACCTGCAGGCTGGGCTGGGGACCACACGAGGACTGTCTGGGGACAGCCAGAAGACCCCTCACTAGTTTTCTCACTACCTCATTTCTTATCAGCTACCTTACCTCCATCAAAACCCCCCTTCACGCAAAATCAGTAAGAGGAGGAAGATGGTAAAAGAATCAACGGGAAGAAAACAAAAAAAGGACAACCATTAACAGTCCAGAACCCTGGGTGGGAAGAGTGGAACTGGGAACAGACCCTTTCATTTCAACAGAGCCTTGACTGAAGGGGACTCCATCATCCCAGCAAGGAGGGAAGATTGAAACACTAGGTTCACTTGGAGCTGATCCCTAAACTTCTCCTGAAACCCCACTGATATACTGACATGTGACTGCAGATGCCAGGGTTGCCTGTGGCATATTTCTAGAAAAATCACAGGCATTTATCAGTTTGTGGGACAAGTTTATTTCCAGAAGCTTCTGTGACCCAGAAGCAAAGCGTTAGCAGCTCAGAGTTGTAGAATCAGCATCTCAGATTATAGGATTATAGGATCTACCAGGTCGTAGATCTCACTATTGCAAGACTTCCCATGATTCAATTTGTAAAGTTCTCATCACAACTGTGATCATCAGCTTGGACTCCCGTGACTGAGACCACAAACCGAGTAGCTTAAACTACAGAAGTTTATTCTCTCTCGGTTCTAGGAGGCAGGAAGTCTGAGATCAAGGAGTGGGCAGGATAGGTTTCTTCTGAGGACTCTTTCCCTGGCTCCTAGATGGATATCTTCTCCCTGTGTCCTCACATCGTTGTCCCTTGTGGTGTTTGTATCCTAATCTCGTCTTCTTATAAGGACACTAGTCCTACTGGATTAGGGCCCATTCTAATAATCCATTGAATTTCACCTCAAGTAAAGATTAAATTAAGGGCTAGTGTGAGCTCTCATCTCAGAATCAGAGCCATTACTTCAGTCCCAAAGCAAAGGTTACCTGGCTGTTTTGGATGCACTGAGGCAGACACCTCCTTCAGAGCCTGGTCCCAGAGACAGTTTCTACTAACTGCTTGTTTTTCTGTGTATGGGCCTTACTTTATTGTTTCTTTGCATGTTGTATTATTTCGTTCTTTCTTTTTTAACTTAGCATTTTAAACAGTATAATGTGGCAACTCTGGAAGTCATATTTTTTCTGTTCCCAGATTTTACTATTGCTAGTGGATGTTTTTTGATCAGGTTTTTAAAAACTATCTGTCAAGTCTGTTCTTTTTTGTTTTTTTGTTTTGTTTTGTTTTTGTTGTTGTTGTTGTTCAACGTGGCCACTGAAGTCTCTGCTTGGTTAGCTTAGTGGCCAGGTAAAGACTGGACAAAGATTTCCTTAGGTTCCTGGAAGTAATGTCTCCCAGTGTATGTAGAGAGGCTCTGTGTGCAGGTAGATACAGGTCTTCAAAGCCCAACCAAGCAGTTTACACTGTGTCCTAGCCTTCATTTCCTGTCTGTGCAGTGCCTCAAACTTATTCAGGGTTAGAGCTTAGAGCCTGCTCAGGTCTGTTCAAAGCATATATGCAGCACTTGTCATGCCCACATCTATGCATGCATGTGGCCGTCGGAACTTTCTGGAGTATATTAAGGCTTTTCAATCCCCTTTATGGGCATCTCATTCCCTGACATTTCGTTTTTAAGTTCTTGGTTAGGCTATTGTTTGTTCCAACTGTTATTTATGACCATCGGCAACCATGATGTTCAACAACTGCCTATGATTCTTTTTACTCATTTCCCCAGGAAATACATTGTTCTCTCTGGGATAGCTCTGAGTCAAGTCAAATAAGGATAGCATTGTGAGTTCTAGGGAACAACCAGACAGGTAAAATAATAACAGTCCTCTGGAAATAAGGGATTAAAGGATCTGTAACCCTATTGTGTCCCCTCCAGTGATTTCATGTCTGCTGGTTTTCACCATGATTGTGGACCGTTGGTTTTTAAGAGCTGAGGAGGAAGGAACAGGAGTGGAACCAGTTAAAACATCACAGAGCTCACTGTTCTTATCAAGATTCAGCTATTATTCTTGAACAAACACTCTCCAGATTGCAGCAAGCCTTTGGTTAATTTCTAGAGTTCTAAACAATATTAATTCTGACAATTCTTCCATAGTTCATTTTACTCTTAGGAAGTAGGTCATTTTTGGAAGTCATTACTCTGTTATTTTTGTTGATGTCACTGTGTTACTGGAAAGGGGCCCCAATCCAGACCCCAAGAGAGGATTCTTGGATCTCATGTAAGAAAGAATTTGGGGCGAGTCCATAAAATGAAAGCAAGTTTATTAGGAAAGTAAAGGAATAAAGTATGACTACTCCATAGACAGAGCAGTGGCATGGGCTGCTCAACTGAGTATACTTACAGTTATTTCTTGATTATATACTAAACACGGAGTGGATTATTCATAAGTTTTCTGGGAAGACGGTGGGCAATTCTCAGAACTGAAAGTTCGTCCCCTCTTTAGATTACATAGGGTTACTTCTGGACATTACCATGGCATTTGTAAACTGTCACGGCATTGATGGGAGTGTCATTCAGCATGCTAATGCATTATAATTAGAGTATAATGAACAGTGAGGAGGACCAGAGGTCACTTTCATTGCCATCTTGGTTTTGGCCGGCTTCCTTACAGCATCCTGTTTTATCAGCAGGATCTTTGTGACCTATATCTTATGCCAACCTCCTATCTCATCCTCTGACTGAGAATGCCTAACCTTTTGGGAATGCAGCCCAGCAGGTTTCAGCCTTACTTTACCCAGCCACTACTCAAGATGGAGTCACTCTGGTTCAAACGCCTATAACAACAGTATGGTTTTTTGTTTTATTGGAATTGTTGCTTTAGGGATTATGATATAAATATTTACCCTTTCATGGTCTACTTAGAATGAATAGATCCATTTATTATTATTAGTTTATTCAGTAATTGTCATATGTATTACATTTGTATGAATCCCCATCAGTGTTGTACTTTTTAGTTCCAACAGAGATACATATTTTAAATAATTCAAAAAGAGAATAATATACGATTGCATTTACCCAGATAATTACTCTTTCTGTTGTTCCTTTTTCATTCATGATATTCTGATTTTCCCTCTGGTTTTATTTCCTCTCTGCCTGAAGCAGTGCAATCCATGCTTAAAAGCATTTCTTTTAAATCAGATGAGTTGGTGATACCTACTTTCACTGAGAATATCTTTACTTCATCTTCGTTTCTGAAGAATATTTTAACTTTATATAGAATTGCCTAAATGAGTGTCAATTGTGAGGAATGGGAATTAATGACATTGGCTGCTAAAATGGAGTGAAGAAGGTAGGTGAACAGCTCTGGTCTAAGACCAAGGTTCCCATGCAGGACTTGGTTTTTCTGCTGGGCTTTAAGACCCCAAAGCCCAAGAAAATGCTATCGTCTTATGAAATTTCCAAGAAGAAGACCATCCACCTCACCTTAAAGGTGGTGAAGCCCAAGATGCGGAGCTGCCCATGTTTCTGGTGGAAACATGTGATGAGGAGCAGAGAAATCTCCTCCTGGCATGACTTAATTTAAAAAAATATGGTAGATTATGGCATCAGAAAGGACAAATTACATTTCTTGACATACCACTCCACTGGAGGTGACCCAGGGGTAGAGAGATGCTTAAGGAAAAGCAGTTCATTTTCTTCTGGCTCATGTTCAGTAACCAGGGTGCCCAAATACTTTGAAGACGGAGTCTTAATCCAGAAGATAGGAGTTCTGTGTAACCTATACTATATGGTTACTTGATAGCAACAAAGTTCTTGTTGAAATATTCTGTTATAACTCAAAGGTTATATTATGTTTGCTTTTTTTTTCTGGACTCTTTAGTGGAAAATGGAAAAAAATACTACAAATAAAACATTAAACTTTTCCTTCCAATATTTCACCTTTATTTCAGTCTCAAAAAAAGTGTTATTTGCAACTTTAATGTGGCCAGAACCATATACATTTGAAAGGCTGCTAAATTGAAAACAATAGAGCCTGCATTTTGGTTGTAACAATCCATTCTGTGTATTTGCATGTGATTATAGATTTGCTAAGTTTTAGTTCCTCCTTTCCTCTGGCTGTAACTTGAGGCAGTGAAGGAGAAAGAGAAGGCAAAAAAGGGTCAATAGAAGAAGGAGCAACTGGACAGAAAGAACCTTGAGGAAGTAGGAAAGAAGACATGTGCAGGGGGTTGAATGCTTATGTCCTTCCAAAATTCATATGTTGAAATCCTAAACCACCAAGATGATGGCATTAGAACATGGGGCCTTTGGGCAGTGATTAGGTCACGAGGGAAGAGGCTTCATAATTGGAATTAGTGCCCTCATAAAAGAGACTCCAGAGAGTTGGTAGTCCCTTTCACCATGTGTGGGCACAGCAAGAAGTCACCTTCTATAATCAGAAAGCAGGCCCTCAATAGGCATGAAATCTGCCTTAATCTTGGAGTTTCCAGCCTCCAGAACTGTAAGAAAGAAATGTTTGTTATTTATAAACCACCCAATTTATGTGTAGCTTGTGATAGTAGCTTGAATGAACTAAGCTAACACGGTAAGAACCAGAAATGAAGATAGAGTGACGGTGATGACTGTCAAGCACACTCATGAGAAGCAAGGCAAGGCCATGGCCTAGCTGATTTGGCTGGAGAAGATATGAGCCACTTTTACACTTAGATGGCTTATTATTTACATATAAAAAAGAAGTAAAAGCCAAACGTGCCAATTCCCTGGTTCCTTGTCCTACACACCAAAAAGGATGACACGGAAACCAAAGGGGCCAGACGACTGTGACACTGTTGTGGAATATACCACTGGTGAGGAGTCAGTTCTAGAATCCAGCTATTCCTCATTATATTCTTCAGCTATATCCTAAAGGGTGTGGGGCAGAAAACCCCATGCTCCATCCAAAACCTGGGAGACAGTAAAGACTTGTCACATGACATACTCCCAGGGATATAAGAAGGAGAGTGAGAGATGGCATTGAGGCAGGTTCTAAAGGGCCTCCCATCCTCTCATATTCCAGGAGGATCAAAAAGCATTCTTCTAAATCTCAGATTAGCTGTTCTTCAAGCCTTTGCTTACATGACCTACGTAGATACATGCAAGGTGTCCAGAATGCTATGATGGAGTAGTTCCCCTACACTGACATGACAATTGGAGAGCAATTATATAACCAGAAATAGGCATGGTGGAGTTAGGAAATCTATAGAAGTGATGACAGTAAAAAGAACAGAATGGAGGATAGAAATATTAAGAATGGACAGTGATAGGAATGATAATATTTGAATTTGTGTGCCTTATGGAGCTACCTATCTCCTCTCACCCAATTTCTTTTATCTCTCTGTCCCTCTCTTTCTCATTCTCCCTCTCATAGATAACATAGCCACACTGTGACCCACCACAGTGGCTCAGGTGTATGTGGGAAGGGTAGTAGTCTGGAAAACTTAACATGTTCATAAATCTTGAAGAAACTCTTCTTACTTTCGAAAGTATATTAAGCAGCTCTCCAGCTTTCCCTGGAGTCTCTTTCCTTCCCTAGTAACCTCCTGAGTGCTCGCTTTATCTCCTTGTTCCTCAGGGTGTATACGAGAGGGTTAAGTGAAGGAGTGCCCACTGCATAGAAGAGACCAAAGAACTTGCCCCTCCCTTGGGCATACGGATTTTTGGGCTGGAGGTAGACAGCAATGACTGAGCTGTAGAAGAGGGTGACCACAGTGAGATGGGAGGAGCAGGTCCCAAAGGCCTTTCTCCATGCTGTGGCAGAGTTAATCCTCAGCACTGCCTGGGCAGTGGCTCCATAAGAGGCAAGGATGAGGCTGAGAGGCACAACCACGAAGATGACACTGGACACAGCCAACTGGATTTCATTGTAGGAGGTATCTCCACAGGAGAGTCGAATCAGAGATGGGACCTCACATAAAAAGTCATCTATCTGCTGGTGGGGACAGAAGGGCAAGTGGAGGGTGGATGGTGTCTGGACTATCGATTGAACCAGACTCATAACCCAGGCCACAGATGCCAGCTGCCAGCACAGGCGGGGGTGGATGATGGTGGCATAGTGGAGGGGCTGGCAGACAGCCACGTATCGGTCAAAGGCCATCACTGTCAGGAGGATGCACTCAGTGGTCCCCAGGGACAGGAAGATGAAGAGCTGGACAGAGCATCCCAGGAAGCTGATGGTCTTCTTTGGGCCCCAGAGGTTGACCAGCATCTGGGGGACACAACTTGTGGTAAAGCAGAGGTCCAAGAAGGAGAGGTCAGAGAGGAAAAAGTACATTGGAGAGTGGAGCCTGGGGTACAGTACAGACAGCAGGATGATGAGTGTGTTGCCCACCAGGGTCAAGAGGTAGGAAGTGAAGACAACCACAAAGAGAGTCCTTTCCAGTGCTGGGTGTTCAGAGAAGCCCAGAAGGAGGAAGCCCATGGGGGAGCTTTGGTTAACCATGGCCTGTTCTTGTTTGTACCTGGAGGGATGAGGCTGTCACCCCAGTGTGATTCAACCTGTCTTATCAAAACTCAGCCTGGGTGTTTGTGAGGTCACAGCAGGTAGGTGTTTCTTTTCTGTCTCTGCTCACCCAGCCTCCCTTTCCCAGGCTTATTGTCATCCAGCAGCTCCTTCTCGTTCCCTGTTCCTTCTGATCAAACGTTGTCTAGCAGAAGTGAGGAAACCAAGAATGTGCTGGAAAGCAGGTGGAACCTCACATTGGTGCCTCTGACTTCCTGGTTGAGGGCAAAGAAAGCTGATGTAAAACATGGATTAATTAACCGATCTTCATTAATTCAACAATAAATTGTTAGGCTCTATCTTATTCTAAATGTTGTGGTAGTTCTGAATATTTCATTATGTACATCCATAAAGAATTAGAAAAGAATCATTTGATAGAATTGCCCTACTATTCATATGTATGCAAAATTATTCTGTATTCTGGGGCATAAGTTTCCTGGAATTATTCATGTTTTATCTACTTTATCTTTGTTTGCAGAGGTGTCAATCAGAGGCAGAGTGTAGAATTAACAAAGAGATTTCTCCGCTGTGTGTATTAACTCCACTCATAGAAAAATCAATGAGGTATTTTGTTCCTTCTCCATTAAAAAAATTATGATTCATTAAACTAAATGTAAGAGCTTCCTCCACAAATGAAAATCCCTAACCTCAACTTAACATTATGTAGAATGTAGCAAAATGACATGAAAAAAATGCTGCCAATTGTCTTGTTCTGGGGCTTAGAAATTAAAAAGATGATATAATTTTTAAAATTTTTTGCCTCTCAAATAAGATTATGTCAATAGCAAAATAGAGAGTTGATATTGGGACGTTTAAGTAGAAATTATTCAGGATCTAGAAGAATTTAAAGAAAAAAAGGAAGGAATTAGAATTTGTTACTTTCTTAATTCTATTCACTATTTAAGATTTAAAACATTATTTTTATAAAAATTCATACCCCCAAATTTTAAGAGTAATTTAAAGAATTTCTGAATGTTCTTTATCTATATTAGTAAAGTGCTAACACTTGACATTTTTATCATTACATCTTTATCTTTGCATATGCAATTATATTTACCCTGAGCTACTGAACAGTGAGTTGTATATATAATGCCTCTTCACTTCTTCATGTTTCTAAGATAGAATTTTTTTTTAGTGTAAAAACAGCTCAGTTACTAAATACAGGAAAGCCAACATTGATAAAGTATTATTGGCCGGGTGTGGTGGCTCACGCCTATAATCCCAGCACTTTGGGAGGCTGAGGCGGGCGGATCACCTGAGGTCAGATGTTTGAGATCAGCCTGGTCAACATGGTGAAACCTCGTCTCTACAAAAAAAAAAAAAAAAAAAAAAAAAAAATTAGCGGGGTGTGGTGGTGGGTGTCTGTAATCCCAGCTACTCAGGAGGCTGAAGCAGGAGAATCGTTTCAACCTGGGAGGTGGAAGTTGCAGTGAGCTGAGATCGTGCCATTACACTCCAGCCTGGGCAACGAGAGAGAAACTCTGTCTCAAAACTAACTAAATAAATAATAAAATATTATTACTTACTCTGTAGACCATACTTATAGTTTTGCCAATAATTTCTGTTATATACGTGTTTTCCCATGGAAGATCCACTCCAGATTATGTATGTCTGAGCTTGCCCTCTTAAGTAGCCTTTCCTTAGTCAGTGAAATAACAAGCCTTAAAGTATAGGCTGGTCGGTTCAGTTCCTAGCATGAGAAGCAGAGAGACTAGAAGAGTATGGCCTCATGTATTCAATAAACACTGGGAAATACATGGGAAAATTGAGACCCTCCCCAACACCGCCGCCCAGAATTGAAGGCAAATAAATTAAGATGAGGTGTGGGTTAGGAAAGAGTCTGCACAATAAAGGAGGAATCTGGGTGGGTGGGCCACGGAAAGCCTTTAGGAGGAGGTGACATGCATTTTTGCTGTAAAAGACTGTGCTGAGACACATGAGGCAAGCTCAATGATGGGGGTGGGATGTGGCACCACCCTGGCAGGTAAGAGGCAGAAACTGAGGGTTTTCTGAGCACAGACAATGGCAGGAGGGCCGTTTAGGGGATGTGGCCATTTAGGGCAAGCAAGTTGGTGGTCTCATTGGCAGACAGTGCCCTGGGACTTTATGGGATGGCACAATCACCTCTGCATCACAGGACCCTGTCTGGTGTTAAAAGCTGCCTCCCATCTCCCTTTTCATCAAGACTCCCTCCTTTTTGTCTCCTTCTATATTCCTTCCTCCATCATTACGTCTCTCCTTGAGGATAAGATTTGTTCCCTTAATTTTTTAAAAATCATATAAACAAAAAGTATATAAAACACATCTATGGATTTTATGGAATAATAAACACATGGTGTACCTGAATCTCCTCCTGATTTAAGAACAGATCAAATATTACTGGTATCTTAGAAGTCTTCTGTGTTCTCCTCCCTGATCACATCTCCTTCTCTCCCACTGAAGAAGTAAACACTATTCTGATTATTTTAAATGTATCGTTCCTTTTTAAACTTTGCAGCCTCATATCTTTTGTGTCTCAGCAATTGTCCAGAGTTTTATTCATCCATAAACTGCAGCATTTCTTACATTCTTACTCTCTTGGCAACTTGTCTCACTGTATGTTTTTTCTTAATCTCTTCAGTTTATATCTTCCTTTGACCCTCTGCACTCTCCTATTTTCTATCTTTAATAACATGCCTTTTCCTTACCCTGTTTCTTCTGGTCCTTTTCTCTGACACCAATAATAGGCAAGCACTACTTTCCCTACATCCCATTAACTCCACACAGAAGCACATTAATTTATTCTTTTTTGGTCCTCAAAGAGCCAGTCATGTACTAACTGCTACAAAGTTATGAGACAAATTCTGCCCTACAGTTCAATAATAATAACCACTTATAGTTTTGACAGTTACTATCTGTTGATGTCCTATATACTAACACTGTGCTAAATAATTTCCTGGAATATCTGCTTCTTAAAAGAACCCTGCTAGACAGTTAATATCTCTGCAGAAGAACAAACAGTCTCAAAGAGGTTAAGTAACTTGCCCAGGGTTACCCTGCCAATGAGTGTCAGTGCCAGGATTGTAGACCCTGTTTGATTCAGAACTGTCTTAAGAACATGTGGAAATTGATGGGCTGTAGGGGAATAAACTTGTGACTTACTTGCAATTAAGTCAGACTCTCTTCACGGCCTTGCTGCCACAGCTTCCCCATAGAAAGGAACTTCTGGACTGGTTGGAGCCTCCACTTGTGATCTCACAATGAGAACTAAAAGCAAACTAAAGAGGAATGTTATACTCTTGATGATTATTGGAACTTGGATTTCAGTTAAGAGTATTGATTGCTAGTGCTTACTTCCATGGGCACTCAAAAAAGCGCTTCATATTTACGGCTCCTTATAACTTCAAAAGGTGGGTACTATTATTACCTTCCCTTACAGATCAATAATTGAAGACATGTAGAGGTTGAATATCTTGTTCTGGAAAGTATAGCTAGTAAGCGCCAAAGACCAAATTTTAACCCAGGTGGGCTGGCTGAAGAAGCTATGCGCTAACCACATTCCACCATTGCTCTGCCAGACACATGAGCTAGAGTTAGCGCTTTACTATGGAACTCTTGCTAACGACTTCTTTTCCTCAATCCAGTAAGTTAACCTCTCTTTTAGTGACATTAAAGGCAGAAAAAAAGGCATAGTGAGATGATGGGGGGAGGAATCCCAAGACTCCCATCCCATAGAGAGAAGTAGCTCATTAATTCTGCCAAGACTAGGTGCCCCATAACCTATAGACAGCTAATTGGCCACAGCTACTAATGGTTAAGAAGGAATGTGAAGATTCAAAGGAAGTGTGCCAGCAACTGAGTTCCCTTTGGCATATAAAAAGGTCACCACTGCTTCTCCGTGTCACTGGGGAGTAAAAGGGCACTATTCTCTCCTGATCCACACCTTCTGAGTGTCCCATATTTCCAGCCTTCCTCTCAAGCCTCGAATGTGCTCATTCAATCCCCCCTGACTTTGGTTTATTTCCTTTCTCTTTTTAAAATTAAGGTATAATTTACATAATGAAGTGCACATATTTTAATGGACAATTCACTGAATGTGAACAAATGTATACATCCAGACAACCATTACCCTACTGAAGATATAGAACATTTCCATCACTCCAGAAATTTCATCATGCCCATTTACAATAATTCTCCCCATGCTCTAGGCAACCACTGCTCTGATTTCTATCATTTTGTTTTGCTTTTTCCAGAACTTCACATAAAAGATTCATTCAGCACATACTCTTTGTGTTTGGTGTGTTATGCTCTGTACCACAGTTTGGAGAATCATCCCTGTTGTTTTGTGTATCAATAGTCCAATTCTTTTTTAAAAATATCAGTGAGTAGTATTCTCTTGCCTAAATATATCACAATTTTTTCATCCATTCACTTGTTGATGAACATTCAGGTTTGTGGTTGTTTTAAAATATGGCCCCCAATTTTCTTATATCCCCTTCACAAAGTAGAGCCTACTTCCCTTACCTTTGCATGGGAGCTGTACTGAGTGACTCAGTTTTAACAAATAGAATCTGGTAGAAACGATGGGATGTGACATCAAAGACTATGTCACAGTAACATTGTGACTTCTTCTTTGTGGATTGTTTACTTTGGAGGAAGCCATCCTAGCAGTGAATGGAAACACACATATGGGGAGAAACTAAGGCTCCCTACTAAAAACGTGCAACATGTGACTGGGACATCTTGTAAGTGAATCCTTCAGCTTCATCCAAATCTTAGAAATACAATCAGCTGACTTCTTGACTACAATGTCAAGAAAGATCCTAAAATAGATACATCTACTATGTATTCACAAAAAGTTTTTAAAAAGTTAAAAGAAAGATCCTAAGCTAGAATCACCAGCTACTATTTAGCTGCTTCTGAATTGCTGGCCCATAGAAACTGTGAGATAATAAATATTTGTTGTTTGAAGCCATTAAGTTTTGGGATAACTTTTTATGCTGTAATAGAGAAACAGTGTGGGGTGGTTTCCAGTTTTTGCTGTTGTGAATCAATCTGCTATAAACTTTCATGTACAAGTCTTTTGTGTATGTGTATTTTCATTTCTCTTTGGTCAAAACCTATTTGTGGAATTTCAGGGTCATGTGATAGACATTCTAGTGGATATCAGGTGATATCTCATTATAGCTTTTATAGCTTTTTAATTTAATTTTTTTTTTTTTGAGACGGAGTCTTGCTCTGTTGCCCAGGCTGGAGTGCAGTGGCGCGATCTCGGCTCACTGAAAACTCTGCCTTCCGGGTTCACGCCATTCTCCTGCCTCAACCTCCCGAATAGCTGGGACTACAGGCGCCCGCCACCACGCCCAGCTAATTTTTTGTATTTTTAGTAGAGACGGGGTTTCACCATGGTCTCGATCTCCTGACCTCGTGATCCGCCCACCTCGGCCTCCCAAAGTGCTGGGATTACAGGCGTGAGCCACCGTGCCCGGCTTTTTTTTTTTTTAGACTGAGTTTCACTCTGTCGCCCAGGCTGGAGTACAGTGGTGTGATCTCGGCTCACTGGAACCTCCGCCTCCCAGGTTCAAGTGATTCTCCTGCCTCAGCCTCCTGAGTAGCTGGGATTATAGACATGTACCACCATGCCCAGCTAATTATTGTATATTTAGTAGAGACGGTGTTTCACCACATTGACCAGGCTGATCTCGAACTCCTGATTTCAGGTGATCCACCTGCTTAGGCCTCCCAAAGTGCTGAGTTACATGTGTAAGCCACCAAGCCAGGCTAATTTTGAAAATTTTTTGTTGTATATGCTTAGGATATACAGGATTTCCTTTTTTTTTTTTTTTTTTTTTGAGACAAGTCTCATTCTGTCTCCTAGGCTGGAGTGCAATGGCACGATCTCGGCTCACTAAAACCTCCGCCTCCTGGGTTCAAGCGATACTCCTGCCCCAGCCTCCCAAGTAGCTGGGATTACAGGCGCATGCTGCCACACCCGGCCACTTTTTTGTGTTTTAGTAGAGAGGGGGTTTCACCATGTTGCCCAGGCTGGTCTCGAACTCCTGAGCTCAGGCAATCCACCCGCCTCGGCCTCCCAAATGATGTTTTGATATACATAGTTAAATGATTACTATGGTCAAGCCAATTAACATATCTATCAACTCACAGTTACTTTTCTTGTGGTAAGAGTACTTAAAATCTATTCTCTTAGAAATTTCCAGTATATAATACAATGTTGTCAACTGTAGTCCTCAGGCTATACATTAGATCTCTAGACTTATTAATCTCACAGTAGTTTCTAAATTTACAATTATCCAACAACTAAGTCATTGAGCATCTTTTCATTGGTCATTTATATATTCTTTTGTGAGGTGTCTGTTCAAGTCATTTGTCCATATTTTATAGTGTTTCCTTTTATGATAAAAGTATATGAGTTCTTCATATATTCTGCATAAAAGTCCTTTGTCAAATAAATGCACTGTGCTATTTTTTCAGTCTGTGGTTTGATGTTTCAATTTGAATGGCGTCTTCAAAGGAGAAGAAGCTTTTAAGTTTGATTAACTCAAAATTCATCAATTATCTTTTTGCAGTTAAGTGCTTTTTGAATCCTAAGAAATCTTTACCTATTCTAAGGTCATAAATATTTTCTTTTATGTTCTTCTTTAGAAGCTTTTAATTTCTAGCTTATATGTTTATTTATATGACCCATGTTAATTTTTTTGTATGTTGTGATATAGGAGTCATAATTCATTTTCATACATATAATAAAATATTATGAAAATGGCTGCTTTTTTACACTTGATCTTAGCCAAAAGGCCGAGAAGCGATAAAAAAAATGGCTGCTTTTTTAAACAAATCATAATGGTACAGTTTTTATACCTATATCTGGTTCCTCCAGTACCATTTGTTGCAAAGAATATCGTTTCCTGTATTGAATTATCTTGGTGTCTTTGTGTAAAATCAATAGATCTTATGTGTTTGGCTCTATTTCTGCACTTTCTATTCAGTTCCACTGATCTCACCAGTTGATGACATTTGGATTGTTTCTACTTTTTGGGTGTTACTAATAATGTTCTTATGAAGAGTCATTGAAGGCATATGATTTAAATTGTCTTGGATATTACCTGACAGTGGAATTATTGGGTTGTATAGTAAATTTTTTTTATAAAAAACCTGCCAAATTGTTTTCCAAAGTGGCTCTGTCAATTTTGACATATTCTTGCCAACACTTAATCAGTATTTCACATCTTTGTCAACATCTTATACCATCAGTTTCTTATTATAGTCATTCTAGTAGACTTGTAAGTATTGTGTTTAATTTCATGTTCTTAATAACCAATGATAAAGAGCATCCTTTCATGCCTTTTTTTTCCATCTGGGCCCCAGCTGATTGGATGATACCCATCTATATTGACAGTGGATCTTCCCTACCCAATGAAAGACTATATTGTCCATGAATTCTTTAAAAATGGTTTTAATTTAACTATTTATATTAGATGTTTTGAATCTCTGTTTGCTAAATTCAACAGCAGTCCCACTTACAGTCAGTTTCCATTAACTGCAGTCTTTTCTCTAAGACTTGATTATACTTTCCTGTTTCTTTGCATGTCTCATTTTAGATACTATATTGACAAGTTTATATTCTTATTTTTTTCTAAGAATTATTTTGTTAACATTATTGGACATAATCTGTGGACTGTGTATCTTCCACCATTTATGGCTTCCATGGTCTCAACCTAGCTCTTAAAAATTCATATTTTAAAATCTTGGATCCCAGAAGTTTCCCTTGTTCTTGCACAGCTTAGTGTTCAGTCAATGATTGGGTGAAGGTTTTGGTCAAATACTTTTGATTTCAAAAGGCTTCCATTCTCTGCTAATGCATCTGCCTTTGTGCTGGGACCATATTCAAATTCAGAGAGCTTTTAAGTTTGTCTTGGATTTTACTTCATGCTGGTTTCTCTCATGTTTCTTCTGTACATACCTGTAGTTTCCCAGTCAGCCAGGAATGTGTAGAGATCTTATCTAATTCTTCTATAGCTATCTAATTCCCAGCATCTTCCCATTACATTTCTGATAGGTTCACTGTTCGCCTCATTAAAACTGTAACCTCTGGATACCTGAGCCTTAAACACGATTGAGTTTGTTACTTTTACTGACATAAACCCTAGGCATGAGTTTTTATCTTTGTTCCAAATCATCTCAACCCTCTTTAATAGTGTAATTGTTGATTTTCATGGCCATTCCTGACTGGCAAAACTACCATCAACTAAGTTGGAGTAGTACTGGAGCACTTTTCACAGGACAGGCACAGTTACCTATGATTCTTACCTAAGCTTCTAGCACTGCTTTATGAAAAAGTGGTTCTCAATTTATTATTTGCCTTGGTTTATTTCCAGACACCTGAAATGATTGTTTTTGACAATTTTTCTGGTTTTATAATTTATTTGTGAGGTGGAGGAAGGAAGGATTTGCTGTCCTCTTTAATTCACCATATCTGGTGAATTTTATTTTTAATGTATATATATTAATTTATATTTATTATTTATTTCATAATTTATATTATAATTTTATTTTTAATCTATAAGTGTATTTATGATTAAGCTGTCTTTATATTTAAAGTGCAAGTTTTTTTCTTGGGGATACCATATGGATCCTGAACTTATAAGAGTCTACTCTGACTTAATACAATACCTTTAACATAGAATATAAAAATCTGATAATAATAAAATTAGTTATAATTCCTCCCATTCTTTGTGCAGCTATTGCCGTGTTTTACTTTACATATGTTACAACCCTTGTAATATATTATCATTATTTTTAGACTTTTAATGAATTTAAGAAAAGGAAGAAGATAACTTTTATATACACTTTTATGTTTCCAATCTTGAAAGTTTTTCGTTCCTTCTCATAGATTTGAAACTCCAAATATTATAATTTCTCTATAGCCTGAAAAACTTCCTTTATCCTTTTTTATTCTTTTAGTGAGTATCTTCTGGCAACAAATTTTCTCAGCTTCTTTTTAATTTCAGATGGCTTTATTTTGCCTTCATTTAAGAAAGATTATTTTCCCCCACTGGGTAATTCTAAGTTGGCAGATTTTTTTTCTCTTCACATTTGAAAGATAATTCATAGCCTTCTGACTCCCTTTGTTTCTGTTGAGATGTTGGCAGTCATTTTTATTGTTATTCCTTATTATGCAATATGTCTCTACCACTTCAGCGGGTTTTCAGATTTTTCTTTTTAAATCTTTGTTTTTCTCAGTTTATGATGTATGTAGATGTGGTATTGATAATGTGGATTGCTATTTTTATCGAATTTGAAAAAATTTTGCCAACATTTTTTGAACAATTTTTTTGTTTGCCCTTTTATCTCTCTTCTCCTTTTTTTCCCCTAATTTTTATTTTAGTTTCAAGGGGCACAGGTGCAGGTTTGTTACACGGGTAAATTGCGTGTCATTGGGGTTTGGTGTACAAATGATTTTGTCACCTAGGTAGTGAGCACAGTAAACAATAGGTAGTTTTTTGACCCTCACCATCCTGCCATTCTTCCAACTCAAGTAGGCCCTGGTGTCTATTGTTACTTTCTTTGTGGTCATGTGTATTCAATGTTTTGCTCCCACTTACAAGTGAGAACATGCAGCATTTGGTTTTCCAATCCTGCTTTAATTTGTTTAGGATAATGGTCTCCATCAGGATCCATGTTGCTGCAAAGGCCATGATTTCATTTTTCATGGGTGTATAGTATTCCATGGTATATAAGTACCATGCATTTTTCTTCTCCAGTCCACTGTTGATAGGTATTTAGGTTGATTCCATGTCTTTGCTATTGTGAACACATACACATACATGACTCTTTATGGTAGAATAATTTATATTCCTTCGTGTATATTTCCAGTAATGAGATTGCTGGGTCAAATGGCAGTTCAGTTTTAAGTTCTTTGAGAAATCTCCAAACCACTTTCAACATACATTCTCAGCAGCATGTATGAGCTAACATACATTCTCAGCAGCAGTGTGTAAGCATTCCTTTTTTCTCCACGATGCTTCCAGCATCTGTTATTTTTTGAGTCATTCTGACTGATATGAGATGGTATCTCACTGTGGTTTTCACTTGCATTTCTCTAATGAATAGTGATATTGGGCATTTTTTTCATGTGCTTCTTGGCTACATGTATGTCTTCTTTTGAGACGTGTCTGTTCATGTCCTTTGCCCATTTAAAAAAAATTTTTTTTCTCTTTAAGTTCCTTATAAGCTCTGGATATTAGACTTTTGTCAGATGCATAGTTTGCAAACATTTTCTCCCATACTGTAGGCTGTTTATTTACTGTCTTGATGGTTTCTTTGGCTGTGCAGAAGCTCTTTAGTTTAATTAAGTTCCACTTGTCTATTTCTGTTTTTGTTTCCATTACTTTTGACAACTTTATCATGAAATCTTCACCCATTTGTATGTACAGAATGGTATTTGCTGGATTTTCTCCCAAGGTTTTTATAGTTTTAGGTTTTACTTTTAAATCTTTAATTTACTTCGAGTTGACTTTTGCATATGGTGAAAGGAAAGGGTCCAGTTTCAATCTTCCTAATACGGCTAGCCAGTTAGCCCAGCACCATTTATTGAATAGTGAGTGCTTATTTTTGTTGACTTTGTTGAAGATAAGATGGTTGTAGGTGTGCGGCATTATTTCTGGGTTCTCTGGTCTGTTCCATTGGTCTATGTATCTGTGTTTGTAACAGTACCATGCTATTTTGGTTACTGTAACCTTGTAGTATAGCTTGAAGTTGGATAATGTGATGTCCTCAGCTTTGTTCTTTTTGCTTAGGATTGCTTTGGCTATTTGTGCTCTTTTTTGGTAACATATGAATTTTAGAATAGTTGTTTCTAGTTCTGTGAAAAATGTCATGGGTAGTTTAATAGGAATAGCATTGAATCTGTAAGTTACTTTGGGTCATATAACCATTTGGATAATACGGATTCTTCCTATTCATGAACATGGAATGTTTTTTCCATTTTTTGTGTGTGTTGTCTCTGATTTCCTTCAGCAGTGTTTTGTAATGCTTGCTTGTTGTAGAGGTCTTTCATCTCTCTGTCTAGCTGCTTTCCTAGGTATTGTGTGTGTGTGTGTGGCTATTGTGAATGTAATTGCACTGTTGATTTGTCTCTCAGCTTGGACATTGTTGCCATATTCTGTGCCATGCCAGATGGAGTACTTAACAGAGCAGTGGATGTTGTAATGAACATATGTCTGCTTTTAAGATTCCAATAAAATATTTTAGGATTATAGCTGTGGACAGCTTTCAGTTTTTCAAGGATGAGGTTGGATTCTATACCCGGGACATAATTAGGCTGAGCATTCTCAGGAAAGTTAAGATCACTACAAGCCTCTCCACTCTACCCAAACACTGAGTTTCTGTTGTGAGGGATGACCCAGCAGGTCTGGGATAGCTGTTGAGAGTTTTGATACTATGGTTGGGCCTAAGAGGGAGGCTGCATGGGAGAAGCCAAACTACCAGCTGGGGCTGTGGGACAGTGGTGGAACCAAGGACAAATGTAGTCCCCTGTTTTAACAATGACCATTGTTGTGTTTTTTTTCCTCTTCTAGGGTCTTTCTACATCCCATATCTTAGTTACTCATAAAACTGTGCTGCCACAGGCCCATTTTTCGGTGAGAAAGCTAGAAAAGTTGGAGGACTTGTTCTAAGTCACGCTGTTACCAGCCTAGAGGGGCATCTCAGTGTTTTGAGCAGCTTCTCGTTTTGTGAGCTTTGTGGATGAGTGGTAAGAAAGATGGTCATTTGGGCCGGGCACGGTGACTCAGGCTTGTAATACTAGCACTTTGGGAGGCTGAGGCAGGCAGATCACCTGAGGTCAGGAGTTCAAGACCAGCCTGGCCAACATGGAAAAACCCCATCTCTACTAAAGATACAAAAATTGGCTGGACGTGGTGGTGCATGCCTGTAGTCCCAGCTACTCTGGAGGCTGAGGCAGGAGAATTGCTTAAACCTGGGAGGTGGAGGTTGCATTGAGCCGAGATCATGCCACTGAACTCCAGCCTGGGAGTCAGAGCGAGACTCCATCTCCAAAACAACAAAAAAAAGAGAAAGATTGGTCATTTATGGGTGGGTGGGTGTATTCGAAGGAAATGTTCAGTTGTGAGGATATCAGAAGAAGGAAGAAAAATCATAACTGGGAAAGAAAGATACTTTTTTGTGAGACGTAGCTTGAGTAATTTATTTTTGATATTTGATTTTTTGAAATATTTTTTGAGTACTTAACATATGTAGAGATTAGAAACTTCTGGTAATTAAGAGGGGGCAAGATAGCTAGAGTATCATTTAGTATAGGATTATAGGGAGGTATTTGAAGTTTTCTTCTTCTTTCCTTTTCTTTAAATAGTAAAACTGAACAGAGAGTAGAGAGGTTTTCTGTATACCTCCTGCCCTTCCTCCCTAGGTGGACTCTCCTACTAACAACATCCCATATTAGAGTGGTAATTTGTTATAACTGATAAACTTACACTGACATATCATTATCACCCAACGTCCATTGTTTACTTCAGGACTCACTCTTGGTACTATATATTCTATGTGTTTGGACAAGTGAATCCTAGTACATACAGAATAGTGTGACTGCCCCAAGGTTCTCTGTGCTTTCTATTCATCATTCCTTCTCTGACCCCATACTCCTGCTGTAACCTCTGGAAACCACTGATATTTCTACTTTCTTCATCATTTTGCCTTCACTGAAAGAGTTTTAAGGCATATTGATTAGGAGAAGTTAGAGGTTAAAGTAAAAGAAGGAGAGGTAAGAGGTCACCAGTCATTAAAAATACATTGAAGGCAAGAAAAGTGTTGGGAGAAGGGATCATAAAAAACATGAGTACTTCAAAGGGAAATAGGGATGAGAGCTACTGGGTAATATCAGGAAATTTTTAAAAAGAAGGTGTTTATTGGAATTGGAGATGGAAGTCATGGGAAGCAGGAGTTCTAGGACACCAGAGGTCAAAGTGTCCAGTATGATAAGAAGGAATACAGAAGGCTTGAAAAGGAATAAGAATTCATTAGAGGAGTTGAGTGGCATGCAGAATGGACACAGAAAATTGCCAGAACTGGCCAACTCGAAAATGGGGCTTTTGCCGACAGTTTGGTGCCTACTTAAACAGAATGTATCACTTGGTTGTCAGACATTATTCTATAGTGGCAGGATTCTATGACTTGCCCTTCCTTTCCCAGATTTCATGATTTTCTCAAGTGACCCTTATGGGGCATCCAAATGTGGCAACATAATAATTCATGGACACCAGAATTATCCAAGAGGAACTGGAGAGACAACAGCATTGGAGGGCCATCCAAGACCCCCAGTAGTCCTTTCTGTACTTGGTCTCCATGTGCCATCTTCACTTCCTTAGAAAGGGTCGTGTGGCTGGGTGTGGTGGCTCACGCCTGTAATCCCAGCACTTTGGGAGGCCGAGGTGGGCAGATCATGAGGTCAAGAGATCGAGACCATCCTGGCCAACTTGGTGAAACCCCATCTTTACTAAAAATACAAAAATTAGCTGGGTGTGGTGGCGCACACCTGTAGTTCCAACTACTTGGGAGGCTGAGGCAGGAGAATCGCTTGAACCCAGGAGGCGGAGGTTGCAGTGAGCCGAGATCACACCACTGTACTCCAGCCTGGGCGACAGAGCTAGACTCCTTCTCAAAAAAAAAAAAAAAAAAAAAAAAAGAAAGGGTCATGTTGATCACTTTTGGATCTTTTTTGATGACCAGTAGAGTGCTATAGACTGGCTAAAAGAAAGAACTGAAGGAACTGTGACTCATTTACTTTCTATAGAACACCAGAGAGAAAGCCAAGGAATGCAAAGAATGCATATCCAGTGTCAAGGAGGAATGGGGAATGAGCTGAGTTCCTAAGGAGGCCCAGCCAGGCCATCCCAGAAACAGGAAGAATTAAAAGCCTCATCATCTAGCAGAAATCCTACAGTATTTATTTCACTAATTTGTTTTAGGTCCTCTCTTTGGATAATACAGAAGAATAACTCTACAATGGCCTCATTTATACTGCCAGAGGGCCCATAATGGTGATTCTCCAAAGAGTATATGGCCTGCATTCTCATTCACAATTGGGACGCACCCCTGTACTTATCTCTAGTCCTCCTTCAGTTCATTTCCAGACCCATGCTAGTGCAAGACTTAAAAGTGCTCCAGCCAGAAGAGTCTTCTACCACTCGTTCAAATTCATTCAACAAATAAATATTATCAAGTATAAAATTCCAAATTGGCATCAATAATATAAAACTGTCAATGCAAACCCCATTTTTCAAATTGACTATTTTTAGGAGCTGAATAAAGATCAAAATGATAAGCCCAATGTGTATAGGTATCTGTGGTCCATTGCAAAAATGAACTATTTCCCAATGGCTGCTTTAGAAAGTTTCTATTTGAAAGGCAGTAAATAAGAGGCATCATGATTGCCTAGGGCAGTATTTTTACCCTTGGAGTCAAGGATGGTCAGGGTTTCTATGTTTATCATTTGTATTCTTTTATGCAAATGGGGAATTAGGTCTAGATACCAAGAACTAGACCAGGATCTTATTGGGGTCGGAAATTAGGAGTAAAGCCAGTCCACAGGAATATCATGAACTGAAAAACAAAGAGGCAGAAAACATTGTTCTGGATGATAAGTTCCAGTTATTAGGTAAAATATTCTCGTGAAAAGTTGAGTAATTTATTTAGGTCCATCAGGGTGCCTATGGTCGACAGAGTCCTCAACTGTGTTATTTCCGCTGCTTGGGTTCTAAACCACCTTTTGACCTATTATTTGGCTTTCTGAAGAGGGTGATTGCAAAATGGATCTTATTATGCAGACCAGGTGTGCTGCTTATTCAGAACTCAGCAGTTACTTTGGCTCTAAATCAGCCTCCTGAGAAGTCAGTATTGGTAAGTCAGTCATTTCATTAGGGCTTGGTCACTGACTGGTATATTATCAACCATGTTTTTTTCAGGCATGCTGAGGTTGAAGCAAATGGGAGAGAGATGACTTTTAACTTCTGTGCTTCCACCTCCTCATTCTCTCAAGTGGCCGAATGTCTAACCTCAGTCAATCGTTGTGCCTTGAGGCTTGTTTCTCTAACTATATCCATACATATGTGGTGAATAAATATATCTATCATTCTTGGGTGCAAGTGCCCTGACTCCTGCTGCTTCTCTGCAGTGCCTCTAATTGGTTAAGAAGGTTGTGGCTTGGCTTTCCAGGCCCCTGGCAGGTGACATTGTCAGTCCTGGCTGCCAGGAGAGGAAACATCCAGAAAATGCTATTGCACAAACCAGGTGGTGGTTATGGTAGATGAGACAGATTAATAATATTGCCTCTTCTTGCAGGAAATGGGATTGGGTGATGAGGAGGGAGATAGGCAAGGGAAGCTCAGGGAAGGGAGGAAGTGGGTCTGGGCTGCAGTGAGAATGAAGGAGAATGAAGAGGATCCACTGAAAAGCTGAGCAGAGGAGAAATACAAAGGAAGTTGACCAGATTGCCAGCACTATGTAGAATAAGGCACACTGTGGGAACTTGATAATTATTCGCAGACTTGAAAGAAGTGTAAAGGGTTAGCCAAAAGAAAAAAAAAGTTGAATAGATGATGGGTGGCATCTTTGAAGCTTGAAGTTTGCACTGAGATCCCACTTTCTGTTTTTCTCAACTCTCAGAGGATCAACCCTGGAATCTTTTGTGTAGCAAGCCTGGTCAGCTCCTAATCCTTCTCCTTATGTCCCTGGGAGACCCAGAGCCCCTGTTTCTTGGTGGCCCTGATGTACCTGAGTTCTCTTCTTTCTTCTACAATATTTCCTCTTCCAACTCTTTCCTAGTCTTCCCTGACTGGAAAGAGTTAAGGCCAGTGAGGGCACACAACCTAGAGAGGCAGAGAGGCTGGCAATGGACAAGCACACGCTCCCATTTCCAGGACTGAGCCACAGCCTTTGTTCAGTGTCTCTTCCTGAGTCCTACATCCCTTTCCTGGCCCCTGTGTAAGATCCCCACGTGCTAGGCTCTCCAAGCCCTCCCTAGGGCACTGATTTGTGAATCCCAGAGAGCTCAGTGGGGAGCAGAAACGCAGGGGGACCATGCTGCCACAGGAGGAGCTGATGCAGGGAAGCAGTGAGCATAGACTGTGGGAGTGAGCTCTGGTTGGGAGGTTTCTCCAAGCCCTGTGAAGAGATTGGCCTGGGATGCACAGAGATGGCTTTCCTTGTGAGCCGGTGAGTCTTCCTCTGAGGTCTTTTTTGTTCTTTCTCTTTTCTCTGCTCAGTTCTTCAGCCTGCCTCTGTTTCTTCTTTCTCTCCTTCTCCCTTCCCTTCCATCTGACTTCTACCCTCCCTCCCTGATGCCACAGTCACTTCTTACTTCAGTTCTGCAAAGCTAAAGAATGAGGATACTGGCTGGGCACAGTGGCTCACGCCTGTAATCCCAGCTCTTTGGGAGGCCAAGGCAGGTGGATCATGAGGTCAGAAGTTCGAGACCAGCCTGGCCAACATGGTGAAACCCCGTCTCTACTAAAAATACATAAATTAGCTGGGCATGGTGGTAGGCTCCTGTAATCCCAGCTACTCAGGAGGCTGAGGCAGGAGAATCGCTTGAAACCAGAAGGCAGAGGTTGCAGTGAGCCAAGATCGTGCCACTGCACTCTAGCCTGGGCAACAAGAGTAAAATCCTGTCAAAAAAAAAGAAAGAAAGAATGAGGATACTTCTGGTAGCAGATACCATCAGGAGCTGGGGTGCACTATAGTGAGTGGGTCCCATGGGATTAGGGAAGTTGAGGAAGGGAGTGTCAGGGAGAAAGGTTGGTAGGAGGAAATATTAGGGACAGAGCAGTGGGATTTCAAGAAGCAGGTCAAGTTTTGCTCAGGGGCAATGGCAGGTGTGAGTAAGGGAGATGTGAGGTTCAGGAAGGTAGAATACAGTGGGGGAAGACTCAATATGGGGATCACTGATGGACTCTCCCTAGCTTTTGAGTGGTGTTTGTCTTGAAAACCAATGACTGTGCTTATATTGCCCAGGATTAATGTAGTTCAAGGTCCCTTGGTAGCTATCTATGGTGGAGAAAGAGCATTTGCTGCAATCTTCCTTCTGGTTCTTTGTGAGAGTATCAGCTATAAGAAGCATATAGTCCTTGGGACAAATAAGCACAGAATAGTGGATCTGGAACTCAATCCAGAGCTCATTTGATTTAGCCTTTATGTTTATTGATGATGAAATTGAAAACCAAAAAGATGATGCAAAGAGTTTGCTCTAGGTCCTGTAAAGTTTTAGTAACGGAGTAGAGATCACAACCCATGTCTTCAATCTTTACCAAGGTGTATTAGTCTGTTTTCACACTGCTGATAAAGACTTACCCAAGGCTGGGCAATTTACAAAACAAAGAGGTTTATTGGACTTACAGTTCCACATGACTGGGGAGGCCTCACAATCATGGTGGAAGGCAAGGAGGAGCAAATCACATCTTACATGGATAGTAGCAGGAAAAATGAGAGCTTGTGTAGGGCAGCTCCCATTTCTAAAACCATCAGATCATGTGAGACCCATTCACTATCACAAGAACAGCACAGGAAACATCCACCCCCATAATTCAATCATCTCTCACCAGGTCCCTCCCACAACACATGGGAATTATGGGAGCTACAAGATGAGATTTGGGTGGGGACATAGAGCCAAACCATATAACCAGGGATTTTCCATTCAATACTTTCCCCTGTCTATTTTTTTTTTTTTAATTACTGATTGGTGGCTCTAAGTCTTGCTCCAGAAAGACTAATGTGCTGGGTTACATAAATGTACAGAAAATAAGGATGAGAGAGACTGGACAAAGAAAAAGGTAGAATAGAACAACAACAACAACAGCAAGTGAGACCAGAAACTAGATATCTCAAAAATATATCGTGAGGAATTGCACATTTCCTGGAGATGAGTTACAAATTCAGGTGGAAACTTGCTAGCTGTCATGTTAAGAGGAAAAGTGATTACTTAATTTCTTAAAAAATTAAACATACACTTCCCATGTGATGCAGCCATTTCACATCTATGTATTTACCCCAGAGAAATGAAAGCATACAAAGACTTTGTACACAAATGTTCATAGAACCTTCATTCTATGAACCAAAAACTGGAAACAACCTGAACTTCCTTTAGCAGGTGAATGAATAAAAAATTGTGAAAACAACCCAAATTTCCTTCAGCAGGTGAATGGATGAACAAATTATGTCATATCTATACAATGGAGTATCACTCAGAAATGAAAAGGAATGGCTGCTGTACACACCACAACATGGCCAAATCTCCAAATATAAGTCAGACTAAAAAGAGTACATATTTTATAATTTCATTTATATAAAACTCTGAAAAAAGAAAAATATAGTGTTGGGAAGCAGATCAGAGGTTGCTTGGGAATGAGGAGTGCAGGGAGGGGTGAAAGAGAGAGATTACAATGGAGTGTGAGGGAGCACGGGGGCTGGATATGTTCATTTCGTGATTGCGCCTATAATGTCATGGTGCATACATGGGTCAAAACTTATCAAATTGCACACTTAAACATGTACAATTTGTCATATGCCAATTGTACTTCCATAAAACTGTGAGGAAATGTTATTGCTTATATGACAGGAAAAATACAGTGATTCCTATCACTGAGATATGAGAAAAATGATCCCTCTGAGAGTTTCATAATGTTGCTTCTTGTAATCTTTCTCAATGTAAACCAATGGCTTAATGCCAAAACACTCTTTAGCAAGACCAGTTCTAGGAAAGATGAGTTGATGGAGATATGTAGGAAGTGGAAATATTTCAGCATTTTAAATGTGTAGCTCTGTGCTCATCTGCTTTAGCTTGGGGATAAGATTTAGATTTTAAATTATCAGAGGAAAAGCTGTTTTGACAATCCTTTAGGCAACCCTTCTTAAATGCTGTTCCTCGCTATTGCAGTTTTGTTCAATTGAAGAGCAGTAGTTGTGAGGTTTTCCACATTGATAAAATGAGTTTGAGGAAGGCCACACAACCCCTTTTGGGGGGTGGGGACAGGGAGTAACACCTTTGTCTTTTCGCTTTACATTTTGAGTGTTTTCTTACTTTGCAAACTGTTCTCTGATAGTTTCATGAGAATCAGTGCTTTCTTAACAGGACAGCAAGTGCTCTCTGGACAGAATCACCACCCTGTATGTACTTGATATTCTCCACAGTGCCAAAGAGCAATAGGCACATAGAAAGTTTGCAATAAATACTATTGCATTTGAATAAAGTGTTGGAATGATATAAAGTATGTAGATTGCACTTTTAATTATTAATAAATACTTGCCTCTTGGAGATGGCTGTTTTTGATTCACCCTCTCAGCTTATTCCACTTATTTGTTCTGCAGTTCACTGACTCTCCTGCATATCATAGCCCTTATATTTGCTCTTCCGTGTCTTGGTAGTTTTTGGCTCATATCTGTGCTGGGTAGCAGTTTCTGTTAACAGTGATGTATAGAGCCTCTTCTTCCACCTTCCTCTGGGTCTCTTGTGGGTTCCAATGCCACTGATATTTCAAGAATACCCTTCTCTTCCCAGCAAAGTCACCCCATGTGAGCCAAACATTAGCCTTTGCGCTGACCTGTCTGACTTGCTAACAAAAACATCTATCAAGATACTATTTTGTGCCAGATATTAAGCTTGATTGTTTGCAAGTCTACAAATCCTCACAAAAACCCAATGAATTAGACTCTGTTGTTACCGCAACTTTATAGATAAGAAAATTAAGGCTCACATAAAAACAAAACAGAACAAAACAAAAAACAAACAGATTATGTCCTTTGCAGCAACATGGATGGAACTGGAGGTCATTATTCTAAGCAAACTAACACAGGAACAGAAAACCAAATACCATATATTCTCACTTAAAAGTGGGACCTAACACTGAGTACACATGAACACAAAGAAAGGAACAACAGATACCAGGACATAATTGAGGGTGGAGGATAGAAGAAGGGTGAGGATCAATAAACTGCTTATCAGGTACTATGCTTATTACCTGGGTGACTAAATAATCACTGTGAGGTGAAATTTACCTATATAACAAACCTGCACATGTACCCTTGAATCTAAAATAAAATTTAAAAAAATTAAGGCTCAGAGAGATTATATCATTCACCTGTGATCACTTAGCTAACTAGCTGGAAAAAATAAGACTTGACTTTAAGTCTGTCTGACATCAGAATCTGTTCTCTTAACCTCTGCGGCATATGAATTTCCATAAGAACTTACCTTCATTGAAACTTTTGTGGCCACTCCTTACTTCTTGAGGAATCTGTCTTTAGCTGGTAGTAGATTTAATTAGGTATAATTATGTTTGCTAAGGTACTAACCAGTAGTACCACCCAAGAAACAAATGCCTTACCTAGGACGTACAAATGTCAAATGACTTTAAGGATCATTGTTGTGGCTGAAAATTTTATTACCTTGCTAGTCTGATAAGGATAATATTTTGTAACTTTATCCCTGGTTGTCAACTTGCTCTGCTTCTGAAATTGATCCTCCATCCTGGGTTTCTTGTTTCTTGCAACAGAAAGCGGAATAGAATATGTATGTGTTGTGAGGGTCTGAGGAGCGCATTTGACTACGGTAGCTTTTCAAAGATAAGTTTGTCTTTCTGACAGGCTGGCCCTCCCCTAATGTGAAGAAAGACCTTAAGGGAGACTCTTTGATCCTTAGGTATTTGGGACTGACTCAGAGCACTGCACAGAAGTCACTATCGCCCCCTTTTCAAATCTCCATAGGCACCGTTTTCTGGATGGTTCTCTTTAGGGCAGCTTTGACCTCTGTGTTCCGCAGGCTGTAGATGATGGGGTTGAGGATGGGGGTGACCACAGCATAGAAGAGGGACACCAGAGGGTCAGTGGCCGGATCGTAGCTGGCCTTAGGGCGAATATAGATAAAGAGTGCGGTGCCATAGAAGAGGGAGACCACGATCAGGTGGGAGGAGCAGGTGGAGAAGGCCTTGCGGCGGCCCGCAACAGATGGGATCCGGAAGATGGTAACGAGGATACGCCCGTAGGAGCCCAGGATGAGGCCAAAGGGGCAGAGGATGAGGAGGGCTGTTGCCAGGATAATCTGCAGTTCATTAAGCGAGGTGTCTCCACATACCAGCTGCAGGACAGGCTGGATCTCACAGAAGAACTGCGGGATGGTATTGGGGCCGCAGAAGGGCAAAGAGAAGATGAAAGGGGTGTGGCCCAGCCCCACCAGCACCCCACAGGCCCACGCCGACCCAGCTAGCTGTAGACACACCCGGTGGCTCAGCAGCAGTGGGTAGCGGAGGGGTTCACAGATGGCTGCATAGCGGTCATAGGCCATGGCTGCCAGGAGGCAGCACTCCGTGGCGCCAAAGAAGAGGAAGAAGAACATCTGGAGAGCACATCCAGAGCGAGAGATGTGGCGCCGGCCAGTAAGGAGGTGGTGAAGTAGCAGGGGGACCGTGACAGACGTATAGCCAATCTCCAAGGCCGAGAGGGTGCGCAGGAAGAAGTACATAGGGGACTGGAGGGCAGCATCAGTGGAGACCAGCACCACAATGAGGAAATTGCCTGCCACGGTCAGCAGGTAGATAGTGAGAAAGACAGAGAAGAGCAAGCCCTGGAGGTCGGCCAGGTGGGAGAAGCCGAGAAGAAGAAACTCAGTCACCATGGAGGTGTTTGCACTCATCCTGCCTGCATACCTTTGACTGGAAGACAAAAGAAATGGCAAGGAAAAATCACAACTATGGAATCGTGAAATGGGCAAAGATGACCTCTCTCTGCATCTGATCGCAGCACTAGATCTCCCTTTCTATTAGAATATCATGGACTTTGAAATTAGGCAGCCTTGCCTGGAGTCCATATTCCACCCTTGCTCACTCTTGGGATCCTGGATGAGTATTTGTCTCTCTGAGCCTGAATCCCTGACTTCATCTCTTCCTGATAGTGCCTATCATTCTAAAGAACATGTTAAACTGTCTTTCCAGTTTTACCTGGGCTGAAGATTAAGTCAGTCTAGCTCCCTTTTCACTCTTTTCTGATTTTCCAATTCTTCCTGCAGGGCTGGAGACAGAATTTTCCCTCATAGCAGATCTTTTTCTCCATCAACTTGTCTCCTGTCTGATAAGAGGTGACCTCTCTTATCACCTCTTGCCCTCTAGTTTTCTTTTTTCCAGCTCTTTCTTTAGTTACCAGATTCACTTAGTCTTTCTTCTTTTTCTGTCATTTTACCATAAATTTCACAGTGTTCAAGGAGGAGAAAAAAAATGAGAAAGATCCTCTCTTTTTAAGCTCCTATAGCATTAAACAGTTCAACTATTTAGAGGGGTGAGCATTTCTCTAGTTTTAAAACATGCTCAGGCAAAAGATGACAAGAACTTCCTTAATTGCTTATTTCTGCATCTTACAGACTTTCAAACTTAGTCCTCTTACATTGTAAACATGAAAATCCCCAAACTACACACATAAACTCCACAAATTCACACACTGTCAAATTATATTTCAAAATACAGGCACAGAAGAATAGCCTAATATTCCCAGATGCCAGATTTATCTAAAGTTGCAAATCATGTATTCTATTGGCATTATTACAGATAACAGTAAAAGTCTAAATACACTGAACATAAAACTATAAACACCCAAAGATACACTTGAATATATACACAAATTCAATATTCCAGCCATATTCAAGGTTGTGTATTAGAAATACAAGTCCACACACTGATATCCTTTTGCAGTTGAAGAGCCCTTGGTTCATTCTCCTCTGGGGGCTCTTTCAGTGTTTTCCAGAAGATATTATCTCAAAGGTGTCTTTCTATTTTCTATTTGGAGAAATAACCAGTGAAGGCAGATGGCATTTGTGACTTGCTTATCTTCTTTTTTATCTACATAGTGGATCCCTCTTGAGGAAGCCTCTCTTAGGTTTGTTGTCTCTCTTTAAGCTCTCTGAGGATCTGAGTCTCCAAGCATTCTTGGCTTTCCAATGGGGAGAATGCTTCACAAAACCAATTAATCTGTTATTTTGAATCTGTTTCTTAGATTGCAAGAAATACAGAATGACCTGTTAAGAACATTTCAAAGAATATATCCAGAGCTATTGGTTTCTCTTAGTTCTCCCATATCTCTGGTTCAACCATTTTAATTTTCTTCTTTTTTCTCATGATTTTTTCCCATCACTGTAGATGTTCTAGTACATCTACAAAAAGTAATAATGCAATTTTACCCTTCTTATGTATATTGATATAATCCAGTAATCAATTTATTTGATAACTATTTATAGGGTCCCTTGCAGGTTTTATTGATTCTACAGGTAACTAATAATATAAAAGAGAAATAAACATGTTTTGACCTAATTGAGGTGCTAAATGTCATTTTCTTATACAATTGTCACTAATTTTTCTTGCTTTGATTTCTTTTTCATTTATTATACAAATCTTTCTTTGCATTTTTATCATTGGTATCTATTATTTGATTTGTTTCTTCTGTGTTTTTATACATTTTCATAGATGTGATAAAAGCTGTGTGTCAAATAGAATGTTTTCAAGACATACCAACCATTATAACAAGCCCCAACTCCAACGGGTTTAAGTAATAAATTTACTTATTAATTTATATAACTAGAAGTTCAGGGTTTACATAAACTGGATTTCGTACTTAGTTTTCTTCTGACTCCTTTATATTTTATCATTTCATTTATTTATTAGATTTGGCTGAAAGTAATGGAAATGCCAATGGCTCAAAGAGAATGAAAATTTATCTCTCACTTAAATGTCTAAAGATTTGTAGTTCAGGGAAATATGGCTGCTCTGATCCAGAATTCCTCAGGAATCTGTTTTCTCTCAGCTCATCAGTCATCTACTCCCAGAGTGTAGCCCTGTTATGGCTGAAGATGATGCCATTAATGTTACAGGGAACAGAATGGAGTAGAATAATTTGGATTGCTATTTGTCCACTCTTAGTGTAACCTATGTAGTATTATTGCTAAAAATGTTTAATTGGAGTATAAGAAAACAGTCAGACAAATCCATATTGTGGCATATTCTATAGACAACTGACACAAACTCTTAAAAAATATCCATGTCTTTAAAGACAAAGCAAAGATGGGAGATGACATCGTTCCAGATTGAAGAAGACCAAAAGCCATGGCAATAAAATGTCATTCATGATTTTTGACTGGATCCTACGTCATCAACAAAACAAAATAAAAACAACTATAAAAAAGATTTGGAACAAGTGGGAAAGTTGAATATGGGTTTTATATTATTGGTTCAATGTTAATTCCCTTGGGTGTAATAATAGTATTGTGGTTATGCTGGAGAATATTCTTGTCATTAGAAAGATGCAGAATGGCTGCATAGTATTCCATGGTGTGTATGTGCCACATTTTCTTAATCCAGTCTATCATTGTTGGACATTTGTGTTGGTTCCAAGTCTTTGCTATTGTGAATAGTGCCACAATAAACATACATGTGCATGTGTCTTTATAGCAGCATGATTTATAATCCTTTGGGTATATACCCAGTAATGGGATTGCTGGGTCAAATGGTATTTCTAGTTCTAGATCCCTGAGGAATCGCCACACTGACTTCCACAATGGTTGAACTAGTTTACAGTCCCACCAACAGCGTAAAAGTGTTCCTATTTCTCCACATCCTCTCCAGCACCTGTCGTTTCCTGACTTTTTAATGATCGGCATTCTAGCTGGTGTGAGATGGTATCTCATTGTGCTGGCGCTTTTCGAAAGCAGCCGCTGCGGCCGCCCAACGCCAAGAACGCTTCGCGAGCAGCGCCATCTTGAGCGAGGAAAGAGGAACCGAGAGAAGAGGATTGCGGGCCACTGGCCGACTGAATTCCGTATTTTATCTTTTCTTATTGCATTTTCAGAACTGAAGATACAGCTGACAGAGCACTGAACTAGGCCAGGGTTTTAATGCTGGCTCTATGACTAACCTATTCTATAACTTTGTACAATTCACTTCATTTTAATGAGACTCATATTTCTCATCTTTAAAATGCAGACACAGCTGATTCTTATTATTCACTGCAGTTGCATTCTATAAAGTTGCCTTGAACCCTGTAGGAGCAAATATTAAATAATTCCTTGCTTTAGGGGAGATGCAGGGTTAGATTCCTATGAGTTTTTGGTCACATTTTTGTCACCTGATCAATAAATAACCTTATTGTAAGTGTGTTTCTGTTTAAACACATCTTATATAATATATATCGTTGATCATTAACGTTGAACCCACAGCCAACAGCCCTATAACACATGCCTGAACAGAGCTTATCTAGCAAATGCATTTTCTCCGTAAGATCCATTGCAACATTTTTGTGCTCAGGAGCATGGGACAGCACTTCAGCGCTACATTTGGGGCTATTTTGAATTATGAAATCACCAAAAAACAAACAAAAAATGTGAAAAATATGGCATTCAGCAAATCAGGAAATCATGAAAAGGACACTTGTTTACAGTATAATAGCTGAAACAAGAGGACAGAGCGTTTCCTTGCTCAGCATCAGGTGGGGATGCATACAGTGTGTCTCAAACTTTTTGTCACTGTGTTCATGCACTTGTCCATGAACGACTGCGAAGGTGCTGTGAGTATTGAGCTAGGGGTTAAAAATAGATGTTAGGGAGCAGGTGACTTTGCAAATACTGAATCCACAAATAATGAAGGTCAACTCTATTGCTAGTCATGTCTACTGGTGGAATGTTTGGAACTTTCTTTTCAACCGGACATTGTGTTAATATATTTTTAGAAGGCCAGGGATTATGAATCAAGTGACCATTTTTATTTTTTCATTCATGCATTCATGCATTGCTACTTATTCACTAATCATTTATGACACAGCTAAAATATTCTTGGGATACAAAGATGAATAGGATACACCATCTGCCCTGGATAATATTTACTTCTAATTCGTAGTCTAGTGAAGAAGAAATCTAAATGGTAAGACTATGTAAATCTCTAACAGAAACCACAAAGAGCTATAATTTGTTTTTGTAAAATCCTGCTGGGTTGAATACTATCTCTTTTGTATTAAAATATATTGTTAATCCTCAAGAAGTTTTCAAAGATAAGAGATTGAACAATATTTTGGGTTAGGTCCATGATGTACTGTTATTAAAGTTTCTATGGATTCAGATTGCCTTGGATGCCTAGGCTGGAGTCTAAGGAACAAATAATCAGAAAACATCACTGAGCTCGAGCTTATGAAATATTTTAGTAACATGGGAGACTCATGGAAATGTGTGGTTTCTTTTCCAACTGGAATTACTGATACAAAATAGGATATATATGTGACCAAAGCCAAACAACATAAATGGTTGTCAAACTTGAGCTTGAAGTTAGCCCCCGTGAAGCATCCCATAGTCACTTCTGAGAGTTTGCAAGATGTGTTCAGGAATGTCTCCTCTGGTCCTTCCTCTCTTGTGTCTTTTCTGTGCCTTCAAGCTGCTGCTCTGTGAGAGCTGACTGACTCTTTTTATTTTGTCATCCTTTGCAGTGGTTGACATTGCTTTCTCCACCCTGGCTGTGGGAACAGCAACCACTGTCCCCTGTACCTGCTTTTTCTAAGCAAGGCCACAGGCCCTCTTAGAATTCTCCTAGTACAACATATATCAAGTTGTAGCTTATAGAATAATTTACTGTAGTTCTAACTTAGTGGAAAGTAAATGTAGTGCAGAGAATTATATGCTGTTATACTGATCCACACACACTTGAATTCCACTAGGTAATTTATGTGGCCAAGGGTATATTTCATTTCATTTGGAACTACTTATAATCTTTTCACGTCTTGCAGTTTAGGCCAAATTGACCCCAGGACACAAGGGAAGGTAGAAATGTATTTTTCATGCTAATATATCACCTACTTTTGGAGACTTCATTTATACCCCAGGATTAACCTCTCACCAGGGTGATTAACAATACAAACATCTACTCCCCACAGATCCTTGTCTTTATCCATGGGACTGTGGTCTGAACTGATGACCTTAAAAAGTCCATAAAATGTATTTTGACAAAAAGTTTGCTAAAATATCTGTAAGAATTAAGATTAGTCAGACTTTCCCATCTTAAACTTGAATTATCTCTGAAGTTGTGTTTCTCTATCAAACCAAATTTAACAGTATACTAAAAGGATCTTTCACCATGATCAAGTGAGATTTAGCTCTGAGATGCAAGGATGGTTCAACACACAAATCAATAAATGTGATACATAACATTAACAGAATTAAAGATAAAACCATATGATCATATAAACAGAACATGAAACGGTGAAAGAAAAGTCTTTTTAATAAATGATGTTGGAAAACTGAATATCCACATGCAGAAGAATGAAATTGGATCCTTATGACACTCAATATATGAGAATTAACTCAAAATGGATTAATGACTTAAACATATGACTGCAAACTGTAAAACTATTAGAAGAAAATATAGGAGAAAAGTTCCATGACGTTGGTATGGGCAAGATTTCTTGTATATGATCCTCAAATCACAGACAGCAAAACCAAAAGTAAACAAATGGGATTGCATCAAATTAAAACATTTCTCCGCAGCAAAGGAAACAATAGAGTGAAAAGACAACCCACAGGTTGAGAGAAAATATTTGTAAATGATACATGTAAGTGGCTAAAATTCAAGCTATATAAGGAACTTAAACAAATCAATAACAAGGAAACAAATAACTCAATTTTAAAATGAGCTAAGCACCTGAATAGACATTTCTCAAAAGAAGACGTACAAATGACAAACAGGTACAAGAAAAAATGCTCAACATCACTAGTCATCAGGGAAATACAAATTAAATTCACAATAAGATATCACCTCACACTTGTTAGAATGCCTACTACAGAAAAGATAAGAGATAAATGTTGATGAAAATGTGGAAAAGGAGAACTCATACACTTTTGGTGGAAGCGTAAATTAGTACAGTCATTAAATACACTGTGGAGGTTTCTGAAAAATTCTGAAAAAATTAAAAATAGAACCGTTGTATGACCCAGCAATCCCTTGTCTGTGTATATATTCAAAGGAAATAAGAAGAGAGATCTACACTTTCATGTTCATTGTAGTATTATTCACAATAGCCAAGATGTGGAATAAACCTAAGCATCCCTCAGCAGATGAATGGATAGAGAAAATGTGGTATATATGCATAGTGGAATACTATTCAGCCTTAAAGAAGAAGGAAATTCTGTTGTTTGCAACAACATGGATGAATCTGGAGGACCTTATATTAACTGAAATAAGTCAGGCACAGAAGGACAAATACCTCATGGTCTCCCTTCTACATGAAATCTACAAAGTCAAACTCACAGAAACAGAGAATAGAATGGTGGTTACCAGGGGCTGGAAGAAAGGGAGAAAATTGAGAAGATATTGGTCAAAGGTTACAAAAATTACAGTTAGACAAGAGAGATAATTCAAGAGATCTATTATATGAAAGGGTGACTATAATTAATGAATTGTATATGTGAAAATTGCTAAAAGAGTAGATCTGAGTGTTCTCATCACAAAAACATGATAAGTATGTGAGGTAATGGTTCATGTAAATTAGCTTGATTTTGTCATTCCATGATGTATACATATGTCAAAACATCATGTTATACATCATAAATATATACAATTTTAATTTGTCAATTAAAAATCATAATAATGTAGGCTAACTAAAAAATGCTACATTTTTCCAAAAGTTTTCTTTTCAAGACACATATACTTACCTTTTAGCATATGCTGCTGTTTGATGAAAAAAATAAACGATTAAGAGAACCCCTCCTGCTGCCAAGAAAAAATAGGGTGGCATTTACTGTGAACTACAGATAGTAGACAACGTAGTTCAGAGAAAAAGTGTTCTCGGTTGGTCAGGGAGAAAGTGGAGCTGAAGTTAGGGTCTGAGTTTGATAAATGACACAGAAGTGCCTTCAACACACTCCTAGGGATGAGAAATAAATATATCAGCCTGATTTCTGTGGAAGCTTCAAAAAAGGGAGTAGTGGCAGACAAAGTTGTTGGGCAGTAATTTGGTCAGGAAGGATATTGAAACGCTACATAACCATTTCAACGTCATTTTGTAACATCACGCCACCTTCCTTCTCCTTAAATCAGGCTCAGCATTGGCAAGATTTTGATGATCTATATAAAACACCCCTACTAAGGGTGGTACCTATTGAAACAATTGCCTGGGATGGTAAGAGGGCGATTTGGAGGCTGTAGATTGGAGAATGAAAGTTGAGGGCAGGCTGCTGGGAGGACCACTGTTGGTAATGGGGAATTTAGGGATGTTGCAGAGAAATCAGAATTTTCTGGTGAGTTATGGAGACTAGGAATTGGGGCTTTAGATGTTTGGTGAAATGGAGAGCATTTGTCCCCAAGGGGATGGAAAGGTGGGCTCCATTTGGCTCTTTTGGTTTCTGCTCCGTTTATGGTCAAGCCAACAGTTCAGGAAACCGCCTTTGAAAAAATACAATTTCCTTAGGGGCCTGCTATGTCTTGCTCATTTCAGGCTGCTCTCCAGTAAATCTGTAATTGGTTCTCAGGGGCCTCTCCCTTTGTGGCAATTTCCTGCCCTCCCATGTGATAGAGGGAAAGGACTGCGATGAAAGGACAGAATAGCCTGAGAGCTAGAAAAGGGGATGGAGGGTGGAAGAGAAAATGGCTCAGGAGTGGAGGGTAACAAGGGTGACATTTGTAATCAATGTTCTACGTTACTTCAGGTTGAGCTCAAGCAGGGAGGGAGCTGAAGGTAGGAAATTCCAACATTCTGAAGTCTTCAGCAAATCTTAGCAGATCATCTCCTCCTCACAGTCCTGTCTTTAGAGAACAGGGTCGATATTTCGGGTACGTTTATTTTTGTAAAATTCTTTACAGCTTAGTTCACAGATTCTTTAAAAAAGTTAAATGGCTGGTTTTTATAGCTGTTTATCCTGTAATCACTAGCAACTTTCAATTAACCCAGAGAGTCAAAAAGTCTTTTATTAAAAATCATTTCAAGAAGTCCCGCAGTATTTCTCTAGAATACCAGTGCTGCTCTTTTCTCCATTGGATGTTTTTAAAAGTTGATTTCTAATCCTTCTGGGTGCATACTGACTTATTTTTTTAATTCTCTCTTCTCTTTTGGAGATGGGGAACAGTAGATATTCATGCTCCCCAAGCTTCAGTTGATATGTTACAGAGTAGGAAGAAGCGAGACACCCTCATACTAATGTTTTCATGGTGGAAAGTTTTCCTCCTGCTATCCCATGGCTTGACAAAACTGGGATATACTTAAAATTATACTGTTTTCTTTTAAAACCTTTTAAGTATATTTTAATGTTTTATTATGGAGTAATTACTGAAGAGACTTGAGGAGAATTAACAGATTAAAAAAATCAAACTGAATTAACTTTTTGGTTTTCTGCTTACAAACATAACATGTTTGTTTAGCAGACATTTCAAAATATGAGAATAAATTTTTTTCTAATACCTAAAGATGAATTAAAATGTACAGTTTTGTATATATTTTTTAAAATATTTTTTCCTGGAATATTCTTTGAATTGCTCGTTTTAATTAAGGACTCTATGCTATCTCAGAGTCTGGGTTGAATGAGGGTTATGGTTTTTACTTAGAATTGAGTGTGTGGCTGATTGTTCGTTAGACAACAAACAGGCATTTTGCACTATTCTCACTTCTCTACCAGTCAGTATGGTGAAATTCCTGTTGATTTCAAACTCTTCCTGCAGTTTTTTGAGTTTTCCAATTCCAAATTCAGCTCTATTCCTTGGAGTTTTCAACTCTAAATTCATCAACTTCCTCTATTCCCTGATTCCCCTCTGTCTTTAAGGGAATAACAGCCTCTCATATATCCTACTGTTTCTGTGTTTTTCCCATTTCTTTTCTTTTCATATCTACTTTTACAGATTTAGGGGTACAAGTGCAGTTTTGTTACATGAATATATTGTGTAGCGATTGAGTCTGGGCTTTTAGTGTAACCATCACACAGATAGTGTGCATTATACCCATTAGGTAATTTCTCATCCCTCACCCCTTCCCACCTCACCTTTCCAAGTCTCCAATGTCTATTATTCTGAATTCTGTGTTCATGTGCACACATTATTTAGCTCCCACTTATAAATGAGAATATGCAATATTTGACTTTCTGTTTCTGAGATATTTCACTTAAAATAATAGCCTCCAGCTCCAATGATACTCTTGATTTCCAGGGGAGGTAGTGGTCATGAGCTATTTATTATTAGAGGTATTCTTGCCTGATTTACATGCTCACCTCTCTCCTGGCAGGAATCCTATAGAAAGACTCCAAGCCTCAGAATGAGTTTGGACCAGATAAAATAATCTAGAGTTAAAGATGGCCCACATAGGGAGTGCCAGATTCACTCACAAGGAAATGCAGATGGGATCAAAGGGTAAGAGAATAGCTTTAGAGACGGGAGTTGGAGGGCAATAACAGAACCTGTGGAATTTTGTAGTCTATGAAGAACAGCATTCTTCTCTGATCAATTCATATGGGTTTAGGTTAAGGAAGACATGGTGTTAAACATTAAGTATTCATTGAGAATATATCTTTTTGTAAGACTTCGGTACAGTAGCACTTATAAAAATTTAAATCCTGTGCTAAATGAACTTTTAGTCTTTTGGAAAAGAGAAAGTGCATACCATAAGATAATTAATGATGAACTCAAGGCAGCATGTATTTGCACATCAGGTATCAGATGAGTGGGGCCATCCCTTCTTTCACTCTTGTTACCTTGGATGTAGCTTCCATAATACTATTTAAATTTAGGTTGAAACATGCCACTGTACTGTTTAAAAGCCTTCAGCTGTGCCTTGCTGCCTATAGAATGAAGCTCTAGTTCCTTCTTGTGACAAGCAAGGGTCCCCAGACTCTGATCCTGGCCCCTTTCTCTCCCTGTCTTCCCCCATTCTTCACCTCAATCCTAATTCTCCTTCAGAATCGAGGGGATTGTTTGAGCTACCCTTGGCTACTTACCCCCTGCTACCTCTTTCTCCTCCTCACATCCAATGTTGTTTCTTGCCTCAGTGTGTACTCATGGTTTTCCTTTTACCTAAAATGCCCTCACCTCCATTCTTTCCATTTTCCACTGCAATCACTCATCAGTTCAGCATCACTTCCTCCTAGTACTATTTCTTTCAGGTTGAATTCATTAACTGTCTTTTGGCGTATTGCAATTTTCTGTTGATATGTCCATCTGTCACACAAGAGTGTAAACTCCTTAAGAGTATGGACCAGTTTTGTTTGGCCCACTATCCTCAGAAACAGATGTAATATCTTCTATACACTAGATCCTTAGTACATGATTGGGAGAGAAATAAAGGGCTCTATTAGTCAAGGGGGATTCTTGGTAGAGATAAGTTCTTAAGCTGGGTCTTCGAGGATTTAACGTTAGCAATGAGCAGAGGTATGGAAAATGGGATTCCATTCAAAAGGCAGATTTGGTCTTAGGCAAAACTACAAAACAGTGTGCCGTGAAGGCTCCCAGCACTGTGGTCCCTGAGGCATCCAGTTTTTCACCTCTTAGGAAACTGATGTTCTAGACTATTTGTATTAAAGATAACTTACATTTTTTGTGATAATAAATATAATGTATGTTTATTAATCCCATATTCTAGAAAGTAACACTGTTAGTATTATGTATTTATATTTATTTATATGATATCTGCTTTTTTTCTCTACCTTTCTCAACTGTTTCTAATCATTCCCTGTATTCTCTCTCATTGTCTTCAGTTAATAAACACATATTGCTTTGAATAGCATATGAAAACCTTCCAGCAGGTATGACAGAGCCATTTTCAGATATTTAGAAGTGTCATGCTCAATTACAACTCTTTGCTTTTGCATATGCTTTCCTGCCAGGGATGCCCTGCCTGGTCTGGTTTCCTGTCTTTTGCCTGGCCAACTCTTTTTTTTTTTTTTTTTTTTTTTTTTTTGAGATGGAGTTTCGTTCTATTGCCCAGGCTGGGGTGCAGTGGCGCGATATCGGCTTACTGCAAGCTCCGCCTCCTGAGTTCACGCCATTCTTCTGCCTCGGCATCCCGAGTAGCTGGGACTACAGGCGCCCGCCACCACGCCCGGCTAATTTTTTTTGTATTTTTAGTAGAGACGGAGTTTCACTGTGTTAGTCAGGATGGTCTCGATCTCCTGACCTCGTGATCCACCCGCCTCAGCCTCCCAAAGTGCTGGGATTACAGGCGTGAGCCACCAAGCCCGGCCTCCTGGCCAACTCTTAATTGGCCCTCAAAACTTAGCCTACTTGCTTCTATCTTCAGAAAGCCTTCCCCGACCTTGATCCCACACCTTCTGCCCCACAACCCCAGGCTGGGTTTGGTCCTTCTCTGCTCCCATGGCACCTACTTCCTTCCCTATTACCATTTACCACATTTTCACTACCAACTCCTGAATGACTTGATGAAACTACTATTTAAGGAAGGCAATAAGTGAAGAATATATAAGAATTATCCGAGGAACAGTTGGTAAGGTATCACTGATTAGGAGATGGGGAATGAAAGGGGCGGTTGAGATAATGAGAAGAATGAGATAGTGACCATGGGGATTAGACAGAATTCTCAAACCACTCATAGAGGAATTGGTTGTGATTGAGAAAGATAGAAGAGTTTGCAGTTGTGGGCCATGTCTATATAGCACACATTTGGAGAATATTATACTGGTGCACAAGAAGGAGGCTATGGCTGACTATACAGATAAGAATGATAGAGGTGATTATGCGAAAGAGGTAGTAGATTGAATTAATGGGGTAAAGGTCTTTGAAAGACTAAAATTATGAGTTTGGATAAACTCTTCTGAGCGTTAAAGAATATGCACAATTAAGGAAGGCAGGGAAGGATGAGAGTTGAGGAAGGAATGACAACTAAGAAGGGGGATAGTTGAAGACTTGCGTGAGCGAGTCTTGTTTTAGAGACTCATTTTTGTCTTTTTTGTTTTGTTTTGTTTTAGCTCTAATAACGTTAGGCTTGGTATAGAAGATGCAGAGACATGCTAAAATTTCTCCCCCAATTATTGCCAAGCAGAAACTTGGACGATCGACATGGAAATTGTCTCCACAGGAAACGAAACTATTACTGAATTTGTCCTCCTTGGCTTCTATGACATCCCTGAACTGCATTTCTTGTTTTTTATTGTATTCACTGCTGTCTATGTCTTCATCATCATAGGGAATATGCTGATTATTGTAGCAGTGGTTAGCTCCCAGAGGCTCCACAAACCCATGTATATTTTCTTGGCGAATCTGTCCTTCCTGGATATTCTCTACACCTCCGCAGTGATGCCAAAAATGCTGGAGGGCTTCCTGCAAGAAGCAACTATCTCTGTGGCTGGTTGCTTGCTCCAGTTCTTTATCTTCGGCTCTCTAGCCACAGCTGAATGCTTACTGCTGGCTGTCATGGCATATGACCGCTACCTGGCAATTTGCTACCCACTCCACTACCCACTCCTGATGGGGCCCAGACGGTACATGGGGCTGGTGGTCACAACCTGGCTCTCTGGATTTGTGGTAGATGGACTGGTTGTGGCCCTGGTGGCCCAGCTGAGGTTCTGTGGCCCCAACCACATTGACCAGTTTTACTGTGACTTTATGCTTTTCGTGGGCCTGGCTTGCTCGGATCCCAGAGTGGCTCAGGTGACAACTCTCATTCTGTCTGTGTTCTGCCTCACTATTCCTTTTGGACTGATTCTGACATCTTATGCCAGAATTGTGGTGGCAGTGCTGAGAGTTCCTGCTGGGGCAAGCAGGAGAAGGGCTTTCTCCACATGCTCCTCCCACCTAGCTGTAGTGACCACATTCTATGGAACGCTCATGATCTTTTATGTTGCACCCTCTGCTGTCCATTCCCAGCTCCTCTCCAAGGTCTTCTCCCTGCTCTACACTGTGGTCACCCCTCTCTTCAATCCTGTGATCTATACCATGAGGAACAAGGAGGTGCATCAGGCACTTCGGAAGATTCTCTGTATCAAACAAACTGAAACACTTGATTGAAGGAGAGTAATGAAGATGTTATTTTGGACTTCGGACACCTCCATTGGGGACTCTTCCAGGATGGGTTGGAGAGGAGTAACTTTGTCTTATTCGACCATTCTCTTTGAACTCTTCTGCAGTTATACTAAAAATGAAAATGATAGGGCAACAATTTTTTAACTTTTATTTTAAGTTCAAGGGTACATGTGCAGGTTTGTTACATAGGTAAACTTGTGTCATGGGGGTTTACTGTACAGATTATTTCATCACCCAGGTATTAAGCCTAGTACTCATTAATCATTTTTCCTGATCTTCTCCCTCCTCCCAACCTCCACCCTCAAGTAGGATTCAGTGTGTTGTTCCCCTCTATGTATCCATATGTTTTCATAATTTAGCTCCCACTTATGAGTGAAGACATACGGTATTTGATTTTCTGTTCCTGTGTTAGTTTGCGAAGGATAGTAGCCTCCAATTCCATCCATGTCAAATAATCAAAATTATTTAAACTTTGATTAGTTCTTTATTAAATATGTCATAAATATTTAAAAATAATACAGCAATACCAAAATAAACCTAGAAATATTGTTTTTTATATTATTGTTGTATGACATTTAAAAATTTCTTTCTATGTGTATTTATATTTATACATACAAGTTGGATCATGGAGTTTGTAATCTGGTTTTCCACTGAACACTGTGTCACGAACAACTTTTTCTATTAACAAGCATCTATTTCTTTATTCTTCTGGGCTTCATCGTATGGCTAAACATGATTTGTTATTCTATTTTGGGAATTTTTAGTTGTATTCTATTCTTTTACTGTACATTGTTTACATCTGGATTTTCCTGTAATAAACTTTTAGCACCTAAATTGCAAGATCTAAGGATATGTGTTTTTAAAAATCTAAAGCTGAATTCCTTTTCTTTTAAACTTCTTTTCTTGTAGAACATTTCAAACATACATAAAAGAGAAGAGCACAGTGAACCCCCATGTACTCCATGTAGCCACCATCCAGCTTCAACATCAACATTTTGCTAATCTTATTTTAATTAGCTACAGCTCCTTGTTTGTTAGTTTTCATGGAAAATTTTAGGGCAAATTCCAGATGTTGTATAACTATTATGTTGTGTAAGTTATGTATGTACATATTCCACATATGTATTTAGTATAATCTGTGACTAATAAAGACATTTTAAAAAACCATGCCCACAATACCATTATGATACTTAGCACAATTATCAGTATTTCCTTTATATCATCTAATACACAAGCCATGTTCAAATTTCTCCATTGATCTTTAAGTAATTTCTTAAAATTAGGATCTAAACAAGGTTCACACAATGTATTTTGTTATTGTCTTTCCAGTCCCTTTATAACATAGCAGACCCCACTTTTTTGTCATGCCATTGACTTAAGTTGCTATGTTATTTTTATTGCATCATATCCTGAGACACATGATATTTAGTTGTCCCACTCTTAGAGATGCTATTTATATTATTGTCCAGTGAGTTGAGGTGGTATCAGTCAGATCTATCAATTACTCAGTTTCTAATTAACGTTTTCCCTAATACTTTAATCATCCATTGTGGAAAGGTGATGATTAACTTTTATTCCAAATGTTTTTATGTTCCTTTTTCAATTCCAAAATTCACCATTTTAATAAATGGCTCTCTAGTACATTATATATCAGTCAGCCAGGAATCACACTTAGCTATTAGAAACTGTCAATACAAAGTTTTAAAAGTAAAAATTGTCATGTAAGTAAAAGTTAATTTTTCTCTCAAGTAAAAGAAGTCTGGAGGTAAGTAGTACAGAGAGGATGTGGTTGGTTCCCAGGGTTATATAGACCAGAGCTCTGTTTACTTAGTGTATATGTCAGGAGAACAGCGTGGGGGAAAGTTCCCCCATGATGAAATCACTTCCCTCCAGGTCCCTCCCTTGACATGGGAGATTACAATTGAGATGAGATTTGTGTGGGGACATAAAACGAAACCATATCAGGCTCTATTCTGTGTGTCTGTGTGCATATGTAACTAAAATCAGGAGTGAGTAATTGAGAGAAGTGAATTTTCTTGGTGTGGTTTCAGTTGCAAACAACATAAGCTACCCTGGCTAATTTAAGCTGCTGTTTTTTCTTATATAATATTTGATAGCTCACACACTATCCTGTAGGTAAAGAGAGTCAGACTCTGAATTATTCTGCCAGGAATGAGATGCAGAAACACAGAGGGTCTCTTGTTGGCGTAAATATCACTGTCATCATTACTCAACCCTAGAGTACTTCTAGATCCATCACTGATGCTCCAGAAGGACCAGATTCCTCTGTTTCATGCAGAGAAGACTGAATTCCACATGCATAGTCTTGCTGATTGGTAGGACCTAATTTCCATGGTTGTTACCAGCTGTTAAGGAATCTAGGAAATGATCACAATGTAGTGGGGGTGTTCACAGATGTAAAAGCACTATAATGAATGTCTACTCTTGGCACAGTGCGAAAGGATAATGTTAGGTACTAATTTTTTTTTCTTTTGACATTTTAAAATACAAACATTTCACGCATATACTAAATACAAAAATTTCCTTTGTCCACTTTTTAATGGGGTTATTTATTTGTTTTTCTTGTTGAGTTGTTTAAGTTCCTTGTAAGTTCTGGATACCAGTCCCGTATTAGGTGCATAATTTGCAAATATGTTTTCCCATTCTGTAGGTTGTTTGTTTACTCTGTTGATTATTCCCTTCACTGTGCAGAAGCCTTTTAGTTTAATTAAGTTCTGTTTGTCTATTTTTATTTTTGTTGCATTTGCTTTTGAGGTCTTAGTCACAAATTCTTTGCCTAGGCCAATGTTCAGAAGAGTTTTTCCTAGGTTTTCTTCTAAAATTTTTATAGTTTCAGGTCTTACATTTAAAAGAAGACATACAATCAGCCTACAAAACCTACAAACATATAAAAAAAGCTCAACATTGCTAGTCATCAGAGAAGTGCAAATTAAAACCACACTGAGATATCATCTCATACCAGTAATAGTAACTATTATTAAAAAGTCAAAAACAAGAGATGTTGGTGAGAATGCAGAGAAAAGGGAATGCTTATATACTGTTGATGAGAATATAAATTAGTACAACCTCTATGGAAAACAGTATGAAGATTTCTTAAAGGGCTAAAATTAGAACTACCCTTTGATTCAGCAATCCCAATACTAGATATCTACCCAAAGGAAAATAAATCATGGTACAAACAAGACACCTGCATGTGTATGTTAATTGCAGCACTTTTCACAAGAGCAAAGTTATGAAACCATCCTAAGCATATGAAAGCATACACACACACACACACTTACATAAGCATACGTAATTAGATATTTTTTCTTTTATTTTACTTTCACTTATTTCTTCTTCAATGCTCTTCTGTTCTTAAAGGTGGATTGAAATGTCTCACTTGTATAATTTTATTACTCTCTAAAAAATTTATTTTATCACTTTTTACCAGGCAAGTCTATTGGCAATAAATTCCCTCAATTTTTGTTCCTCTGAGAAGGTTTATTTCTCATTCACTTTTGAAGGATAATTTCATGTAGTGCAGAATTCTAGATTGGTTTTTCTTCTATCAAAAATTTTAAATATTTCACTCTATTTTCTTCTAACTTTTGTAGCTTCTGCGAACTCAGATGTCATCTTTTCTTCCCTAAAGGTATGGTATTTTTTATCCTCTGGCTTCTTCATGATTTAAAAAAAATCTTTGACTTTCTGATTTTTGTTTAATTTTCCATAGTTTAAAAATGATATTCCTAGCCATAGTTTTTCTGGCATTTATGCTTCTTGGTATTCCTTGAGCCTCCTAGATTTGAAGTTTGATGTCTCATATTAATTTGGGGAAATTTTCAGTTATTGCTTCAAATATTTCTTCTGTTCCTATCTACTTTTCTACTCCTTCTGATATTCCCATTGTATGTATTACATATTTTGGAGTTTTTCCAGAATCCTTGAATATTCTTCTCTGCTTTAATAAGTCTTTGTTTTCTTCGCTTTTCAGTTTTTAAAGTTCCTATTGATATATTCCCCTGCCTAGAGGGTTTGGTGGTCGTTTTCTTCCTCTTAACTTTATTAAGGTATGACTGACACATGAAGTTGTATATATTTATGATGTTTACTGTGATGTTTTGAGATATGTATACATTGTGAAACGATTACCACAATTAAGCCAATTAACACATCCATCACCTCACATAGTTACAACCTTTTGTATGTGTGTGGTGAGAACATTTATGATCTTCTAGTTTAGAAAATTTCAAGTATATAATACAGTATTGTTAACTATAATCACCACGCTATATGCACATTATATAGGTCACATTTTTAAATCCACTTCTCTGTTTTGATGGACCTTTGGGCTAATTCTGTATCTTGGCTATTGAGAATCATGCTGCAATGAACACAAGAGTGCAGATATGTCTTTGAAATACTAATTTTTTTTTTATTTTTCCATAGGTTATTGGGGTACAAGTAGTATTTGGTTACATGAGTAAGTTCTTTAGTGGTGATTTGTGAGATTTTGGTGCACTCATCACCCAAGCAGTATACACTGCACCGTATTTGTAGTCTTTTATCCTTCACCCCCCCTCCCACTCTACACCCCAAGTCCCCTAAGTCCACTGTATCATTCTTATGTATTTGCATCCTTATAGCTTAGCTCCCACATATCAGTGAGAACATACAATGTTTGGTTTTGAAATACTGATTTTATTTCCTTTAGACATATACCCAGAAGTGGGATTACTGAATCATATGGTATTTCTACCTTTATGTTTTTTGAGGAATCTCTATATGTTCCCCATAATGGCTGTACAAATGTAAATTCCCAAAAACAATGTACAAAGGTTCTCTTTTTATATCCTCATTAATACTTGTTATTTTTTGTCTTTTTGATAAAAGCCATTCTAACAGATGTGAAGTGATATCTCGTGGTTGTAGTTTGTATTTCCTTTGATTTAATGATGTTGAACATTAAAAAATACACTTGGCCATTTGTGTGGAAATATCTATTTCATTGAAAAAATGTCTATTTAGATTCTTTCCTCATTTTTAAACTAGGCTATTTGTTTTCTTGCTATTGAGTTTTTAAAAAATGTATATTTTGGATATTAACTCTTTATGAAATATTGTTTTCCCATTTCATAGGTTATCTCTTCATTCTGTTGATGTTTTCTTTTGTTAAATAGGAACTATTTAGTTTGGTAGAATCGTATTTATTTTTGATTTTGTTTCCTGTGCTTTACGTATGATATTTTAAAAATATCATTTCCCAGACCACCATTGAGAAGTTTTTCCCTGTTTTCTTCCAGTAGTTTTAGTTTCAGGTCTTGCCTTTCAGTTTTTAATCCAATTAAATTGATTTTTGCGTATTGTTTGAGACAATGGTTTAATTTCATTCTTCTTTAGGTGGAATATTAAGTTTTTCCAACACAATTTATTGGAGAAACTATTCTTTTCCCATTGTATGTTCTTGGCACCTTTGCCAAAGACCAACTGACCATAAGTACATAGATTTATTTCTGGGCTCTCTATTCTGTTCCATTGTTCTATGTATCTGTTTTTATGCCAGTATCATACTGTTTTGATTACTATAGCTTTGTGGTATATTTTGAGTTCAGGTAGTTGTGCCTCCAGCTTTGTTCTTTTTGCTCAAGATAGCCTTGGCTATTTGGAGTCTTTTGTGGTTCCATAAGAATTTTAGTACTTTTGCTATTTCTGTAAAAAATTCCATTAGAATATTGATAGGGATTGTAAAGAATCTACAGTTTGCTTAGGAAAGTATGAGCATTTTGACAATATGAATTCTTCCAATCCATGAATAAAGAATATCTTTCCATTTATTTGTATCTTTTTCAATTTCTGTCATCCATGCCTTATAGTTTTCAAGGTACAGATCTTTCACCTTCTTGGTTAGATTTATCCCTAAGTATTTTATTTACCTTTGATATTATTGTAAATAGAATTGTTTTCTTGATTTCCTATTCAAATAGATCATTGTTGTAAAAATGCAACTGGCTTTTGTAAGTTAATTTTGTATCCTGTGAACTTAACTAAATTTATTAGTTCTCACAGTTTTTGGTGTAGTCATTAGGGTTTTCTAGATGTAAGATCCAGTCATCTGCAAACAGAAAATTTTACTTCTTCCTTTTTAGTTTGGATGCCTTTTATTTATTTCTTTTGTGTAATTGCTATAGCTAGGAATGTCAGAATTATATTGAAGAGAAATTGTGAAAGTGGGCCTCCTTGACTTGCTCCTGATATCGGAAGAAAAGCTTTTAGCTTTCCAACACTGATAATGAGAATAGCAGTGGACTTGATATACATTATCTTTATTACATTAAGCTATGTTTCTTCTATACCTAATTTGTTGAAAGTTTCTTTTAGTTATGAAAGAATATTGAATTTTATCAAATGCTTCTTCTGCACCTATTATCATATGGTTTTTATCCCTCAGTATGTTAATGTGGCATATCATATTTATTAATTTGTGTATGTTAACCCATTCTTGCATCCTAAGGATGAATCCCACTTAGTCATGGTGTATGATCATTTTAATGTGCTGTTGAATTCATTTTGCTAGTTTTCATTGAGGATTTTTGCATCTATGTTCATCAGGGATATTGGCCTGTAACTGCATTTCCTTATAGTTGCGTTGTCTGGCTTTGGTATTAGGGTAATGCTGACCTCATAAAGTGAGTTTGAAAGTATTTCTTCCTTTTCATATTTTTGAGTGAGTTTAAGAAGATTGGCATTAATTATCCTATAAATGTTTGGTAGTATACATCAATAAAGCCATCAGATCCTGGGCTTTTTTGAATAGGAGACATTTTATTACTGGTCAATCTCAGCCCCAGGCTGGCAGCTTTTGCCGTGGTCTACTGGAACATGAAAAAGTCTGTCTGAGGCTTCCCTGTTGAAGAAGCATATGATAGTCACAAGGAGCAATTAAGGGAGGAGAAAAAGAAATAGAGAGAGAGACTTACTCAGCTCTCAGCTATTCCGTGACCAGACTGAAGTCATTCCAGCAAAGGTCAGAGACATTATGGATCAGAGTCAACCATTCTCTGCTGTGTTTTTCCAAATTTCTTACCCAACAAAGCATGTAACTTAAGTGTTTTAAGCGATTGAATTTTGGGGTCCTAATGTGTTATGCACTAATAGTTAACCAGAACCCCATGTGCTCTTCTACAGTTCACAAACTCTCTGAAGTTTGAATTATGTGGCAGATTCTCACCACCAGAAATGACAGAAAAAACATATTGTATAAAAATATGCATCAAATATATTACTGATAGTGTGGGACAGTTGAGATTAGGAGTTGCCATCTCCACACACACATTGTTGTTTTGTTTTATTATAAACTAAACTGGAATTGAGGGACCAAAGAAGGTGAAGTTAGAAGACAAAAGAAGCATGGAGAGAAGTCAGAATAAAATTGTTTAGATTTACAAAAGTGCATGCAGGGACCTTGAAGGGTCAGTCCACCAGCTTAAAATGCCTTTTCATAGTATTTTCTGTCTATTCTTTAAATATTTATAAATTATAGAATCCACCATTTTTTCAGGGACAGAAGCCATTTATAGGAACTTAAAAAGTGAGGAACATAGCAGTTCATGTCTAGAAATACTTCAATAATTATGACTTCTATGCCTTTGCTTAGTATGAGTTTGGTGCCAAGTAAGAAAAAGAAAATAAAATTTTGATAAAGTCGTCATCTTCCGCAATTAAAGGCTGAGGGAACAATAACATCCTAACGAGATTGAAAGAGTCTTAAGAGCTTTGTTAAATTATCTCCGATTTTTAATATTTTAAGTAATCATTGAGGGTGTGGACAGTTGACTAATAAGAGATATCTGGAGACAGAGGTGCCAAAACTATTTAGATGAACTGTCAGGGTTTTTGTTGTTGTTGTTATTTAGTGATTACAATGTCATTTGCTTTAATTACTTGTCTCCTTGTTTGAAGAATAAGAAATCAAGACCCACCCCTTAAAAATTCTCCTTAACTCATACGTCAGTTAGCATATTCTTTTCCAGTTGAGTAACTATGGCCCTAAAGTAAAATCCTCAAAATATCAAAGCATAATAATTTTATTTATAATATTATAATGCATTAACCTAGAGGGACCAGATAGATAAATAGACCCAAGTATTATCCATATATTTGATATATGGGAAAAACAGGCATATTTCTATACCCAATTTCATCATAAGAACATATAAAAAACCTAACATCAATTTTATCAACTGATATCTTCAAAACATAGTCAGCAGTAGAGTTCCATGGCTAGTATCCCATTCATTCAAATGTCCCTTATATAATCCAGGAAAGCATTGTTAAATACAACTACAGCATATTTTTCCATATATTTTTGTTTTATCCAGTTCCCTCTGTTGTACATTTCTAAATAATTTAAGAAACAATGTAATTACAAACTCATCTTTTTAATTGTTTATTTATGCTTCAGAAGAGTTCTTCAAGATTTCTTTAGGCCAAAGCCACCTTTTCATTGCTCTATTAAAGGCCCCTTTCACTTCCTTGTTCCTCAAAGTGTAGATCAGTGGGTTTAGTACTGGAGTGACCACAGTATACATGATGGCAGTGATCCGGTCCTGGTCCATGGAGGTCCCTGAGGCATGATGAATATAGGTGAAGAGAACAGGTGCATACAAAAGAATAACTACCATGAAGTGGGAGGCACAAGTGGACAGTGCTTTGCGGAGCATGCTAAAAGAATGAGTCTTGAAGAAGAGATGGGTGATAATGTAGAAATAGGAGAGTAATGTGAGAAAGAAGGGGCCCATGGCGATTGTCCCTGTGACAGTACTGAGCAGCCACTGATTAAGCTCAGCTTTAGCAATGGCTTCACATCACAGAAGAAGTGATAGATACGGTTAGAACCACAGAAGTTCAAGCGAGAGGTCATTAGGGAGTGCAGCAGGGCATGGAAAAAACCAATCATCCAGATTGTGATGGCCATCTGGGTACAGAGCTGAGGGTTCATAATGACAGTGTAGCGAAGTGGCTTGCAAATAGCCACAAAGCGGTCAAATGCCATCACGGCCAACAACATGGCCTCTGTGCTGCCCAGGAAGTGGAAGAAATGGAGTTGGCTTATGCATCCCAAGAAAGAAATTGCTTTGTGTGCAGAGAGGAAGTTCTGCAGCATTTTTGGCAGTGTTACGCTGGAGTAGCAGATGTCCAGGCAGGACAGGTTTCCCAGGAAGAAATACATAGGGGAATGGAGTCTAGGATCAGAGATGACAATCATCAGAATGGCTCCATTCCCAGCCACACTGATGAAGTAGATGGTAAGGAAAACAACGAAGAGAAAAGGCTGCAGTTCTTGAATGTCTGTCACTCCCAAAAGGAGAAATTCAGTGACTGAGGTTGTATTCAGCATTGCTTCAGACAAAAGACAAAATAATGTATGGAACACTAATCACAATCAGAATCCTTCCAGCTCAGAATTTTCTTACCAAGCCAAGAATATCTGGAGGGAGAGTATTGTTGTTTTGCATGATTCAACCTCACAAGTTTTACATTTTTGGCTTTTAGATGGCTAAATATTAAAGATATATATATATATATCTGTTATGATCTCTGACACAACTATTTTTTTATTATGTTTTTCATTAATATATTTCTTTCTCCCAGGAATCAGAAAACGTTGCTAGCCTACAGTCTTCTCTGGCTGTGAATATTTTCATTCTTTTTTTTTGAGATTCTCACTCTTTCTCCCAGGCTGAAGTGCAGTGGTGTGATCTTGGCTCACTGCAACCTCCGCCTCCTGGGTTCAAGAGAGTCTCTCGCCTCAGCTTCCCAAGTAACTGGGATTACAGGAGTCCACCACCACACCTGGCTAATTTTTGTATTTTTAATAGAGATGGGGTTTCACCGTGTATGCCAGGCTGGTCTTGAATTCCTGACCTCAAGTTATCTGCCTGCCTCGGCCTCCCAAAGTGCTGCGATTACAGGCATTAGCCACATCTCTGGGCCTGTGAATATCTTCATTCGGTCACAGCTTTCCTTTCATCTTCCCAAGCAGCTCTCACAGGGGGCAATTTTTAAGCATACCACATAGCTATCTCTTGGCCTAGTAAGAAACCACCAGTAGGATGTTAACTTAAATAAAAAGACAGGTTTCAATGCATCAAAACCACGATTTTTTTTTTAAATCTTGAAAGAGTAGTAGTAATTGCATTTCCTCATTTTAGAATGTAAATGAATTAGAGATATTCTCTTACTGATCTCTTCCTGACCCACATCCCTGAAATGTCGCAGTGACCTACTGGGGTAAGAAACATGACCACATTAATCACATATTAACCTGAATATTTAAAATTTCATCACTATTATATCTGATGATGAGCTCAGTTTCTTCCTATAATCTGACCCTTTATACATTTTTTGAAATAGAATCCCAAATTATTTTTTTCATTGCAAATGTTATTGTGCTTTTATTCACCAGTTGATCTTAGACTCTTTCTTTCCTAGGAAATCTGTGAATCCCTGGATAAGAATAGTATTTCCTCTGATAGATTCAGTAGTTTCTCTTCTTTTTTCACCAATACTAACCTCTCCTCAAAATATATATTCAGCCTTCTTGAAATTGTCTTCTCTTGTGATCTATTTTCTTAAGTTCTGTTTTTATTTTGCCTGAAATAAACTCACTCATCAGATATTAAGGAATATTCTACCTCAAGTGAAATTCACCTTCTTCTCTTCTAGATCCATTACATTTTCTAGAAAAATTTTTTCTCCATAATTTGCAAAGTACTGGTATTATCTTCATTAGGTTTACTAATAAAAGCAGACATAATATTGTGAAGTAGCTTCTTCTTTGTTCTTTTCATTAGGCTGTAATGGATTAGCTCTTGTATATTGGGAGGGAAGAAGTCAGGATGTGTGGGGAACTTACAGAAGTGAGAGGCACTGAGAGAGCTAGTAGAACTGTAAAGAAATTGAAAAGAGATGCTGACATTGGAGTGCTTCCTATAAAAGGAGTATCATTCAAGGTTTTAGAAACCACTGAGGAGAAAAGAATATAATTTGATGTGACTAGGGTAAAAAAAAATAATGAACAAGGGAACACTTCTAGAGAGCCCATGGGTTTTTTGGCTTCATAGCTGGGAAGAAGTTTTGAAAAACAATCTAACTTTTACTATACCTCCATGAAGGACTGCCTTCAAATAATTCACAATAACTTTCTTGAATGACCATGTATATTTTGTATATTTAAAAATTACCACTCCTGTTTAAAATACAAATTATATTTCAAATATAATTTTTGGTTCTTGGACCCAGAAAACAAAATTGTCCCAAAAATCCATATGGTAAAACATATATTCCTAGCTTCTGAGAAAATTAGCAGTCAGAGTGGTCTGTAGTAAATCGTTTCCTTCACTGAAATTTCACCATTTAGAAATCACATGTTTGCTTTGGATAATGTCTAGAGAACTAGATATGTTGAATTGAGAACAAGGTATGGCAATAAAAACATGGTAAGTCAAGGGCCTTCATATCTCACAAACACAATGAGGAGTCCACCATTAGATAGAAAATGAGATCTAGATACTGGGTGTTTAATACTAGCAAGTAGATAGATCATTCATTAACATATTGAGATTATGTGTAACTTCACAGCCTGTCTCCTAGTTCATTCTCTTACCTGATTGAGTGTTCTGATTCACAGTTAAGGAAGCTATTCATGTTTATATTCCCAGTGATTATAAAAGTTAAAACATATTTGAAGTAATAGTTCATGTTGGGATTGCAGCATAAACTCATCTTTAAAAACCTCTTTCTCTCTTTCTGAAAAATCAGTCTGCCTTTTAATGAGCCACAGGTCTCTAGACATAGAAATCCAAAGGGAGAGTGTCCCCTGGTGTTGAGAAAGATTTTAGGAATTAGCAGGATGCCTTTCCACACCTGTAATATGAATCAGTGGCCTTGGGGAATTCCTGTGTGAAGTTTCATTTGTTTTTTTCATTCTTGTTTTTTTTTTTTCCTTACTAAGTTTGTTCGTTAGTTTTAGAACTATGGCCAACACAGGTCTCAATGGCTTAATATGTTTTCTTAGTCAAATTTCTTTTTATTTCCTAGGACAGAGATATGGATTTACTTTCCCATTTTTGGGACTTTCCTGAAAGAATACCCTGGTATTTTTCAGGAAACCTGTTTTGGCTACTGTTGCTCTGTAGTATAGCTTGAAGTAGGGTAACATGATGCCTCCAAATTTGTTCTTTTTGCTTAGAATTGCTTGGCTATTCAGGTTCTTTTTTGGTTTCACATGAATTTTAAAGTGTTTTTCTAGAATAAACTAGTTTATTCTAGTATTCTAAACTTTAGTTTAGAAACTACCAAGAATGTCTTTGGTAGTTTGATAGAAATAGCATTGAATCTGTAAATTGCTTTGGGCAGTATGGCCATTTAAACAATATGATTCTTACTACCCATGAACAAGAAATCTGTTTCCATTTGTTTGTATTATCTCTGATTTCTCTGAGTAGTGTTTTGTAGTTCTTATTGTAGAGACCTTTCACCTGCCTTGTTAGCTGCATTTCTTGGTATTATATTCTTTCTTTGGCAATTGTGAATGGGATTGTGTTCCTGATTTGTCTCTCAGCTTGACTGTTGTTGCTGTATAGGAATGCTAGTGACTTTTGTACATTGATTTTGTATCCAGAAACTTTGCTGAAATAGTGTATCAGCTGAAGGAGCTTTTTGACCAAGACTATGGGGTTTTCTAGATATAGAATCATGTCATCTGCAAACAGGAATAGTTTTACTTACTCTCTTCCTATAATGCCCATTATTTCTTTCTCTTGCCTAATTGCTCTAGCCAGGACTTCCAATGCTATGTTGAATAGGAGTGCTGAGAGAGGACATCCTTGTCTTGTGCTGGTTTTCCAGAGGAATGCTTCCAGCTTTTGTCTATTCAGTATGATGTTGGCTTTGGATTTGTCATAAATGGCTCCTACTATTTTGAGGTATTTTCCTTAATACCTAGTTTATTGAGAATTTTTAATATGAAGCAATGTTGAACTTAATTGGAAGCCTCTTCTGTTATCTATTGAGATAATCATGTGAGTTTTGTTTTTAGTTCTGTTTATGTGATGAATCACATTTATTAATTTGCAAATGTTGAACCAACCTTGTATCCCAGGGATAAAGCCTACTTAATCATTTTGTATTAGCTTTTTGATGTGCTGCTGAATTCAGTTTGCTAGCATTTTGTTGAGAATTTTTGCATCTATGTTCATTAAGAATATTGGCCTGAAGTTTTCCTTTCATGTATGTGTTTCTTTCAGGTTTTTGTATCAGGATGATGCTGGCCTCATAGAATGAGTTGGGGAGGAGTCACTCCCCCTTTGTTTGGTAGGCTATTTATTACTGATTCAATTTCAGAGCTCGTTATTGGTTTCTTCACAGAATCAGTTTCTTCTTGGTTCAGACGTGGGAGGATGTATGTGTATAGAAATTTATCCATCTCATCGAGGTTTTCTAGTTCATGTGCATATGTGTTCATGATTCATCATGTCTCTGATGATTATTTGTATTGTTGTGGGGTCAATGGTAGCATCCCATTTGTCATTTCTGATTGTGTTTATTTGGATCATCTCTCTTTCCTTCTTTATTGATCTAGCTAGGAGTCTATTCATCTTATTAATTCTCCCAAAAAACAAACTCCTGGATTCGTTTATCTTTTGTATGGTTTTTCTCATCTCAATTTCTTTCAGATCAGCTCTAATTTTGGTTATTTCTTGTCTTCTGCTAGCTTTTGGGTTGGTTTTGTCTTCTGTCTCTAGTTCTTTTACTTATGATGTTAGGTTGTTAATTTGAGATCTTCGTATCTTTTTGATGTGGGCATTTAGTGCTACAAATTTCCCCCTTAATGCTGCCTTAGCTGTGCCCCAGAGATTCTGGTATGTTGTATCTTCATTCTCAATAGTTTCAAAGAACATTTTGATTTCTGCACTAATTTCAGTACTTACCTCAAATTCATTAAAGAGTAAGTTGTTTAATTTCCATGTAATTGCATGGATTGAGTGATTTTTTTAGTCTTGATTTCTATTTTTATTGAGCTGTTGTCCACCAATGTGTTTGGTATGATTTCAGTTCTTTTGCATTTGCTGAGGATTGTTTTATGTCCAATTGTGGGGTCTATTTTTAGAGTACGTGCCTGTGTTGATGAGAAGAATGCACATTCTGTTGTTTTGGGGTGGAGAGTTCTGAGGTCTATCAGATCTATTTGATCCAATGTTGAGTTCAATCTTTGTTTAAATCTTTGTTAATTTTCTGCCTTGATGATCTGTCTAGTACTGTCAGGGGAGTGTTGAAATACCCTACTGGAGACTCCCATTGTGTGGGCATCTAAGTCTCTTTGTAGGTCTCTAAGAACTTGCTTTATGAATCTGGATTCTCCTGCTGTGGGTGCATATATATTTAGGATATCTAGATCTTCCTGTTGAATTGAATCCTTTATCATTAGATAATGCCCTTCCTTGTCTTTTTTCGTTTTTGTTAGTTTAAAGTCTGTTTTTCTCTGAAATTAGAATTGCAACCTCTTCTTATTTCTGATTTTCATTTACTTGGCAGATTTTTTCCATCCCTTTATTTTGAGCCTATGGGTGTCATTGCATGTGAGATGGGTTTCCTGAAGACAGCATACAATTGGATTTTGCTTCTTTACCCAGCTTGCCACTCTGTGCCTTCTAATTGGGACATTTAGCCTGTTTACTTTCAATGTTTGTATTGATATATGTAGATTTAATCCTGTCTTTTTGTTGTTAGCTGGTTATTATGCCTGCTTGTTTGTCTGGTTGCTTTATAGTGTCACGGGTCTGTGTACTTAAATGTGTTTTTGTATTGGCTGGTAATGGTGTTTTCTTTTCATATTTAGTACTCCTTTCAAGATCTCTTGTAAGGTGGGTCTAGTAATACAATCCCTCAATGTTTACTTGTCTGAAAAGATCTTATTTCTCCTTCACAGAGAAAGCTTAGTTTGGCTGGATATAAAATTCTTGGTTAAAGAAATTTTTCTTTAAGAATATCGAATATAGACCTGCAATCTCTTCTGGCTTTCAACATTTCTGCTGAGAGGTCCACTGTTAGCCTCATACGGTTCCCTTTGTAGGTGACCTGCCCTTTCTCTCAAGCTGCCTTTTACATTCTTTCTTTCATTTTGTCCTGGAAAATAAGATGATTTTGTGTGTTGGGGATGATCTTCTTGTCTAGAATCTTGCAGAGGTTTTCTGTATTTCCTGCATTTGACTATTGGCCTCTCTAGCAAGATTGGGGAAGTTTTCATGGTTGATATCCTGAAATATGTTTTCCAAGTTGTTTGCTTTCTCCCCCTCTCTTGCAGGGATACCAGTGATTTGTAGATTTGGCCTCTTTACATAATCTCATATTTCACAGAGGTTTTGTTCATTCCTTTTCCTTTTATTCTTTATTTTTGTCTGACTCTCTTATTTCAGAGAGCCTGTCTTCAAATTCTCAGATTCTTTCCTCAGCTTTGTCTACTCTGCTATTAATATTTGTGATTGCATTGAAAAATTATTTTAGTGAGTTTTTCAGCTCTATCAGGTCAGTTAGGTTGTTTTTATACTGGCTGTTTTGTCTGTCACCTCTTGTATCGTTTTATTGTGATTCTTAGCTTCCTGGGATTGGGTTTTGCCATTCTCCTGAATCTCAATTATCTTCATTCCTATCCATATTCTGAATTCTATTTGTTATTTCAGCCATCTCAGTCTGCTTAAGAATTCTTGTTGAAGAACTAGAGTGATCATTTGGAGGACATAAGACACTCTGACCATTTGAGTTGCCAGAGTTCTTTTTTTTTTTTTCTCATCTCTGTGTGTGAGTGTTCCTTTAACTGCAGAACTGCCTCTGATTGAAGTGGTCAGGTGGCAGCTGGGTGATTGTGCTGGAGTCCCAGGTCATGTGGCCTTGCCCAGTGAGGAGAAGTGAGGATCAGGATCTGCATGGAGAACAGTTCAGCCACTTTTCTATGATGTGGATGCTCTGTGTTATGGGTCCCAACCAGCCCTTGGTCCCACAGACTCTCCAGGGCCTGGGGACACAAGGATGAAGACTGTGAGAAAGCAAAGATGACAACCCACCCCTTCCATTGGGAGCTTTGTCCCAGGGCATTGCAGAACTGCTACTGGCTCAATAGTCCCAGTGTAAGGGTGACTGGAGACTAGGCTGGGAGGATCTGCCCCAGGAGAAGATACAGGATTGGGGACCCACATAACATACAGTCTGACCACTTTTCCATAGAGCTGCTACCATATTCTGGGGATCTGCTCCAGTCCCTAGTCACTTCAGATTTTCCAGTACCTGATGGTATCAACAGTGAAGTTTGTCAAACAGCAAAGATGGCGGCCTGCGCCTCCCTCTGGGAGCTCTGCTCCAGGAAGGAATGGACCTGTTACCAGCCCAAACACACTGGCAGGGTTGGCTGGGGATCCCAGAAGTTCCCACTCAGTGAGGAAAAACAGGATCAGGAGGTGCATTAAAAAGCAGTCTGGCC